>NC_000017.11:19582020-19885050 GCF_000001405.40 Homo sapiens
ATCAAGACCATGTAATTGGCCGAAAATGTCCACACAGGTACAATGACCAGATAGCCACCTACTCTTAACCTAGGATTGGGAAACAGGGGACCTCACCTGGAGACTTCGGGTCTTGTTTTAAGAGCAGGAGGATGCGCTCGGTGTTGACCAAGTCGGCCCAGCAGGGAAAGCAGCACAGCATAAGGATGAGGACCCCTCTCTGAAGTATGATCCCCACGCGCTTGAGGTTCTTGCCTCCAAAGGACTTGAGAAAACAAATGCACTGCTAACAGCATATGCCAGGCAGGCCGAGGCTGGGGGCCTGCGCCACAAGCAACCCCTCCCAGGGGCGCCTGCCCGGCGCCCAGGCAGACCGGTTTCCCATCATCTGCTCCCGCCCTCCCCACCAACAGCTGACAGCATTGGGGGAGCTTCTGAGCCAGGGACAACCAGTGAGCTAGCTGGCCCCTGTGGCATTTTACACGTGTCCTGGGACAATGTGTCCCTGCTCCCAGGAGCTGGGACTGTTAACATGGAGGGTAGAGGTAGCAGAAACTGAAGCTTAAAAGAGAGTTTTCAACATGGGAGGCAGACAGATGCTGCAGGAGAACATGTGCCATGGTAGAAGGTGAAGTTGTGGGGGACTCTGAGGGCCAGGGATACCCGGGGAGGGTGCAGTGGAAGAAAAGCACACACTGTAGGCTGAGAAGGGCAGCTAGCAGGGTGGCAAGAACTTCGGGGGGCGGGAGGTCATGGAGGCCAAGGCAGTGCTCTAGAAAGCAGGGATGGCCAAGTGGATTAAGGACGGCCAAGCGCTCACTTGAGGATTTTGTCATAGGAGGCCGGGAAGAGGCCAGGCCCAGTGGGCTGGGCAGGAATAAACAAGGCATCAATAGGGGCTGAGTCGGGAGTGCAGGCCAGGCCCGAGTGCAAAGAACACCTTCAAGAAGCTTGGCTTGAAGGAGGCCAGCAGGGAAGGAGGGGTGGTGGTAAGGGAGGGCGATTTTAGGGTATGGGAGACCAGACTGGGAGGAACAAAGGACAAAATGCCCTTGAGCAGGTGGCCCCAGAGGACAGCACTAGTCAAGCTGACTCTGCTGTTTTGTTTTTTTGTGTTTTTTTTGTTTTTGTTTTTTCCTGAGATGAAGTCTTGCTCTATTGCCTAGGCTGGAGTGCAGTGGTGAGATCTCAGCTCACTGCAACCTCCGCCTCCCAGATTCAAGCAATTCTCCCACCTCAACCTCCTGAGTAGCTGGGATTACAGGCGCCCACCACCGTGTCTGGCTAATTTTTGTATTTTTAGTAGAGACGGGGTTTTACCATGTTGGCCAAAATTGTCTTGACAACTTAGCTGACCTACCACTGCCCTTGGCCAAAGGCGGAAGAGCGCAGAGCCCCTTATCAGGAACGGGCTACAGAAATTCCTGTGGTTAGGCATGGCGTGGTGGCTCACACCTGTAATCCCAGCACTTTGGGAGGCTGAGGCGGGCGGATCACCTGAAGTCAGGAGTTCAAGACTAACCTGACCAACATGGCGAAACCCCGTCTCTACTAAAAACACAAAAATTAGCCAGGCATGGTGGTGGGTGCCTGTAATCCCAACTACTTGGGAGGCTGAGGCAGGAGATCTCTTGAAACCGGGAGGCGGAGGTTGCAGTGAGATCTTCTAGGAAGATAATAGACTCATTTTTAAGATAACTGTGAAAACAAAATTTTTTACCTTTGGAAAAATGTTCATAGTATAAAAGGACTAATAAAAATGTGTTTTTTTTTTTTAAATAAAGGAACATTTATTTATAGTCCACCTTGTTCCACGAAGAATTTGAACCAGTTTACACAAATACTTCCCTAAAAGAAGGATAAATAAATAGCTGTTAGAATTGGGTCAAAGAAACATGGGTGGAAAAGCTGGGAGCCAGGGGTGAGTTGGCATGGGATAGGATGGAAACTGTGCTGAGGTTTTATGGAAGCCTTGATTCAGCGGAAGGGCGGGCCTGGGTACTGAGCCTCAGCCACATTCCCCTTGACCTTCAGAAGGCAGACACCATGACATGGAGCGTGGTGTTCTGGGCTGCTTGTCGCCAGAGACAGAGTAGCAATTTTTGTTCTATCTTTTATAAAGTTGTGTGTTGTAAGCGAGAGGTCTAACGTCAGAGCTCAGTTTGATAAAAGCTTGTGACAGCAGAAGCCACGGGGCCCAAGGCCATGGTCCTGCTTTACATGGGTAGACTGAGCCCCGGGGGAGAGTAACACATTTCTCATTTCTCTGTGTTGGGAATATTCAATATCTTCTTTTCTTTTATTTCTTTTTTTTTTTTTTTTTTGAGACAGGATCTTGCCCTGTCACCCAGGCTGGAGTGCAGTGGTGCAATCATAGCTCACTGCAGCCTCAAACCCCTGGGCTCAAGTGATCCTCCCACCTCAGCCTTCTAAGTAGCTAGAACCACAGTTGTGTGCCACCAAGTCCAGCAAAAAAAATTTTTTTTTTTGAGACAGAGTCTCACTCTGTTACCCAGGCTGGAGTGCAGTGACTCACTGCAACCTCCATCTCCTGGGTTCAAACGATTCTCCTGCCTCAGCCTCCTGAGTAGCTGGGACTACAGGCATGTGCCACCGCACCCAGCTAATTTTTGTATTTTTAGTAGAGACAGGGTTTCACCGTATTGGCCAGGCTGGTCTCGAAATCCTGACCTCAGGTGATCCACCTGCCTCAGCCTCCCAGAGTGCTGGGATTACAGGCGTGAGCCACCACACTCGGCCAATGTCCAACTAATTTTTAAAATTTTTGTAAAGATGGGGTCTGGTCATGTTGCCCAGGCTTCAGTATCCTTCCAGCTATTTGAAGCTATCTGTGATTGTTTCCTGCAGTCACCCTGCAGTGTGGTGGAACACAGGAGCCTATTCCTTCTGCCTAACTGTAACTTTGTATCCTTTAACACATCTCTCCCTATCCCCCCCATCCCCCTACACTCCTATGTGACATATTTTTTTTTTTTGAGACAGAGTCTTGCTCTGTTGCCCAGGCTAGAGTGCAGGGGCGCAGTCTTGGCTCACTGCAACCTCTGCCTCCCAGGTTCAAACAATTCTTGTGCCTCAGCTTCCTGAGTAGTTGGGACTACAGGTGCATACCACCACTCCTGGCTAATTTTTGTATTTTCTAGAGATGGGGTTTTGCCATGTTGTCCGGGCTGCTCTTGAACTCCTGGCCTCAAGTGATCTGCCCACCTCGGCCTCCCAAAGTGCTGGGATTACAGGCATGAGCCGCCGTGCCCAGCTCTGTGTGACTTTTTAAAACACAAAACTTCATAAATTAGCATGCTTTACCTTTCTGTTTTCCTGGCAGTCCGAGGGGTTTGGGAGCTTTAGTCATGCCCCTCTGCCCTGGCTGGAATTCAGTGTTGCTGTGTGGGTAAATCCTCATTGTGCCACAGCCCTCCTGGGGCACGGTTAGATGGAGACCCTGGTCTCATGGGGTCCCGCTGGGCAGTACATGTATGGCCTGTCAGTTATGTGGTGGGGCTGGAGTTTGTGTTTATCAAGCCAGAGTCGTGGTCAGTGAAGAAGCTAACTCACCTGGGGCTGCCATCACCAGTAACCGTGAGACCCAGGACGCAAATGAGGGTCTTTCAGCCCCTCGTCCTGAATGCCTCCTGCACCCTACCTGCAGGCTACTCTATGTGCCCTTAATTGTCAGGGACTGGGTGAGGTCTGGTCAAGAGGGTGACACAACTAGTCCTGTTCCTCACTGGAGGACTAAAGCTTGGGATCTGGAGCCAGACTTCCCAGACTTAGGTCACCATCTGAGTAACTTGGGCAAGGGACATACACTTTGTGTAACTCAGGTTACCCAAAACAAAAAATGAGACGAGTTGTCCTAGCACTATGCACATGAGGGGCTTAGGACAGTGCCTGGCACATAGTATGTGCTCAATAAAAGTTTGCTGTTATTATTACTAAATGCACATCCTACTGGCAGATCGGGGCATCACCTTTAGATGTTAACCACAACTTAACTTTATTTATTTTTTATTTTTTTTGAGACAGGGTCTCACTCTGTCACCCAGGCTAGAGTGCAATGGTATGATCTTGGCTTACTGCAACCTCCACCTCCGGGGTTCAAGTGATTCTCCTGCCGCAGCCTCCCGAGTAACTGGGATTACAGGCGCCCGCCACCATGCCCGGCCAATTTTGTATTTTTAGTAGACATGGGGTTTCACCATGTTGGTCAGGCTGGTCTCAAACTCCTGGCCACAAGTGATCTACCTGCCTCGGCCTCCCAAAGTGCTGGGATTACAGACATGAGCCACCGCACCTGGCCCACAATTTAACCTTAAATATAGAAATTATAATGTGCTATACTGTTTAAGAAAAACTAGGTTTAATATTTCCCCAGTTGACACAAGGTGGTTATCATCCTTTAGTTAGAAGGTACACTTTTGTTCAGTAATCAATAAGGATAGATGTAGACACCCATTTGATCTAAAATACAGCATACATCTGTTGAGTTGCCCTTTAGAGACAAGCTTGTTGAGGTTCCTCCATGAAGAGGGAGCTGTCTGATGCGACCCTGAACTGGCGTCGTCCCCTGAAGGTCTGCCACACCAGGTCTGTGGTTCTCTTGCAGGTGGTGAACGTTACTGGGATTGCAGTTGGCACTGGCTTAGCCTCAGCTTATGACACCCTCATGTCTCAGGTGAGGACCACCCTCCCCCACATACCGTTTTTTGACAGTTACCTTTCATAATAGAGACTTTCTAGGACCATCCACCCTATGGGTTTTGTTGCATTTTATTTGTCAAATACAGATGGTCCCTGACTTAGATTTTTAAACTTTGTGATGGTACAACAGTGACACGCGTTCAGTAGCTGCACTTCAAGCCCCTTACAACCATTCTGCTTTCCACTTTCAGTACCGTCCAGTAGATTCCATGAGATAGTCAACACTGTATCACAAATAGGCTTTATCTAAGATTATTTTACTCAGCTGTGGGCTAATGTAAGTGTTCTGAGCACGTTTAAAGTGGGCCAGGCTAAACTGTGATGTTTGGTAGGTTAGATGCATTCAATGCATTTTCAACTCAAGATATTTCTAATTTACAGTTGTGAGGTAGCTAGGTAGCCCATTGTAAGTCATGGAGCATCTTTTTAAAAAAATTATATTTATTTTTGCAGGCGAGGTCTCCCTATGTTGCCTAGGCTGGGCTTGAACTCCCGGGCTCAAGAGATCCTTCTGCCTCAGCCTCCCATGTAGCTGGGACTACTGGAACAAACATCTGTACATAGCTGCTAATGACTGGAAACACAACCAGGGTCAGCCAGGCGCAGTGGCTCACGCCTGTAACCCCAGCACTTTGGGATGCCAAGGCAGGCAGATCACCTGAGGTCAGAAGTTCGAGACCAGCCTGGCCAACATCATGAAACCCCACCTCCACTAAAAATACAAAAATTAGCCAGGCACGGTTGTGGGCGCCTGTAATCCCAGCTACTCAGGAGGCTGAGGTGGGAGAATCGCTTGAATCCGGGAGGCAGAGGTTGCAGTGAGCTGAGATCTCGCCACTGCACTCCCAGCCTGGGCGACAGAGCTAAATTTCATCTCAAAAAAACAAAAACAAAAAAAACACAAAAAAACAAAACAGCAGAGTCAGCTTGACTAGTGCTGTCCTCTGGGGCCACCTGCTCAAGGGCATTTTGTCCTTTGTTCCTCCCAGTCTGGTCTCCCATACCCTAAAATCGCCCTCCCTTACCACCACCCCTCCTTCCCTGCTGGCCTCCTTCAAGCCAAGCTTCTTGAAGGTGTTCTTTGCACTCGGGCCTGGCCTGCACTCCCGACTCAGCCCCTATTGATGCCTTGTTTGTTCCTGCCCAGTCCACTGGGCCTGGCCTCTTCCCGGCCTCCTGTGACAAAATCCTCAGGTGAGCGCTTGGCCGTCCTTAATCCACTTGGCCATCCCTGCTTTCTAGAGCACTGCCTTGGCCTCCATGACCTCCCGCCCCCCGAAGTTCTTGCCACCCTGCTAGCTGCCCTTCTCAGCCTACAGTGTGTGCTTTTCTTCCACTGCACCCTCCCCGGGTATCCCTGGCCCTCAGAGTCCCCCACAACTTCACCTTCTACAATGGCACACATTCTCCTGCAGCATCTGTCTCCCCCATGTGGAAAACTCTCTTTTAAGCTTCAGTTTCTGCTGCCTCTACCCTCCATGTTAACAGTCCCAGCTCCTGGGAGCAGGGACACATTGTCCCAGGACATGTGTAAAATGCCACAGGGGCCTCTGTGGTTGTCCCTGGCTCAGAAGCTCCCCCAATGCTGTCAGCTGTTGGTGGGGAGGGCGGGAGCAGATGATGGGAAACCGGACTGCCTGGGCGCCGGGCAGGCGCCCCTGGGAGGGGTTGCTTGTGGCGCAGGCCCCCAGCCTCGGCCTGCCTGGCATATGCTGTTAGCAGTGCATTTGTTTTCTCAAGTCCTTTGGAGTCAAGAACCTCAAGCGCGTGGGGATCATACTTCAGAGAGGGGTCCTCATCCTTATGCTGTGCTGCTTTCCCTGCTGGGCCGACTTGGTCAACACCGAGCGCATCCTCCTGCTCTTAAAACAAGACCCGAAGTCTCCAGGTGAGGTCCCCTGTTTCCCAATCCTAGGTTAAGAGTAAGTGGCTATCTGGTCATTGTACCTGTGTGGACATTTTCGGCCAATTACATGGTCTTGATCCCTTTCAAAAATGAAAGCTGGCCAGGCACAGTGGCTCACGTCTGTAATCCCAGCACTTTGGGAGGCCGAGGCAGGTGGATCATCTGAGATCAGGAGTTCGAGACCAGCCTGGCCAACATGGTGAAACCCCGTCTCTACTAAAAATACAAAAAAGTTAGCCAGGCGTGGTGGTAGGTGCCTGTAATCCCAGCTACTTGGGAGGCTGAGGCAGGAGAGTCACTTGAACTTGGGAGGCGGAGGTTGCAGTGAGCCAAGATCGTGCCATTGCACTCCAGCCTGGGTGACAAGAGCAAAACTCCGTCTCAAACAACAACTACAACAACAACAACAACAACAACAACAAAATGAAAGCTGTGACTGTGGGCCACAGGGTCTGGGGGCTGCAGGGACCACCTGACTCAGGGTGACAAGATACAGGACCAGGGTGTTGTGTGCCTGGCCTGTCTCCCGTTCACCGAGTCCCTCCATTTTGCTGTCTGGCAAATGCAGAAAATATTTTTCCCCTGAAGTAGAATAGCAGTGTAATCGCCTTCACGTATGACTTTAGTGTTGGGTTTTTTCTTTAACCTATAATTCCAGTGTATTCTCTGGTATTGTCCTTGGGGTGCGTGGTCCTTTCTAGAAGACTGTCTCGCTCACTGTTAGGTGACCCTGACACTTTCCAATGGTTTCTGAATTTTGCCCAAGTTTTAGTTTTCATGCTAAGAATGAGCTGAAAAATGGAAAGTGGTCAGACTGCCCCTTAGATAGCAGACATTTAGTAGACTTAGTGTCATGTTTGTGTAGGTTGAAGAAAAACACTTAAAAGTTGTTATTAAGTTTCTCTCATTTTTAGGCCGGGTGTGGTGGCTCACGTCTATAGTAATCCCAGCACTTTGGGAGGCTGAGGCAGGAGGATTGCTTGAGCCCAGGAGTTTGAGGTTACAGCGAGCTATGATGGTGCCATTCTACTCCAGTCTGGGCATCAGAGCAAGACCCTGTCTCTAAAAAGTAAATAATTTTTAATTTTAATTTTTAGAAAATACTCTGTGGGTTCAATTTGAAGACAATATGACCAGCAACTGTTTTAATATTAACTGAAGACTATTTTGTTTGTTTCAGGATAGCCCAAATTTATGTGCTGATTTTCATTCCTGCCCTTCCTGTAAGTTTCAAGGCTGTTGTGTCTCACTACATGAAGCAGCTCACATGTGTCGCCCTGCACATGCCCCTTCCCCCGGCTCTTGTTTCTCCATCTTGGTGCAGTTCATGCCAAAAGCCCGACATGTATTTCTTGGCCCTGTCGTCCCTCCCTTGCTGACTCTCAGGACATGTACCACTCTGGTGTACAGTAGCTTAAATTAAAGACAAAGATTGGGCCGGGCACGGTGGCTCATGCCTGTAATCCCAGCACTTTGGGATGCTGAGGCAGGTGGATCGCGAGGTCAGGAGATCGAGACCATCCTGGCTAACATGGTGAAACCCCGTCTCTACTAATAATACAAAAAATTAGCCGGGCGTGGTGGCGGGCACCTGTAGTCCCAGCTACTCGGGAGGCTGAGGCAGGAGAATGGCGTGAACCCGGAAGGCGAAGCGTGCAGTGAGCCCAGATCGTGCCACTGCACTACAGCCTGGGTGACTGAGCAAGACTCTGTCTCAAAAAAAAAAAAAAAAAGACAAAGATTGATGAGGGGAAGACATTTCCTTCCTGATTCCTTGTTCTATGGTTATTTTTGATTGCAAATCAACCAGAATGTTTCTGGATCATCTAGGATTTGGGGAGTGCTGCATTCGGGCACCCTCGGAGCCGTTCGAAATGTCAAGACGGTGGCTTCTGCCTCAGCCAGTTGGAATCGGCCTGTGTCAATTCTTCAGGGAGTACATCTTTTATCCACTCTGGAAAATTCCAAATAGTGCCCTAGCATTGTCTCATGTGAGTGAGGTTCTCTGAGATCATACATCAAGGGGAAGTGTCTTATTTAAGATTAAAAACCGGAACTAAACTAAACCGTTGGAATTTATATTAATGAGAAGTGTTTGTTTTTCTGTTTAAACTTACAGGCAGCATTCTTGTTCCAGCTGCAGACAAGATATTTACAAAGTCAGGTATAGATTCTTTTTACAATTTTTACTCCATAATCCTGGAAATGTCTAGTAAATATTCGTAGGGAATGTTCTATAACAGTAATTCACATTTTTCCCCCTGTAATTCTACCTTAGAGTTCTTTGCCTGAGAGATTGAGGCCTTGTAGGTGAATTTTGTCTAGCCCAAGAGAGACGGCTGTATCAATCCATCCCATTCCCCTTTCAATCACCACCACCTGCTTCGACCCCTGCCCCGACCCCTCCCCTCTCTTGGGGCTGGTGCCAGCTTTGCATCTGGCCTGGGGCCTGGCTCCTGTGCTTCTGCTTTAGAGAGGAGGGCCTGGGGTCCCTACAGCCACTAGGGAGCAGCGAAGGAGTCTGAGGGCAAGATTTGGGTGGACAGTGGAGAGAAGCAGAGCTCTGCCTCCCCGGGTCCCTTCTCGCCCATCTGAGGCCGCAGCCCTCTTGCCTTACCCAGCTTTGGTAACAGTCAGCTCTCTGTTTCAATGCAGGAATGAAAGAGAGGTTTTACTGAAAGAAAATGTTTGAATAGACAGGATAAACAAAAGAAATGAGTGACTGGCGCCTACAACAATAGGGTGAACATGTTCTGCACACCTGCTATGAAGCAGGCATTGCTGGGTGTCTTGTATGCAAGAACTTTAGCAACTTGGCACAGATATCTTCCAAGCTGCCTCTCCTTCACTTCATGCCAGGGCCCATTTGCCCTTCAGGAGGTTTTTTCTCTCTGCTGCTCTTCTGGAAACCATGACCTACCAGGTTATTCAGAAGCAGTTGCAAGCTTCTGGTTGGGATAGGCAGATAATGCACCAACGGAGGAGACTAATCTGGTCATCTCAGCTCCTGACCATTCCAGTCCTGAGTAACTTTGCCATCATTTAAACTGTTCCCTGTTTAACTGTGAGTGTTCACTTGATAGGCTAGCTAATTAGCTTTCGAAAATGTGAATGTTTTCCTATTTGTTTGGGGGTTTTAGGGCATCAGCATGCCTCAAGTTATTACCAGGATTGCAGCTAATGTCATCAACGTGGGCATGAATGCCCTCTTGCTGTATGCCCTGGACTTCAGAGTGGTGTAAGTCACGACCCCTGAATTCAACACATACTGAATGTCTGCTGTCTGCTGTCTCCTGTCCCTGGGACTGGGGATAGCGAGAGTGAAATCGTCTGGTAGAGGGAATATGGACAGGTGGACAGGCAATAGAGTTGGGTGTTCAGGTGGTCTGTGTGCCAGATGAGAACTGGGTGCCACAGGACCTCACAGGAGAAGCAGCTGGCTCAGGCTGTTGGAAGGAAGGTCAGTGGGTTAGTGGGTGGAGAGATAGGGATGGTGCCTGGGAAGAAGCGATGTGTAAGCTGATTGTGTGTTGAGGTGGAATTCGCCTAGAGAAGGGAGTTGCTGTGGTCTGTGAAGGCTGAAAGGGGCCACCCCAGCAAAGACAGAGTAGGGCAGACACCTTAGGGATTCTCCTAGCATCTTGGAATTGTAAGAAACTGAGCCCAATTGCATCCTTATGAAGCTTGAGGAGATGAGGGTCCCAGAAAGAAAACACTATCAATTCACTGGTCCCTCACTGGGGGACACTTCTGTGCCTAGAGCCAGAGCCAGGCTCCTCAGTGTGGCCAGAAAATCTTTAAAGGCTGGCTGAAGATGGAACATAAGAACACATCAGTGAAACACACCTTCTGTCAGAAAGCTGGACGAGGCACTGGCCCGGGAAGCTGGAGTCCCACAGGGAGGTGTGAGCACCAGTTGGTTGACCCATGTCCAGAAACAGGAGGCCTGGGCCACCCAGGTTCTCCTGGGAGGTGGACCTCAGAAAGCGTCTCTTAGAGGTTTCCCCAACAGATGTACACAGGGAAGCTTGGGGATAGCGGGGAAAAGGAGAAGAAAATTTAGGAATGGATTAACAAAGGGTAAAATGGAGGATTGGGTAGGGGAGTGGAATGGAAAAATAGACAGGAAGACAGAGTCCCTGGCTCTGTATGCCAGAGCGGGGCATGGTTCTATTTGTTGTGATAAAATATGACCTATGGAAGACACTCCATGGTTATTTTCCAATACAAAGATGTTGAGCATCTTTTCATATATTTGTTGACCATTTATATATCATCTTTGGAGAAATGTCTCTTCAAGTCTGTTGCCCTCCCTTTTCTTAAATCAGGTTACTTCTTTTTTTGTTGTTGGGTATAGGAATTTTGGTTGTTGTTGTTGTTGTTATTGTTTTGAAATGGAGTCTCGCTCTGTTGCCCAGGCTGGAGTGCAGTGGCGCAATCTCGGTTTACTGCAACCTCCGCCTCCCAGATTCAAGCGATTCTCCTGCCTTAGCCTCCCGAGTAGCTGGGATCACAGGTGCCTGCTACCACGCCTGGCTAATTTTTTGTATTTTTAGTAGAGACGGAGCTTCACCATGTTGGCCAGGCTGGTCTCGAACTCCTGACCTTAGGTGATTCACCCACCTTGGTCTCCCAAAGTGCTGGGATTACAGGCGTGAGCCACTGCGCCTGGCCATAGAAATGTTTTATGTATTCTGGACATTATGATATCCAGATATCCTTATATGATTTGCAAATATTTTCTCCCATTCCATGGGTTGCCCTTTCACTCTGCAGATTGTGTCCTTTGATGCATACAAGTTTTATCTATGTTTACTTTTGTTGCTGGTGAGCACTATGTATTTTAAATACATAGTGTATTTTAAAATATCCACATTGCGGCCGGGCGCGGTGGCTCACGCCTGTAATCCCAGCACTTTGGGAGGCCGAGGCGGGCGGATCACGAGGTCAGGAGATCGAGACCATCCTGGCTAACACGGTGAAACCCCGTCTCTACTAAAAATACAAAAAATTAGCCGGGCGTGGTAGCGGGCGCCTGTAGTCCCAGCTACTCGGGAGGCTGAGGCAGGAGAATGGCGTGAACCCGGGAGGCGGAGCTTGCAGTGAGCCGAGATCGCGCCACTGCACTCCAGCCTGGGCGACAGAGCGAGACTCCGTCTCAAAAAAAAAAAAAAAAAAAAAAAAAAAAAAAAAAAAAAAAAATCCACATTGCTATATATACATCAGTTTTGCTTTTAATCATAATGTGCATCTATCATATTTTATTCCTCTAGTTCCATGTTGTCTCCCACACCCCTCAACTAACGTCTGCCACAGGGAATATTCTATATGTTTTTTTATAGAGGTCTACAAAAATCCCTCTGCCATTTATACCCGGGAGTAGAATGTGTGGGTGAAAGGGCATCTACTGAGTCTTGCCAGCTTAGTGCCTGCCATCTCAATCCATTTGGCATCTTTATATTTTGCTGGAGAACTGAGGTTGCGCCTAGTCTCTGGCCATTTGCAGGGTACAGGTATGTGAAATAGAATTGTTGGTGCCAGAGACTGTTGAAAAACAAACGCCTGTTTTCTTTCCTGTTCCCTAGGTTGGACGAGGGAGTGCTTCCAGGAGTGGGGCTCCTACATCCACCTGGTTATTCCCAGTATGTTCATGGTGTGCACTGAGCAGTGGACCTTTGAGATCGGAAACTTCCTTGCAGGTTTGTCAGCAGTCCAGCTGAAAGCTGTCCTCAGCCCGGCCAGTCACATCTCCAGAGATTCCCAGGAAGCTCCAGCTTTGCTTCTTTGTCCTGCCTCATTTCATCAGGCTCTTGTGGAGCTTTTCAATATAGGTTTAAGCCCTCATCCCATCATTAGCAGACTCAGGTTGGGTGGGGTTTTGGCTCTGCTGCAGTACCCTTCATTTTGTAAGTGAGGAAAGGGAAGCTGCCGGTCAGAGGTTTGTCAGAGGTCACCAACTGAAGGAACAAAAGCCCCACCCCAGGCCTCATGAACTAGCTTGTGCCTCAGCTGACTTTTGCCAGGTATCAAGCCAAATTGTTTTTTAATTTTAATTTTAATTTATTTTTTGAGACAGAGACTCGCTCTGTCACCCAGGCTGGAGTACAGTGGCGTGATCTCGGCTCACTGCAACCTCCGCCTCCCTGGTTCAAGCGACTCTCCTGGCTCAGCCTCCCAAGTAGCTGAGACTACAGGCGTGCACTACCACGCCTGGCTAATTTTCGTATTTTTGGTAGAGATGGGATTTCACCGTGTTGGCCAGGCTGGTCTGAAACTCCTGACCTTGAGTGATCCACCTGCCTTGGCCTCCCAAGGTGCTGGGATTACAGGCATGAGCCACAATGCCTAGCCCAAGCCAAATTTCTAAGAGTTGTATGTACTCAGGGTGACGGATTTAGCCCTGTTTTAGCCATGGCCTATGTTTCTGTTGGAACTGTAATAATTTTTGCCATAGATATTTACCTTAGCCATCTTGTTATTAGTAAAGTAACAGTCGATGCAGAGGGTGACAGTGACAACGTTGCCATTTCCATGGACACTTGAACACATCAACAGTCCCATCAGCTATCTGTAGAGTTCTGCAGCCTTCTGCCTCCCCTCCCACCATGTGACCCCATGTCTCTCTACGGAGTGACTTGCAACTCTAACAGCCTCACTTTTTTATGCTTTTTGGGGGTGGGGGTAGGGTCTCAGTCTGTCACCCAAGCTGGAGTGCAGTGGTGCAATCACAGCTCACTACAGCCTCGACCTCCTGGGCTCAAGTGATCCTCCGGCCTCAGCCTCCTGAGTAGCTGGGACTACAGGAGTGTGCCACCACGCCCAACTAATTTTTTTTTTTTTTTTGTAAAGATGGGGGTCTCACTATGTTGCCCAGGCTGGTCTCAAACTCCTGGGCTCAGGTGATCCTGCCACCTCAGCCTCCCAAAGTACTAGGATTACAGGTGGGAGCCACTGCACCTGGCCATTCTTTTTTCTACCTTGAACCTGATATTTTGTTTCCTGGCGGAGTAGGGATTTGTAGAATGAGGCTGTGTTAATCTGAGCTGCCTGAGATCATGGTCATGGTAACTGCTCAGGGAAGGATGTCTGGGCTTCTCAGCACACGCAGTGAATTCTGCCACCAGGTTATGCTTCTTGGGGGCATTCTTGGGTTCTCTTAAAATAAGTTCTAGTTTCATAAGGAAAATGTTTATATACTTTTTGAAATGTGTTGTGTGTGTGCTGATGTTTCAGGACTGATTGATGTGATGGAGCTCGGCACTCAGGGCATCATCTGTGAGCTGGCGTCAGTGGCCTACATGGTAAGAACTTGGGTGAGACTCGGGACGAGACCTGGCACCTTCTCTGCTTAAACCTGCTGTGCCACTGTCATTGCATTCACTCAGCAGATGTGCACCATGGGAAGGGAGGAACCAGGCAGCACAAGTGAGAGAGGACAGTGCAGTGTGGACAGCATGGATGGGGGCCAGACACACGGAGGTGAGTCCTGGCCATGTTGTTCCCCAACTGTGTGACCTGGGCTTGTTACTTAACCTTTCCAAACTTTAGTTTCCTCATATACAAAATGGGGGGAAAAAAAACCTACTTTGCAGGTGAAGATTGAATGAGAATGCATGCATATGCAACACTCAACACGACGCCTGACACATACGTTCACCTGATGTGGAGTTGGTGCTAGGATGCAGTGGGGTGTGAGATGGGGTCACCTCCTGCCCTCTGCAGCTCGTGGCCCCATGGGGAGACAGGGATGAGCCAAGTACACAGATGAGTGAGAGCATTGTAAATGTATGCGATAGGTACCATTAAGAAGCAAAAGCAGGGCCAGGTGCGATGGCTCATGCCTGTAATCCCAGCACTTTGGGAGGCTGAGGAGGGCAGATCACCTGAGGTCAGGAGTTCAAGACCAGCCGGACCAACATGGTGAAACTCCATCTCTACTAAAAATACAAAAAGTAGCTGGGTGTGGTGTGCATGCCTGTAATCCCAGCTACTCAGGAGTCTAGGCAGGAGAATTGCTTGAACCTGGGAAGCAGAGGTTGCAGTGAGCTGAGATTGTGCCACTGCCCTCCAGCCTGGGTGACAAAAGCGAAACTACGTCTCAAAAAAAAAAAAAAAGCAAAAGTAGGACTGATATGCATGAAAACAGAGATGACACCTTTTTGGCTTGGGTAGTCAGGAAGGGTCTTTCTGCATTGCTGTTTAAGCTGAGACTTGAAGGATGAGAGGAGCCAGCTTGGGAGCCTGTGCACAGGAGCCAACTGCTCAGCCTGGGCCAAGGCTCTGCAATGGGTCCAAGCACCTGGCGTGGATGAGGTGAAGGGTTAGTGAGGGTAGAAGGAGGCTGGAGGCAGCACGCAGGGCCTGTGGGCTCCAGAAGGAAACAGCCATTCTTGGTGCCATGTAGAAGTGGGCTTAGAGGAAAACAGGTGTGGGTGTGAGTTGGGAGGGCAGAAGGAGGCTGTTGGAATCGTCCAGATGAACAATCAGGAGGCTGCTGGTGGGGGAGGAGAGAAGGGGGTGGATCAGTTATGTGTAGAGGCAGAATCGACAGGTCATGATCAGGGTTTGGTTGTGGAATGCAAAACAGTGAAGGAGAAGGGTCACAGACTGCAGAGTTTCTGGCTTGAGCAACTGTAGCGGTAATGCCTGTTGCCTTTTGATGCTTTTTGAATGTCCCAACCCAGTGCAGATATCCCCTTTGTTTTGTTTGTTTCTTGTTTTTGTTTTGTTTTGTTTTTAAAGATCAACTGAGGCCATCTCAGCAGTGGGATTATGGGCCATTTTTGTTTATACACACACACACACACACACACACACACACACACACACACACACATATATGCGTATATATACTATTATTGACTGTACAACAAAACCTAATCCATATGAATATTGATCCGTACTAGAAATTCTTAATATTGCATAGCGCATATATTCGTTCATTGGACATGGCACATTTCAGTCAAGAAATCCCTTGTCAACATGGATATCCTCTGCCAGATTTTGGTCTCTTAATCTACCAACCTCCAATAAATCATCATCCCGCTCTGGAGTGCTACCCTCCTCGCTCTGGGCCCATAACACTTGGGGGTGACTATCCTGAAACTATACCTGGCATCCGGTTCTTACTTCAGGGCCATAAAACTAAGATCACCCACACATTCCCCTTAAATAAGACATCTTGATGGATTAATGACTATCACCCTATTAACCAGTCATGGGAGCACTGTCATGCTTGGGTATTTCTAACTTTGGGGGATGCTATCACTCACCATTGCGGAAGGTCTAGTCCCTTCCGAATCCGCTGTAGATGAACTTGGATTGATTCCTGCCAAATCAATTGTAGAAGCTGAGCTTATATTGAATATTCCAGGCTGGCACAATAACCACAAGGTATTAATTAATTCATGCTTGAAAGACATAACAATTAATCAATAGGCACGTATGCTCATGCATGTCCACTCACTTTCAAGAACTATTTCCGATTAAATCCGCAACCCCCCATCTCTGACTTTACCATCAACCTAGGTAAGTGTACCCTCACCAAACCCCCAAAACAAGAGACTAAAATGCAACCCAGTCAGAGCCCAGAAATCATGTTTTAACCATGAATACCCCAACAGCTGTCACTCGATTGATGTCATTTTCCTAAAAATCTTAAGACCCTCCTACTAAATTAAGCCTCCATTTTATATAATAAATACAATAACTAAATTTCCACCCTAATACTGATATAACACCTTGGGCATACCCCTCTGAAAGTGCTACCCCATATGCCATACCCTAAATCAATTATATCCAAATTATGAGTAGTCCTCTCAGCCAAACCTCTGCCAATTCAACTTTAAAGACCCTGACTTCCCAGAACTGTAAACGACTATTTATACTTACTTCTTTCCTTCTCATATTTTAATCTTACACTTAAGTATTTATGCAGTTAATGTAGCTTAATTATTCAAAGCAAGACACTGAAAATGTCTAGATGGGTCTGCACATCCCCATAAACAGATATGTTTGGTCCTGGCCTTTCTATTAGCTTTTAGTAAGATTACACACGCAGGCACCCCCGCCCCAGTGAAAATGCCCTCTAGATCACCCAGATCAAAAGGAACAGGTATCAAGCATGCACAAATGCAGCTCAAAACACTTTGCTCAGCCACACCGCCAGGGGAAACAGCAGTGATAAACTGTTAGTAATAAACGAAAGTTTAAGGTATACTGATATCTAGGGTTGGTCAATTTCATGCCAGCCATCGTGGCCATAACATTAACCCAAGTTAATAGAACTCGGCGTAAAGAGTGTTTAAGGTCTGGCCTCAATAAAGCTAAACTCCATCTAAGTTGTAAAAAACCTCCAGCTGAAATAAAATATACTATGAAAGTGGCTTTAATACCCTGAAGACACAATAGTTAAGACCCACACTGGGATTAGATAACCCACTATGCTTAGCCCTAAACTCTAATAGTTACATTAACAAAACCATTCGCCAGAGTACTACAAGCAACAGCTTAAAACTCAAAGGACTTGGCAGTGCTTTATATCCCTCTAGAGGAGCCTGTTCTATAATCGATAAACCCTGATATACCTCACCACCTCTTGCCCCCAGCCTGTATAGTGCCATCTTCAGCAAACCCTAAAAAGGTTGTAGAGTAAGCACAAGTATACACATAAAAACATTAGGTCAAGGTGTAGCTCATGAGGTGGCAAGAAATGGGCTACATTTTCTATACTCAGAAAATCTCACGACAATCTTTATGACATCTAAGGGCTCAAGGAGGATTTGGCAGTAAACCAAGAGCAGAGTGCTTGGTTGAATAAGGCCATGAAGCATGCACACACCGCCCATCACCCTCCTCAAATATTATTCTAGAAATTACTATTACTAAAAACTCTGTACGCACATATAGAGGAGATAAGTTGTAACATGTTAAGCATACTGGACAGTGTGCTTGGACAAACCAAAGTGTAGCTTAACCCAAAGCATCCGGCTTTCATCCGGAAAATTTCATCACGACCTGATCACTTTGAGCCAACTCTAGCCCCAAACCTCACTAAAAACATTATCGAACTATCTTAATCAAACCATTTACCTTAGACAAAAGTATAGATAATAGAAATTTTTACCCTGGTGTGATAGACATAGTACCATAAGGGAAAGATGAAAGAACTGAATCAAGCATTAAAAAGCAAAGACAAACCCTTATACCTTCTGCATAACTAGAAATAACTTTACACAGAGAACCACAGCCAAGTCCCCCAAAACCAGATGAGCTACCCAAGAACAGCTGAAAGAGCACACCCACCTATGTGGCAAAATAGGGGGAAGATTCATGAGTAGCAGCGATAAGCCTACGGAGCCTGGTGATAGCTGGTTGTCCAAGACAGAATCTTAGTTCAACTTTAAACTTACTCACAGAACTACTTAATCTCCCTATAAGTTTAACTGTTAATTGCCAGGTGCGGTGGCTCATGCCTGTAATCCCAGCACTTTGGGAGGCCGAGGCGGGCGGATCGTGAGGTCAGGAAATCGAGACCATCCTGGCTAACATGGCGAAACCCCAACTCTACTAAAAATACAAAAAAAAAAAAAAAAAATTAGCTGGGCGTGGTGGCGGGCACCTGTAGTCCCAGCTACTCAGGAAGCTAAGGCAGGAGAATGGCGCAAACCCGGGAGGCGGAGCTTGCAGTGAGCTGAGATTGTGCCACTGCACTCCAGCCTGGGTGACAGAGCAAGACTCCATCTCAAAAAAAAAACAAAAAAAGTTTAACTGTTAATCTAAAGAGGGATAGCTCTTTAGACCATAGGAAACAGCCTTCCTACAGAGAGTAAAAAATATTACCACCATAGTTGGCCCAAAAGCAGCCACCAATTAAGAAAGCATTCAAGCTCAACATCTAACTATCTTAAATTCTAATCATTCTACTGAACTCCTAACATCACACTGGACTAATCTATTACTTAATAGAAGCAATAATGTTAATGTAAGTAACATGAAGATATTCTCCATTGCATAAGCTTATATAAGATCGGAATAACCCACTGAAAGCCTAATATTAATAAGTGATATAATAAGCATCCTATTATTTATACCGTTAATCCAACACAGGTATGCTCTAAGGAAAGATTACAAAAAGTAAAAGGAACTCAGCAAATCTTATCCTGCCTGTTTACCAAAAACATCACCTCTAGCATTACCAGTATTAGAGGCACTGCCTGCCCAGTGACATATGTTCAACGGCCGCAGTATCCTGACCATGTAAGGTAGCATAATCACTTGTTCCCTAAATAGGGACTTGTATGAATGGCCACGCGAGGGTTCAGCTGTCTCTTACTTCTTTTTTTTTTTTTTTGAGACGGAGTCTCACTCTGTTGCCCAGGCTGGAGTGCAGTGGCGTGATCTCAGCTCACTGCAAGCTCCGCCTCCCAGGTTCACACCATTCTGCCTCAGCCTCCCGAGTAGCTGGGACTACAGGTGCCCGCCACCACACCCAGCTAATTTTTTTTTTTTTTGTATTTTTAGTAGAGATGGGGTTTCACCATGTTAGCCAGGATGGTCTCGATCTCCTGACCTCATGATCCGCCTGCCTCGGCCTCCCAAAGTGCTGGGATTACAGGCATGAGCCACCGTGCCCGGCCATCTCTTACTTTTAATCAGTGAAATTGACGTATCCATGAAGAGGCGGATATAAGACGAGAAGACCCTATGGAGCTTTAATTTATTAATGCAAATAAAAACTCAAAAAAAAAAAAAAAAGCCTACAGGCCCTAGCCTACTATCCCTGCATTAAAAATTTTGGTTGGGGTGACCTCAGAGCATAATCCAACCTCCGAACAACCTAAACTAAGACTGCACTAGTGTAAGTGAGTTAACACACACTGACCCAATAATTTGATCAACGGAATAAGTTACCCTAGGGATAACAGCACAATCCTATTCTAGAGTTCATATCGAGAATAGGGTTTACGACGTCGATGTTGGATCAGGACATCCTAATGGTGCAGCCGCTATTAAGGGTTCGTTTGTTCAATGATTAGAATCCTACATGATCTGAGTTCAGATCGGAGTAATCCAGGTCGGTTTCTATCTATTTAACATTTTTCCTAGTATGAAAGGACAAGAGAAATAGGGCCCACTTCAAAAGCGCTCTTGCCCCATAGATGATGCTATCTCAGTCAAACAAATTATCACACACCCAACCCAAGAACAGGGTTTGTTAAGATGGCAGAGCCCAGCAATTGCATAAAACTTAAAACTTTATTTATTTATTTATTTATTTATTTATTTATTTATTTATTTATTTTTGAGACAGAGTCTCACTCTGTAGCCCAGGCTGGAGTGCAGTGGCGCAATCTTGGCTCACTGCAAGCTCCACCTCCTGAGTTCACACCATTCTCCTGCCTCAGCCTCCCAAGTAGCTGGGACTACAGGCACCCACCACCATGCCTGGCTAATTTTTCGATATTTTTTAGTGGAGATGGGGTTTCACCATGTTTTGCCAGGATGATCTCGATCTCCTGACCTCGTGATCCACCCACCTCGGCCTCCCAAAGTGCTGGGATTACAGGCATGAGCCACTGCGCCCGGCCAACTTAAAACTTATAATCAGAGGTTCAACTCCTCTTCTTAACAGTATGCCTATAATTAACCTTCTCCTACTCATCATTCCTACTCTAATCACTATAGCATTCCTTACACTCACTGAACGGAAAATCTTAGGCTATATACAACTACGCAAAGGACCTGACATTGTAGGTCCCTATGGACTGCTTCAACCATTCACTGATGCAGTAAAACTTCACCAAAGAACCCTTATGGCCCTCAACATCTACTATTACCCTTTATATTATTGCTCCAACCCTGGCCCTTTCTATCATTGTCCTCTTGTGAGCTCCCCTCCCTATACCAGATCCTCTAATTAATTTTAATATAGGCCTCCTATTTATACTAGCCACATCAAGCCTAGCCGTCTACTCTATTCTATGATCAGGATGAGCATCTAATTCAAATTATGCACTAATCGGCGCATTACGAGCTGTGGCCCAGGCAATTTCATATGAGGTCACCCTAGCCATCATCCTGCTGTTAATTCTACTGATAAGTGGCTCATTTAACTTATATGCACTCATCACAACACAAGAATTCCTCTGACTGCTCCTACCATCATGCCGCCTAGTCATAATATAATTTATCTCCCCACTAGCAGAAACTAACCGAGCCCCTTTTGACCTAACAGAAGGAGAGTCAGAGTTAGTCTCGGGCTTCAACATTGAATATGCCACAGGTTCATTTGCCCTCTTCTTTATGGCAGAATACATGAATATTATCTTAATAAGTGCCCTAACTACTACTATTTTCCTAGGAGCACTACACACTATATATTCACCAGAACTCTATACCACAAATTTCATTATCAAGACCCTCGTTCTAACCGCCCTGATTTTATGAATTCGAACAGCATACCCCTGACTGTGCTACAACCAACTCATATATCTCCTATGAAAAAACTTCCTACCACTTAAACTAGCATTCTGCATATGTTATATGGCCTGTCCTAATTTCCAGCATTCCACCTCAAACATAGGAAATATGTCTGACAAAAGAATTACTTTGATAGAGTAAATAATAGAGGTTAAAATCCTCTTATTTCTAGAACTATAGGAATTGAACCTACCCCTGATAATCCAAAATTCTCCATGCCACCTATTACACCACATCCTAAAGTAAGGTCAGCTAAATAAGCTATCGGGCCCATACCCCAAAAATGTTGGTCATACCCTTCCCATACTAATTAATCCATTAGCTTGGCCTTACTATTTTCACAGGAACTCTTATCACAATGCTGGGCTCACACTGATTTCTCATCTGAACAGGCCTAGAAATAAACATACTAGCTTTTATACCAATCTTAATTTAAAAAAATAGCTAGGTACGGCGACTCACACCTGTAATCCCAGCACTTTGGGAGGCTGAGGCGGGCGGATCACGAGGTCAGGAGATCGAGACCATCCTGGCTAACATGGTGAAACCCCGTCTCTACTAAAAATACAAAAAATTAGCCCAGTGTGGTGGCAGGTGCCTGTAGTTCCAGCTACTCGGGAGGCAGAGGCAGGACAATTGCTTGAACCCGGGAGGCGGAGCTTGCAGTGAGCCGAGATTGCGCCACTGCACTCCAGCCTGGGCGACAGAGCGAGACTCCATCTCAATAAATAAATAAATAAATAAATAGATAAATCCCCACTCTACAGAAGCAGCCACCAAATACCTCCTTACACAAGCAACCACATCTATAATTCTCATGATAGGTATCCTTTCCAATAACCTGTCCTCTGGACAATGAACAATAATAAACACTAGTAATCAATTTTCATCCTTAATAATAACAGTCCTAGTAATAAAACTAGGAATATCCCCCTTTCACTTGTGGGTCCCAACAGTAACCCAAGGAACCTCTCTAATGTCTGGCATACTTCTCCCCACATGACAAAAACTAGCGCCTATCTTGATTATGTTTCAAATTTTCCCAACAATAAACTCGAACATCCTCCTATCATAATTTTTTTTTTTTTTTAAGTCAGAGTTTTGCCCTTGTCGCCCAGGCTGGAGTGCAATGGCACGATCTTGGCTCACTGCAACCTCCACCTCCCAGGTTCAAACGATTCTCCTGCTTCAGCCTCCTGGGTAGCTGGGACTACAGGTGTCTGCCACCACGCCTGGCTAATTTTTGTATTTTTAGTAGAGACGGGGTTTCACCATCTTGGCCAGGCTGGTCTTGAACTCCTGAACTTGTGATCCACCCTCCTCAGTCTCCCAAAGTGCTGGGATTACAGGCGTGAGCCACCACGCCCAGCCTATCTATCACAATCTTATCCATTATTGTGGGCGGTTGAGAACTTAAACACAACTGCGTAAAATCCTAGCCTACTCCTCAATTACTCACATAGGTTTAATAATAGCAGTACTAATTTATGACCCCAAAATTACCATTCTAAACCTGATTATTTACTTTATTTTAACAACTACTGCATTTCTAGCACTCAACCTGAGTATAAGCACTGCAGTCCTGTCACTATCTCATGCCTGAAACAAATTAACATGATTAACACCTATAATTCCACTAATTCTACTATCCCTAGGAGGTTTACCCTCATTAACAGGATTTTTGCCTAAATGAGCCATCATTCAAGAATTTACAAAAAACAATAGTCTTAATATCCTGATCATTATAGCTACCATAACCCTACTCAACCTGTACGTTTACATATGCCTAATTTATTCCATCTCAGTGACAATATTCTCCACATCTAATAACATGAAAATAAAATGACAATTTGAAAACACAAAACCCATACTACTCCTCCCCCCAGTTATCATTTCTTCTACCCTCCTCTTACCCATCTCTCCATTAACACTAACTATAACTTAGAAATTTAGGTTAAATAAGACTAAGGGCCTTCAAAGTCCTTAGTAAGTAAACTATACTTAATTTCTGTAACAGACCTAAGGACTGCAAGACTCTCTTCTGCATCATTGAACGCAAATCAACCACTTTAATGAAGCTAAGCCCTGGCTAGGCTGGTGGAATTCAAACCCACGAAAATTTAGCTAACATCTAAACACCCTAATCAATTGGCTTCAATCTACTTCTCCCACTGTTGCGGGGAGAAAGGCGGGAGAAGCCCTGGCAGGATTGAAGCTGCTCCTTTGAATTTGCAATTCAACATGAGAAATCACTTCAGGGCTGGTAAAAAGAGGTCTTGACCTCTGTCTTTAGATTTACAGTCTCATGCTTACTCAGCCATTTTACCTTTTTCCCACTTATGTTCATCAGTCGTTGATTGTTTTCAACTAACCACAAAGATATTGGAACACTATACCTGCTATTCAGCGCATGAGTGGGGATAGTGGGCACCACCTTAAGCCTTCTAATTCGAGCAGAATTAGGCCAACCAGGAACTTGGCTTGGAGATGATCAGATCTACAGTGTTATTGTTACCGCCCACGCAGTCATCATCATATTCTTTATGGTAATACCAATCATAATTGGAGGTTTCGGCAACTGGCTAGTCCCTCTAATAATTGGTGCACCCGATATGACATTTCCCTGGATAAATAATATGAGCTTCTGAGTTCTGCCCGTCTCTTTCCTACTCTTACTTGCATCCTCAACAGTAGAAGCCGGCGCTGGAACCCGCTGAACAGTTCATCCCCCTTTAGCAGGAAACTGAACACATGCAGGAGCCTCTGTAGATTTAACCATCTTCTCATTCCACTTGGCAGGTGTTTCTTCTGTTTTAGGGGCCATTAATAGTAGATGTACGAAAGTTGATTAAGGAATTTTTAGTATGTACTTATATGTATGTGGACTACATACATATAATAGCCAGCCACCATGCCTGGCTAATTTTTTTTTTTTTTTGTAGAGATGGGGTTTCTCCATGTTGCCCAGGCTGGTCTCGAACTCCTGAGCTCAAGTGATCCTCCCACTTCAGCCTCCCAAAGTGCTGGGATTACAGGCATGAGCCACTGCACTCGGCTTCCTTAACTTTTTTTTTTTTTTTTTTTTTGAGATAGAGTCTTGCTCTGTCGCCCAGGCTGGAGTGTAGTGGTGTGATTTGGCTCACTGCAGCCTCTGCCTCCTGGGCTCAAGGAATTCTTCTGCTTCAGCCTCCCAAGTAGCTAGGATCACAGGCGCCTGCCACCAGGCCCAGCTAATTTTTGTATATTTAGTAGAGACAGGGTTTTGCCATGTTGGCTAGACTGGTCTCAAACTCCTGACCTCAGATGATCCGCCTGCCTCGGCTTCCCAAAGTGCTGGGATTAAAGGCATGAGCCACTGCGCCTTGCCTCCTTAATCTTTTTTTTTTTTTGAGACGGAGTTTCACTCTTGTTGCTCAGGCTGGAGTGCAATGGTGCAATATCAGCTCACCTCAACCTCTACCTCCCGGGTTCAAGCAATTCTCCTGCCTCAGCCTCCCGAGTATCTGGGATTACAGGCATACCCCACCACACCCGGCTAATTCTGTATTTTTAGTAGAGTTGGGTTTTCTCCATGTTGGTCAAGCTGGTCTTGAACTCCCGACTTCTGGTGATCTGCCCACCTCAGCCTCCCAAAGTGCTGGGATTACAGGTGTGAGCCACTGTGCCTGGACTCCTCCTTAATCATTTTTAAGTGTACAGTTCAGTAGTGTTAACTGTATTCACACTGTTGTGCAACCAGTCTCCAGAACTTTTCATCTTGCAAAACTGAAATCATGTACTCATTAAACAACTCTTATCCTCCTTCCCCAGACCCTGGTAACCACCTTCTACTTTGTTTCTCGTCGCAGGCCCTTTTTTGTTAGAGACAGTGAGGCAACAATTCTTCATTATTCCCTAATACTAACACCAACACCACTAACAGCAAAACAAGCCCTGTTAGTGGTGAGCTTACAGTAAAAATTATAAAATATAAAGAAGTAATCCACCATGAACAAGAGTTAACACATACAACTAACAGGAAAATTAAAGTTAAGAATTTGCAATAATGGTATCATAATCAGACAGAGAATAGAAAATTATGTTTAAAATCATTAGACATAAAGGCCGGGCACGTGGCTCACGCCTGTAATCCCAGCACTTTGGGAGGCTGAGGTGGGCGGACCACCTGAGGTCAGGAGTTCGAGACCAGCCTGATCAATATGATGAAACCCCGTCTCTACTAAAAATACAAAAATTAGCCAGGCTTGGTGGCATGCGCCTGTAATCCCAGCTACTTGGGAGGCTGAGACAGGAGAATCGCTTGAACCCGGGAGGTGGAGGTTGCAGCGAGCTGAGATTGTGCCATTGCATTCCAGCCTGGGCAACAAAAGCAAAACTCATCTCAAAAAAGAAAAAAAATCATTAGACATAAAAGAAGGAATTGAAACCAAAAGAACAATATTGGAAAAAGGACCACAGGGAACTTCCAGAAGTAAAAAATATATCCATTGACATTTAATACTTGATAGACTAAACTGCAGATTAGTTACAACTGAAAGATTAAATAATGAACTTGAAGATAGATTTGTGGAAATTCCCCAGAATAAAAGATATGTAAAGAGATGGAATGTATGCAAGATCTAAGTGGGTTTTCTTGTTTTTTTGAGACGGAGTTTCACTCTGTCGCCCAGGCTGGAGTGCAGTGGCGCGATCTCGGCTCACTACAACTTCTGCCTCCCAGGATTAAGCAATTCTCCTGCCTCAGCCTCCTGAGTAGCTGGAATTACAGGCGCCTGCCACCATTCCCGGCTAATTTTTGTATTTTTAGTAGAGACAAAGTTTCACCATGTTGGCCAGGCTGGTCTCGACCTCCTGACCTCAGGTGATCTGCCTGCCTCAGCCTCCCAAAGTGCTGGGACTACAGGCGTGAGCCACTGCGCCGGGCCTAGGTCATTATTTATCTGATAGAAATTCTAAGGAAAAGAGTAGGAGACTGGTGGAGATGTAGTACTCAGACATTTGACAGAAGACACTTGAAGTAAGACATGAATCTTAATATTCAAAAATCTAATGAGCATTGTACTGGAGATTCTACCCTGGGTGATTAGACAAGAAAAAGAAAGAAAAGGCATCCAGCTTGTAAGGGAAGAAGTAAAACTATCCTATTTGAGTGTGACATGATCGTTCATTTATAAAACCCTAAAGAATCCATACACACACAAAACTAAAACTACTAGAGCTAATAAATGAGTTCAGCAGAGTTGTAAGATACAAGATCAATTCATAAAAATCAGTTGAATTTCTATCCACTAGCAATAGACAATCTGAAAATGAAATTAAGAAAACAACTCCATTCACAAAAGTATCAAAAAGAATAAAATACTTTGGGAGGCCGAGGCAGGCGGATCACAAGGTCAGTAGATCGAGACCATCCTGGCTAACATGGTGAAACCCCGTCTCTACTAAAAATACAAAAAATTAGCTGGGCATGGTGGCAGGTGCCTGTAGTCCCAGCTACTCGGGAGGCTGAGGCAGGAGAATGGCGTGAACCCGGGAGGCAGAGCTTGCAGTGAGCTGAGATGGCGCCACTGCACTCCAGCCTGGGAGACAGAGCGAGACTCCGTCTCAAACAAACAAACAAACAAAAATGACAAGAATAACAAAGAAGAATAAAATACTTAGGAATAAATTCAACCAAAGGAGTGCAAGACTTGTCAGTGTTAAAAGACATTAAAAATGTAAATAAAGATTTCCCATGTTCATAGACTGGAAGCCTTAAAATTGTTAAATACACCCTAAGTTGATCTACAGATTCAGGGCAAGCCCTATCAAACTTTAAATAGGCCCCCTTCTTGCAGATTGAAAAACACATCCTAAAACTCATGGAGATGCAAGGGACCCAGGATAGTCAGAACAATCTTGTGAAAGAAGAAAGTTGGAGGATTCACACACCACCAACAACAATAAAAACCAGAAGACAGTGAAATAATATCATCAGAATGCTAAGAGAATAGTGTTATTCCTTATTCAGCTATACTATTGTTCTCAAAAGAGGGCAAATTAAAAGACATTTTCCAGCAAATACTGAGAGGCATCACCATTTATTTATAGAGCATTCATGAAAAAAAAAAACACACTGATGTCCAAAACATGGCAACGAAATTGGTAAATATGGATATATTGAAACTCACTTTGAATTTAAATTTTAAAAAATAATAGGCTAATTCATACAGTACAAAAATAAAGTAGAAATAAAATATGTACAGCAATAAACGGTAAGATTGGGAGAAGATTCTGTTAGTTAAAGCCATCTAGATATTATCAGGGAAGAGGGTAGGATATAGTGATTGACAAAGTTTTTAAGTCAGGTATGCATGTTGCTATTTTAAGGGAATAACCAAAAGGGAAGAAATAGAATATATAATTTATTTTATTTTATTTTATTTATTTTTTTGAGACGGAGTCTCGCTCTTTCGCCCAAGCTGGAGTGCAGTGGCACGATCTCAGCTCACTGCAAGCTCTGCCTCCTGGGTTCACGCCATTCTCCTGCCTCAGCCTCCCGAGTAGCTGGGACTACAGGCACCCACCACCACGCCCGGCTAATTTTGTTTTTGTATTTTTTAGTAGAGACGGGGTTTCACTGTGTTAGCCAGGATGGTCTCGATCTCCTGACCTTGTGATCTGCCCGCCTCGGCCACCCAAAGTGCTGGGATTCCAGGCGTGAGCCACTGCACCCGGCCGTAAAACTCGTTTTATAGCAAATAGTACAATGAACAAATTGACATATATAAAAAGGAACAAACGATACATGTCATAACATGTGAATCTCAAACTTTTTTTTTTTTTTGTGACGGAGTCTCGCTCTGTCCTCCAGGCTAGAGTGCAGTGGCCCGATCTCGGCTCACTGCAAGCTCCGCCTCCCGGGTTCCCGCCATTCTCCTGCCTTAGCCTCCCGAGTAGCTGGGACTACAGGCACCTGCCACCATGCCCAGCTAATTTTTTGTATTTTTAGTAGAGACGGGGTTTCACCATGTTAGCCAGGATGGTCTCGATCTCCTGACCTCGTGATCCGCCCGCCTCGGCCTCCCAAAGTGCTGGGATTACAGGCGTGAGCCACCGCGCCCGGCCTAGAATATATAATTTATAAACCAGTAGAAATCAAAAGGAAATTAAAAAAATCTAACATAAAGCAGTGAAAATGAAGATAAAAAGTAAAAAGAAGGCATTATAATAATACAAAATAAGATAGTAGAATTAAATCTCAAATATGTATAATCACACTAAAGGAAAATACACAAAATTTCCCAAAGATAGACTCTCAAATCTCCCCTCCCTCACTTCCAATCTCTTTGCAGTGCTTTTTTGTCTCAGCCGTGTCCTGCTTTTTTACTTAACATTACCACACAAACATGTTTTTTATGTTTATAAAGGCACTTCCTGAAAATAATGTTAAAATCCGATTGTCTCTGTATAATCAGTAACTGTCACACTGTTCACCTAATTACTTCACTGTCATTGGACTTTTCATTTGTCTAGTTTTTCACTATCCCCTATAATTGATTCCCTGAATATCTTTACACAAAATTTGATCCTTGAGACTAGAATCCCAAATCAGAAACAAGTGTTTCAAAAAATCTTTGCTAGCTCAGTATATGAAAAATGGGTACTTAATTTCAATTTTTTAAATTAGTGAGGTTGACTATATTTAACTAGTTTTTCTTTTAATCATCTTTTATCTGTTTATGTCTCTTGCCTGTTTATCAGTTTGGGGTTTATTTTTCTTTTGAATTTATATGAGTTCTTTATAACTAGAAGATTATTAGTTTTCTATCAGTTGTGTCTGTGACGAATTTTTCCTTTTTATTTTAAAATTTTATGTATTCTTAAAAATGTTTTATTATAAAAGCAAATTATATTAAGCAACACATAACACATTCTGAACACATAGCATAGTTCAGAAGTTAACACAACTGAAAGTGAGCACTTCTTCTATTTAGGCTAGTTCCCCAGAGCTGTCCCACTTCTTTTTTTTTTTTTTTTTGAGACGGAGTCACCCAGGCTGGAGTGTAGTGGCCTGATCTCGGCTCACTGCAACCTCCGCCTCCTGGGTTCAAGCAATTTTCCTGCCTCAGCTTCCCGAGCATCTGGGACTACAGGCATGTGCCACCAGGCCTGGCTAATTTTTTGTATTTTTAGTAGAGACAGGGGTTTCACCATGTTAGCCAGGATGGTCTCGATCTCCTGACCTCATGATCGGCCTCCCAAAGTGCTGGGATTACAGGCATGAGCCACTGTGCCCGGCCAATCTGTCCCACTTCCTAACCATTTCTGGCTATAGCTCTGATGATTGTCGCCAGAGCTTTATCCCTACACTTCTTATCACCCTTACCCGGTAACGGTTGGCTTCCTGTTGGAAAGATGAGAAATCAGCTCACTTTACGTGCCATCTCCCTCTTCCTTGTGGTTTTTGTTTTTCTGTTTATAGTTCTCTTAGTGGTCAAATTGTTTATAACCTTAAATAATAAGCATAGACCTCTATTTCTTGGTCCAACAACTTTATAGACCCTGTGACCTGACCCCTAAGTTGTAAGATGAGGAACATGGGGTCCTTTTGTTTCTTTCCGTCTCTCTTCCCATTTGCCTCCCAAATTCCAGAATTCCATATGCTGCTTAATAGCCACCCACATGCCATGAGCCAGGCACTATGCGAAACACTTCACAAATGGGACTCACAAGCTCCTCATTGCAATGCCATGTGAGGGATTTACTGTTCTTTCCCCTGCATCACAGATGAGGAAACTAAGGCCCAGAGAGTATCATTCGTCCAAGTTCAAGGAAGTAACTGGCTAGGATTTGAGCCCAGGGACTTGGCTCCAGAGGTCATGGTCATGGTCTTAATCACAGCTACCTCTCAGCTATATCACTGTTTTTATTTTGTGAAGCTTACGACATTTGAATTGTATTATCTAATGGTTATCATGTCTTTCATGTGTTAGGGGTTGTCTGAAAAAAATAAACATTCATAATATTATGATTTTTGTAAATATGATTATTTGCAGATCCAAATGTGGTCTTGCATCAGACGAGAAGGAAATGCAAATCCAGTAGCCACCAACACTACCACTTGAAAGAGGCTTTTACAAGTGAAAGATGAAATGCATTATTTTTTCTTGCTTTTGTCATTTGGTCAAAATCATGTCATATTTTGTTTCATATTTAGGCCATGACTTTTCTTGTGCAGCTCATTTGTTTTTTCTGGCATTTCTAACAGCCTTTATTTCTTATTGATGGAGCAGCATGGCCCCTCATCTCGTTACTAAGATGATCCAGTGTGTAAACATACTGTTAAGTATGAGTGCATTTTTTTCTTGAATGCCTCAGGGCCCTTTGATTCCTTGTTTTAATTTGTATCCAGGCTGGGCGCGGTGGCTCATGCCTGTAATCCCAGCACTTTGGGAGGCCAAGGCAGCCAGATCACCTGAGGTCAGGAGTTCGAGACCAGCCTGGCCAACATGGCAAAACCTCATCTCTACTAAAAATAGCTGGGAGTGGTGGCAGGCTCCTGTAGTCCCACCTACTCAGGAGGCTGAAGCAGGAGAGTCACTCGAACCTGGGAGGCGGAGGTTGCAGTGAGCTGAAATCACACCACTGCACTCCAGCCTGGGTGACGGAAGAAGACTCTTGTCTCAAAAAAAAAAAAAAAGGAATAATTAATTTGTATCCATTGATTTCTAGACTTTTTTCTAGCTTGCTGCACAGCTGTCATTCCAGAATTTCTCTCATTGTCCTCCTGAATTAAGCCTACAATTTCTTTGATCCCATTTCTTCCTCTTTCTTAGATTTCTTTAATTTTTTTTCTTCTGATCTAGCAGCAGCCAAATGAAAATTTAAAAAAATTTGTTCTGGAGTACTTAGTCAAAAACTTGTTCTAAGATTATATGGAAAGTAAATCATATGCCATGCATATTCGAGAGTCTTTATTTTCCTCTTATACTTGTTTAATAATTTGGCTGAGTATAGGATTGTAGGTTCAAAATAACTTCCCTCTGAATTTTGAGGACATTGCTGTGTCTCAGTCTGGTATTCAGAGTTACTGATGTGAAGTCTGCTCAGAATCTGTTTCTTGTTCCTTTGTAGGCAGCATGATTTTTCTCTTTGAAAGTTTTAACGTTTATTTCTTTATCTTTATAGTTCTGAAATCTCACAAGAGTGCATTTCTCTGAGGATACTTTTTAACTTCTGCTTAGCACTTGGTATACCCTTTCAGTCTGAAGACCTGTGTTTTTCTTCAACTCTGGGAAATTTAAAAAATATTCTTTCCCTCTTTTCTGTAAATTTTTTTCTGTTCTTTCTTTTTAAATTTCTTATTAGGTGGAGGTTGACCTTGGGAATTAATCTTCTTGGCTTTGGCTTTTTTTTTTCTATTAAAAAATATCTCTTTGTCTTTTTGTTTATCTTCTTTGCTGCTTTTTTTTTTAGTTTCATTTTTAATTTCTAAGAACATCTTTTTTTTGTCTTATAGTCTCTTTTATGGGAACCTGTTCTTGTTTTATGCTGCATTACCTTTTAAATATCCCTGTGGATGCTAAATCGGAACTTTAAACGTTCTTCTGTGTTCCTTGAGTCATCTATTTTCTCTGAGATCAGTTGACCTTTTACTTATCTTTATCTGTTTTGGGGATGTGTGCTTCAGTCTTCCTCAAAGCTCTGGTGATCTTACTAGTCTGTTTATACTTAGGAATGAATGAGTACATTGATTTATCAAACAAATGGCCGGCATAGCTTTCCTCTCCTATTATTTGGAGATTTTTCTCCAACAGGCCTCTCCCCAAAATGGGAAGGACCAGTGGGGAACTCGGTACCAAGGTGGTACCTGTCCAGTGACATCTTCATTTTAGGACTTATGGGTGAGGATTAGGCAGTAGGCAGCCTGACCTCCTGCCCCACCTTATCCCCATGTCCCACCTATCCCCCAAAACAAAAGAAGAAGGGCCTGACTCACGCCACGGAGGAAGCTCCACACTTGGCTTTTCTGTGTCAGCCCAGCTTCTTGTGTGCAGTAAGGCTAAGGACGGGCAGGTCGCGGGGCTTGGGTGTCCTGTCCCAGCCCTGTGGCGCATCTCCCTGACTGCTCTTCTTCACAGCCTCGGTGGGGGGAAGCAGGGCGTCAGTGCTCCTGGAGCTCTACTGGGAAGACGGAGTGTGAGGCAGCATTCTGTTCATGTTCTGTGCTGTGGCTTCCTGCGTTTCTGCCCTTGGATCATGGCTGTGGAGCCTGCTTTCCCTCTTCCAGAAGCTGACCGGCTCTCATTCTCAGTGTTGTTAATGAATTTATTTTCTATTAAGCATGGAGATTTATTTTCCATTAACAGTGTTTTGGGAGGGAAGGGAGTTAGGCATGTGATTCATTCATTTTGAACTGGAAGCCAGTTATGTGTACTTTAGGCATGCAAATCTTAAGAGATGTTTATATACTCATACTCAGGTCTGTTTTTTTTTTTAAGTTCTTTTTTTTTTTTTTTTTTTTGAGATGGAGTCTCACTCTGTAGCCCAAGCTGGAGTGCAGTGGCACAATCTTCGCTCACTGAAACTTCCGCCTTCCGAGCTCAAGCGATTCTCATGCCTCAGCCTCCCGAGTAGCTGGGACTACAGGCGCGTGCCACCATGCGTGGCTAGTTTTTTGTATTTTAGTAGAGACAGGGTTTCACCATGTTGCCCAGGGTGGTCTCGAACTCCTGAGCTCAGGCGATCTGTCAGCCTTGGCACCCCAAAGTGCTAGAATTACAGGCATGAGCCACCGCGCCTGGCCTCAAGTTCTTAATCTTAACAATTTAATATATATTTTTATCAACTGAACTTAGGCTAGTTTTCAAAACAGTAATGAATTAGAAGGCTTTTGGGAGGATGCTGTTTCTAGTAGGAATGAGAAGTTAGAGCTGATGTACGAGTGATTAAAAGTGAACTTGAGAGCCCAAAGCTAAGTTGTCTGTACAACCCACGTTACCCTCGCAGCCCCTGGGGGCAGCATTGTATTGCAGGATCATGATAGGGGTCAAGAAGGTGGCCCCAAAGGTTGAGTGGTGGTCTATTTAAGAAGCAAATAAGCTTATAGCTTTAGATTTTCATAATCAATGATTAAAATTAAGCCTTTGCATTTGAAGGGGCCTCTTTCAATTTACCGGATAATCAGACATATGGAATGTTTCACCCATCCCACCAAAAACGAGGTATTGTCGTGGAGTCAGATTTCATCAATGTCTGGGGTTCCTACAGTGTGCCAGGCGCGGTTCTAAATGCTTTTTCACATGGGTCATTTAATTTTTACAAATTATTTGTATACTAACGTTTATACTAAGTTAAATCTTACTTTGTATAATGTAGCTAAGTTGAATTGTCTTGATAGTGTGTGTGTAGCCAATAAAGGGGGTGTGTTGCCCTCAAATCCAGCTTCATTACGAGGTTCTGCTGTGATGAATGTGGTACAGGGAGCCGTCAGGGCAACTGTCATGCTTCCTTACCTGCAAAGAAATCGGATGTCACATGGCTAAGCAATTTGTCCACAGTCACACAGCTAGGATGTAAGAGAGCCAGTTCTAGAACTCAGCTCTCCGGGTCTGTCCTGTTTCCATTTAGTTAGACGCTAGTGCACTAATACTCCAATGTTCAGGCTTTACGACTGTGATTTATGCTTCTTAATTCTCAGGTACCCCTGGGCCTTGGAGTTGCAGCCAGCATCCGAGTGGGCAATGCTCTGGGGGAAGGGAATGTAGAGGAGGCTTGGTGCTCCTGCACCACAGTTCTCCTGTGTGCTGGTGAGTCAAGCATTCTACTCCCTGGCATCTGTGCTGAACTTAGTGTGCTAAGTTAAAATCTATGTATCAGAATTTCTCTAGGAATTGAATCATATATATATATTCAACTAAAACATCTATTCTTTATGCTCTTTCAAATTTACAAAGTTAAATAAAGCTTTTAATTATGATTTTCTGTTAATGATAAACCAACTAAATAATGTTACACTTGGTTCTACTGAAATAATTCTAAAGACCAGGTTCAAGCAATTCTCTTGCCTCAGTCTCCCAAGTAGCTGGGATTACAGGCACGTGCCACCACACCCAGCTAATTTTTGCATTTTTAGTAGAGATGGGGTTTCACCATGTTGGCCAGGCTGGTCTTGAACTCCTGACCTCAGGTGATCTGCCTGCCTCGGCCTCCCAAAGTGCTGAGATTATAGATGTGAGCCACCACGCCTGGCCCAGTTTTATTATTTTCAAGTGTGCTTTCCTAGTGTCATCTGACCTCACTGATTTTAGACCAATGCCTAAACGTATTCTTATAAAATCTCAGGACCAAGGAGGTGATCAGATGGAGTAATAGGGACTGGATTTACCTTTCTGCTTTAAACAACTAAAAACTGGCCAACACATACATATAATATGTATATATATGTATGTATATATAATATATAATATGTATATATTATGTATGTATATATAATATATAATATGTATATATTATGTATGTATATATAATATATAATATGTATATATTATATATGTATGTATATATGTATAAATGTATATGTATATATGTACATTATATATATATATATTAAAATATATATATATATTTTAAAATAGTTTTCAATCCCTTGAGGCCAGGAGTTTGAGACCAGCATGGGCAACATAGCAAGACCCATCTCTACAAAAACTACAAAAATTGCCTAGATGTGGTGGCACATGCTTGTAGTCCCAGCTCTGTGGGAGGATCACCTAAGCCCAGGAAGTTGGGGCTGCAGTGAGCCATGATTATGCTACTGCACTCTAGCCTGGGTGACAGAGCAAGGCCTTATCTTAAAAAAGAAAAAAGTTTTCAGACATTGGACAACAGGCAGCCCAAAGAGGGGAAAAAAATGAGAGAACACTATGATTACCCAGTGTACTAGGGGAGAGTTTCCAGGCCATAGCACAGGAAGAGGGAAAGCCCTGCTATCTCTGTGAGATGAAGAAATGGAGTTGGGAGTTTTGGGAGGCCATGTGACTTGAGTTCACAAGGCAGGGGACCAGAGAGGAGAGAGTTTGAGAGGGAGTGCTTTCAAGATCTTGGCTGGGCACAGTGGCTCACGCCTGTAATCCCAGCACTTTGGGAGGCTGAGGTGGGTGGATCAACTGAGGTCAGGAGTTTGAGACCAGCCTGGCCAATATGGTGAAACCCTATCTCTACTAAAAATACAAAATTAGCCAGGCATAGTGGCACACACCTGTAATGCCAGCTACTTGGGAGGCTGAGGCAGGAGAATTGCTTGAACCCAGGAGGCAGAGGTTGCAGTGAGCTGAGATCACACCACTGCACTCCAGCCTGGGCCACAAACTGAGACTCCATCTCAAAAAAAAAAAAAAATCCACAGAGGGGCTCTCTCAAGTCTAGCTGACTACCAAACTGGATGTGCATGTGAGGATGCTACTGGAAGCCAGCGGGACACACCTGAAAGGAGCAGACAAAACAATCCCTGGAGTTCATAAGGGCTGGGAAGAGTTTGTGTTCCCAACATCCAGAATGAAACAACCTCGTAATACATAAGACAGCTGGTGGAGTTCTCAGGAGGGTTTTGCCTGGGTAGTAGAGGAATATTAGCCCTAAAAATAAAGAGTGTTCTGGTCCTGCTTAACAAAGCTTAAAAGCAAACCTCAAGAAGGTCAAACTGCTTCTAGGAAGCAACTGCATCACAGAACTTAACTGTATCAAAGCTCAAGAGCATTTAAAATAGTACAAGAATATGTAGTAACCAACAAAGTAAAAATCACAATGTCTGCCAATTAATAATTACCAGGCATACAAAGAAATAATAAACTAAAATCCATAATAAAGAGAAACATCAATCAATAGAAACTGACCCAGAAATGAACAGATAAAATTACTACTCAGGAATACTAAAATGGTTTCTATAATTTTGTTTAATCTTTAAGAAAATAGAGAATAACATGAGCATGCTAAAGTGAGATATCAAATTTATGAAAAGAAAAGCAAATTGAATTGCAAGAGATGAAACAAAAAAATCTGAGGTGGAAATACATTGGTTGACATTAACAGCAGATTAGACACTGTAGAAGAAAAGATTAGTGAATTTAAAGATACAGCAATGGTAAATATCCTAAATAAAATGTAGAGAGAAAAAAGACTGAAAAAAATGAAAATGAGCAAGTTGTAAGTGGCCTAAAAGCACATAATCGTACGTAGTTCCCAAAGCGGAGGAGAGGGAAGAGGGGCAGGATACTTTTTTTTTAAAGAAATAATGGCAAAAAACTTTCCACATTTGATAAAATCTTCAGATTAAAGGTCTAAAAGGGTATTTATTTGATGTAATCACTGATCTGACCTTGGGATTCCTCTAGAACATCCTGGCCAAGCTGTCGTTTATACTTAATTAACTCACTGATGAGGAACTTGCTACCTCCCAATGCAGCTTGATTCTCAGAACACTTTTCTTTTGAACTGAAACCTACCTTTCCTACCCATAACTTTCACCCACTGATACTAGCTGTTGGGCTTATGATTCTGTAGGAGAGTCTGTCCATTTTTCAGTTACTGCCCTATGGGTGTTTTTATGATGGCTCATGCTCCACAGGATCTTCATGGTAAACATTTGTAATTCCTTCAGTCATTTCTCATGGAATGTGGTTTTGAGTCTCTACCATCTTCATCTTGAATTAACAGAAGCCTGAAGGCAGTGTCCATAGTACAAACAGCACCATTTAGAGAAGAACCATTTCCATTAGAGCAGAACCCGTTAGACTTCTAGGGAAGTACTAAGTTTTTGGTGGCTACACCACATGACCTGCCAATGTGCCACTGACCAGCCACAGCATCACCACCCTTCCTTTGTGTGGTTGTCCTCCTGAGCCCAAGTGCAGAATCCTACATTTGGACCCATTAATTGTTTTTTTCTTATTTTCTAGTCATCTTGACATTTTTGGTGTCTAATTTTTCCAGTGACAGTATGTCCTATCCTTTCCAGCTAGTGGCACCTGTACATGTGATATACACTTTTAGATCTTCATTTCCTCCTCTTTTATGTAAAACCCTAGCACCTTCATACAGTCTTTCCACCCTCAAATCTTACCAGCATCCTGTGTGAACTCAGCATCCATATAGATGAAGACATTCAATGCCCCAGCCCCTCACCTCAACTCCCCAGTCCTCTCTCCAGTAACTTTCTCCTGCCCTACCTTGGGCACACACTCCGTGATCATATTTTGGGCTTTTTCATTGCATATAACTGTTCCAACTTCAGCCCTTTAACTGGCCACATCCCTAATCCTTCCAGCATACTTTTATAGCTATGTCTACTTAAGAGGTTTCTTCAACCACTTGGGCCTCCCAGTCAGTTGACAACTCTTTCTCAATCTACCACATTCCTGCCTTTACTTCCTTCCTTATGTAGCTTAGTCAGTATGGTTCATCATTTTAGTAACTCTTTTGCCAGTAACCTGAATTCTTTTGACCCTTCTAAATGACAGAACTCCATCCTGGAGGAACCCAGTTGCACATTTTCTGTACTAATAGCCAATCACTTCATATTGGTTACACTAGAAACTTATGACCATTAACCATAATTAGACCCTCAGCACCCTGCCCTACCTTTGTTTAGTCATCTCACCGTCCATCTCTGCAACCCATGTTAAACCTTCTCTACTCTTTTAAAACCACTGGCCCCTCCCTACCACCTTCCACCATCACTGTCAGCAAATGACCTTGCCTCCTCAAGTTCATCCTACTTGGTGCTTGTTGGGCTTCTTGGATATGTAGATTCATGTCTTTCATCAAATTTGGGAAAGTTTTCAGTTATTCTTTCTTCAAATATTTTTATGTTTTTTTCTTTCTCTCCTCACCTCTGAGACTTCCATTATTTATATGCTGATATACTTGATTGTGTTCTCTAGGTCCCTATATCAGTGTTCACTTTTCTTACCTTTTTTTTCTGTTCCTTAGACTAATCTCAATTATCCTATCTTTAAGTTTGCTGATTCTTTCTTTTGCCGGCTCAAATCTGCTCTTGAGCCCTCTAGTGAATTTTTCACTTCAGTTGTGGTACTTTTCAACTCCATAGTTTTTATTTGGTTCTCTTGGAAAATAATTTATATATCTGTATTGATAGCATCTATTTGGTGAGACAATATTCTCATACTTCATTAGATGTAGTTTTATCTCTTTCAACATATTTAAAATAGCTGAATTAAAGTCTTTTTTTTTTTTGACTGGGTGCAGGAGCTCATGCCTATGGTTCCAGCACTTTGGGAGGCCAAGGTGAAATCACTTGAGGCCAGGAGTTTGAGACCAGCCTGAGCAACATAGCAAGACCCTGTCTCTATAAAAATTTTAAATTAAATTAAAAATAAAACTAAAAATTAGCCAGGCATGGTGGCATGTGCCTGTAGTCCCAGCTACTCAGGAGGCTGAGGCAGGAGGATTTCCTGAGTTCAGGAGTTCAAAGCTGCAGTGAGCCAGGATAGTGCCACTGCATTCCAGCCTGAGTGACAGAGCGAGACCCTGTCTCTCTTAAAAAAAAAGTCTTTTTTGATAAGTCCAATGTTTGGGCTTCTTCAGAGAGAATTCTTATTGATTGCTTTTTACCCTGTGTATGGGCTGTATCTTTTTGTTTCTTTGCATGACTCATAGTTTTTTGTTGAAAACTGGACATTTTAAATATTACAGTGCCACTGTTCTAGAAGTCAGATTGTCTTTTTCTTTAGGGGCTTTTGCTGTTGCTGCTTGTTTGCTTAGTGATTTTTATGGACTAATTCTGTAAAGTCTATATTATTTGCCAAATATAGCCACTAAAGTCCCTGTTCTGTTAGCTTAATGTCAGCTAATTATTGGAGAAATATTTTCTCAAATGCTTAGAATCCCAAATATCTCCCATTCTTTGCCAAGGGACTCTCTGTGCATTTTGAGGAACACCTTCAACACTCAGTGAGGCAGTTTACAACTTTGTTTTTTGTTTTTATTTTGAGATGGAGTCTCACTCTGTCTCCCAGGCTAGAAGTGCAGTGGCACTATCTCAGCTCACTGTAACCTCCACCTCCCAGGTTTAAGCAACTCTCCTGCCTCAGCCTCCCAAGTAGCTGGGACTATAGGCATGTGCCACCCTGCCCAGCTAATTTTTGTATTTTTAGTAGAGACGGAGTTTCACCATTTTGGCCAGGCTGGTCTCGAACTCCTGACCTCACGTGATCCGCCCGCCTCGGCCTCCCAAAGTGCTGGGATTACAGGCATGAGCCACCATGTCCAGCCACAACTTGGTTTTAAACTTCACTTCCTGTTTGTGCAGAGTCTCAAGTTCGGCCAGAAGTGAGTGCTTAGGCCTTAATGGGTCTTCCTTGAGCAGGGGCACAGTCTTAAGCATGCATATGGCCTTCTAGATTCCCCAGAATATGTCAGAACTTTGCAAAGCCCCTCAGACATTTCATTCCCCAGCCATTCCTACTAAGCTTTTTGGTGAGTTTATTGTGTATCCCTTGTATCAGGCAGCAGCAGCTAAAACATTTGCCCGTATACGTTTTCAACAAACATCCCTCAACATCAACTTTAGCACTGGGCAGGTTTGAATCAGGTGAAATAAAGTTAGCCTTTCAAGTGGGGTCTTCTAGGGAACCACCAGACAGATGATCTGTCTGTGAAATAATAACTATTCCTTGGGAATAGGGCTTTCAAAGAGTTCAACCCATTCTTCCTCCTCAAGTCCTGGAACTGTTATTTTTCAAGGTTACTGCTGAGCTAGGAGCAACAGGATGATATTAGGGTAAGTTAAAATACCACAATGCTTACTGTTCTTACCAAGATTCAGCCACCTTTCTTAAATAAATGCTCCCAATTCCCTTTAGTGAATTTCTGAAAATCTGGGAAAAAAATTGTATTTTTTTAAATTAAAAAAAATATTTTTAAGAGACAGGGTCTCGCTCTGTCACCAAGGTTGGAGTGCAGTGGTGCAGTCACAGCTCACTGCAGCCTCAAGCTCCTGGGCTCAAGTGATCCTACTGCTTCAGCCTCCCAAGTAGCTGGAACTACAGGTGCTTGCCCCTGTGTGCAGCTAGTTAATTTAAAAAAAAATTTTTTTTGTAGAGATAGTGTCTCACTATGTTGCCCAGTCTGGTTTCAAACTCCCGGACTCAAGTGACCCTCCTGCCTTGGCCTCCCAAAGCACTGGGATTACAGGTGTGAGCAACCACAGTCAGCCATGAAAAAATTGATTCTGACAATTTTTGCCAATTTGTGTTTCCTGTGAATGGGCCATACTTCCTGTCTCTGTATGCTCTGTAATTTTGTGTTGAGAACTGGACATTGTGAGTATTGTTATATGAAAACACTGGAAATCAGATTTTCATCTCTCTCCAGGCATTGTTGTTCTTGTTTGTTGGGGCTATTTGTCTATTTGTTTAGTAATTTTTCCAAAGTGGTTTTTACAAAGACAGAATGATCTGGCAGGGATTTCCTTAAATGCCTTTATCTAACAAGAAAGTTAAGCTGGCTTTTTTGACAGGCACTGCCTGTGAAGCCACTTCATCCCAAAGGGCCTCTATGCCAGCTCCTCAGTGGAACCTCCAGATAGATCGAAACACACAACTTTAATTTTTAGAGGATAAGGTTTTTATTGCCCAGTTTGGCACTAGTAAGCCACACTAGGAATGCAGGCAGCCATCCCTGCAGCTGCCTGCCGCGGAACTGGAAGACGGGAAAAGGTAGCCACTATGTGAAATGCAATTCACCCATGATCACCAGGCCCTTTCTTCAGGCATTCCCCTTGTTGCTCACTGCGAGTTTCTCACTAGCCTCCAGAGTGCCAAAATCATTGACTGTGACATCTCTCGCCATCAGTCTCACAAGAGACTGATTCTTGAGCTTCCTACTCCACTGTTGTTCATGATGTCACCTGGATAGAGGCTTCTCATGCTGATTTGGCTCTCGTTCTTTTGTAGAACAAATTTTTTTTTTCTGGAAATCTTTCAGATATTATTTTTGTCTCTGCTGGGTGTGCTTAGGTGTGGGTGAATCTTTTTTCTTATATTCTGCTTGCTATTTTGTAGACTTTCAATCTGAAGCATTGGATTTTTCTTTAGCTCTAGGAAATTTACCCTTTAAAAAAAATTTTACTCCTTTTCCTTTTTTCCGTTCTCTCCTTTTGGAATTCTTTTTGGATAAAGGATAGAATGTATGGATTAATCTGACATGTCTCTTTTCTCCCAGTTTCTATCTCTGTGTTTGGGATATTTTTTCAACTTTATCTTTCAAGTTGAAATGTAGTTTAGCCATGTCTATTCATTATCCAGTTTCTAAAAAAAGGTCTTTAGTGTTCATATTTTTCATTTCCAATTACTTTTCTCTCAATTGCTCCTCTTCCTTAATTGCCTGTTGTTAGCTGATAAATGTCTCTGATAATAGTAATTATAATTAAAAAAATTTTTTTTCTCTCATGTTCCTTGCATTCTTTGTTTCCTGTTGTATTAGCAGGCTTATTTTGGTCTTTCCTTTTTTTGTGCTGTTGATTTTCCTCAGTGTCTGGTGAACACTGATTTAACATTTGTATTTTTGTTTTTGTTTTTTTAATGTTGAAAATGTATTTTATTTTTCTATTTTTAAAATATGTTTTTATTTCAATAGCTTTCAGGGTACAAGTGGTTTTTGGTTACACAGATAAACTGTGTAGTAGTGAAGTCTGAGATTTTAGTGTACCCATCACCTGAGTAGTATACATTGTACCCAATATGTAGTTATTTTATCCCTATCCCACCCCCAGCTTTTGAGTCTCCAGTGCCCATTATTTCTGTATGCCTTTGCATACTCACATAGCTTAGCTCCCAGTTAAGAGTAAGAACATACAGTATTTGGTTTTCCATTCCTGAGTTACTTCACTTAGAATAATGGCCTCCAGCTCCATCCAAGTTGCTGCAAAAGACATTATTTCATTATTTCTTTTGTATGGCTTGTATTCTATGGTGTATATATACCATATTTTCTTTATTCACTCATTGATTGATGGGCACTTAGTTGGTTCCATATCTTTGCAATTGTGAACATTTGTTTTTGTGAACATTTGTATTTTTGAGTGAAAGACTGTGTTGCCATGTTGATTGGTGGAGACAGTGCAGACGTTAGGTAACTTTGCAGTTCTGTAGGTCTGTTCCAAAGAGGTCACTCTTCTGAGTCAGAGGATGTCCTGTAGGCTCTGTCTAAATTGGTGGTACCTGTTGACCAGCGGGCTTCCCTGTAGGATAAGTGGGAGAGGGCACTGGGCCTGTTTCATGTGTTTACCCACTCTAGATCCATCTCACGGGTCTCTAGTTACCTCTGCTGTGTCCCTCTCCAGAGCCCCAGCATCTTTCTGCAGAGCTCCCCAGGCAGATCTTCCACCATAACTGAACAGAGTTCAGGGGCTCCCTGAGGAAGCAAATGCTTCCTATGTGAATACTGGCCTTCAACTCCATTTTTAAGGATGATTCCCACACCCAGGCTGAAACCTGAATCGAGTTCTTCCCAATCCCCACATTTATATATCCAGATAAAGTTTTCAGAATTATCTTCTATAGTGGCAGCCTTGTCCATTTTAACCTAAATTCTATATAATAATAAATTTTAAATCAGTGAGGTTTTATTATGTACTAACTTTATAAAAAAAGAAATGTACTGTTTTGACTGAATTTATTGATAAATTTGTCAGGTTTGTCAGATCAGTAGTTAATACCCCACTTTAATGTGATTTTTAGATCACTAACTACTTTCTTTTCCTCTAACAGAGATATTACTTCCCTTGTGAGCCAAGTGATACCTATTTTTGCCCCTTTTCATCTATTTGATGCACTTGCAGTGAGTATTTGGAGTGATTTTACTCTAATAAAGATAGCAAAATTTGTTTTGTGTTTCTAGCTTTTTAATTAGAAATTAAAGGTCGGTGATTTTATTTTTAAAAAGAGAAAGCTCTTGCTTTAGACAGTGTGAGTCACTTGGGGGAAGATGGTTTATTAAAGAGTGTAGCCTCTCAAGGTGGAGAAGAGGCTTGTGAGCCAAGTGAGTTCTCCCCTCCTCTATCTTCATCTGGTGCCTGAATGCCAGGTGTTGTATCCAAGTGGTGAGGTGACCTTTGCTTGAACCCTCCACTGCAGGCCACGCCACCTTTGAGTTGACTCTGACCACTAGAAAGTCCCTGTCTAGGCTGATCTGTGGGTGTACAAGGGTTTGAAGACCTGCTCTACCCCAGAATCAGCCCATCCGGCTTCTTCCCAGTTTGAGTTTTTTCCTCATGACATGATTTCTAGGCATTAGTCATCTTTTTTTCCATGGAATTTCTTGCACTTTGTCCATGTCATCCTGAAGATGTGGCACCCATTGAAACTGTGGTAAGAAGTGTGGATGAGAAGCCTGCAATGGCGTTAATGTTTCTCAGCCATGATATTAGGCTAACTTTTGAAGAGATGCCATTGATGAAACCTCTACATCTTTTTTTAACTTACAAAATGTTTTTAAATAGTCAAGATAAAGAGTTAGAGATTTAAGTCATGTTATGATAGGTTTCTGATGAAAGGAGCTGCGGTTTTTTATTGCTGTTGTTGTTAATATAACTTTAGAAACAAAAGATTTCCTTTTTCTCTTACATAATGTGCTGTGCCTGTTTTGAGTTAGGGCCATTTGACTGTATCCATATTTCTGAGCCTTGTGATGATGACAGACTTGACAGCAACATTGGGTTTGGTTTTCCTCTCCATAGGGCGCCTGTGGTGGAGTCCTGAGAGGTACAGGAAAACAAAACATTGGCGCTATCTTGAATGCCATTGGGTACTATGTCTTTGGTTTTCCCATTGGAGTATCTCTGATGTTTGCCACTAAACTCAGGATAATAGGTATGTGTTTGAGTCCTGTGACTTGTCTCAAATCTCACTTGTCATATTAAGATAAACTGCTTGAGATATAAAACAATTGACTCCAGCCCCACTGGAAACAAGAAAACAAAATAACTCTTAAAAAAAAGCAATCAACTAGAAAGTTGCCCTTGTGTTAATAGGAAAAATTATTTTCTCCCCCAATATTTATTGGGTGCCTCCTCCACACAAATACACTGGAAATGCAATGGCAAACAAAATAAACATGGTCCTGCCCTCTGAATGAGGGCCAGATTCAATACTTATTTATACAATTGTCAATACCTGTTGGTTAAGCATTGCAAAAGAGAAGAAGAGGGCACTGCTCTTCTCTTTTTTCCGGCATAATGCCTCTAGTAGTACAATAAGTTGTGGTAAAAGTGGAAATTCTTGTCTTATTCATTACTTTAGTGATAGTGCTGCCAGTGTTCCTCTACTAAATGGTATGCTGGATTTGAGGTTGAAATACACGCACACGGCCAGGCGCAGTGGCTCACGCCTATAATCCCAGCACTTTGGGAGGCCGAGGCGGGTGGATCATGAGGTTAGGCGTTTGAGATCAGCCTGGCCAACACAGTGAAACCCTGTCTCTACTAAAAATACAAAAATTTAGCCAGGCCTGGTGGTGGGCGCCTGTAATCCCAGCTACTCAGGAGGCTGAGGCAGGAGAATTGCTTGAACCTGGGAGGCAGAGGTTGCATTGGGCCGAGATCGCGCCATTGCACTCCAGCCTGGGTGACAGTGTGAGACTCTGTCTCAAAAAAAACCAAAAAACAAAAAACAAAAAAATGCACACACACACACACACACAACTATGAATGTATGTGCTCGTGTTTTTTGAAATCATGTTCAGGAAATGTCCATGAAGTCTATTTTATTGAAACAAAAATAGTTGAGCATTTTGCCAGATGCCTTTTTAGTGCTATCAGAAATGATTCTATAATTTTTCTCCTTAGGTCTATCATGAAGATAAATACTATTAAATTGGTGTCCTCATATTGAACTATCCTGATTATGATATCTTGTTTTTTATTGAACTGCTACACTTTTTTTTTTATTTTTTTTATTTTTTTTTTGTTTAATTTTTATAATATATTTTATTTAACCCAATATATCCAAAATCATTTCTTTTTTTTTTAATTTATTTTTTTATTGATAATTCTTGGGTGTTTCTCACAGAGGGGGATTTGGCAGGGTCATGGGACAATAGTGGAGGGAAGGTCAGCAGATAAACAAGTGAACAAAGGTCTCTGGTTTTCCTAGGCAGAGGACCCTGCGGCCTTCCGCAGTGTTTGTGTCCCTGATTACTTGAGATTAGGGATTGGTGATGACTCTTAACGAGCATGCTGCCTTCAAGCATCTGTTTAACAAAGCACATCTTGCACCGCCCTTAATCCATTTAACCCTGAGTGGACACAGCACATGTTTCAGAGAGCACAGGGTTGGGGGTAAGGTCACAGATCAACAGGATCCCAAGACAGAGGAATTTTTCTTAGTGCAGAACAAAATGAAAAGTCTCCCATGTCTACTTCTTTCTACACAGACACGGCAACCATCCGATTTCTCAATCTTTTCCCCGCCTTTCCCGCCTTTCTATTCCACAAAGCCGCCATTGTCATCCTGGCCCGTTCTCAATGAGCTGTTGGGCACACCTCCCAGACGGGGTGGTGGCTGGGCAGAGGCGCCCCTCACCTCCCGGACGGGGCGGCTGGGCGGGCGGGGGGGGCTGACCCCCCCCACCTCCCTCCCGGACGGGGCGGCTGGCCGGGCGGGGGGCTGACACCCCCACCTCCCTCCCGGACGGGGCGGCTGGCCGGGCAGAGGGGCTCCTCACTTCCCAGTAGGGGCGGCCGGGCAGAGGCGCCCCTCACCTCCCGGACGGGGCGGCTGGCCGGGCGGGGGGCTGACCCCCCCACCTCCCTCCCGGACGGCACGGCTGGCCGGGCGGGGGGGCTGACCCCCCACCTCCCTCCCGGATGGGGCGGCTGGCCGGGCGGGGGGCTGACCCCCCCCACCTCCCTCCCGGACGGGGTGGCTGCCGGGCGGAGACGCTCCTCACTTCCCAGATGGGGTGGCTGCCGGGTGGAGAGGCTCCTCACTTCTCAGACGGGGCAGCTGCCGGGCGGAGGGGCTCCTCACTTCTCAGACGGGGTGGTTGCCAGGCAGAGGGTCTCCTCACTTCTCAGACGGGGCGGCCGGGCAGAGACGCTCCTCACCTCCCAGACGGGGTCTCGGCCGGGCAGAGGCGCTCCTCACATCCCAGATGGGGCGGCGGGGCAGAGGCGCTCCCCACATCTCAGACGATGGGCGGCCGGGCAGAGAGGCTCCTCACTTCCTAGATGTGATGGCGGCTGGGAAGAGGCGCTCCTCACTTCCTAGATGGGATGGCGGCCGGGCAGAGACGCTCCTCACTTTCCAGACTGGGCAGCCAGGCAGAGGGGCTCCTCACATCCCAGACGATGGGCGGCCAGGCAGAGACTCCTCACTTCCCAGACGGGGTGGCGGCCGGGCAGAGGCTGCAATCTCGGCACTTTGGGAGGCCAAGGCAGGCGGCTGGGAGGTGTAGGTTGTAGTGAGCCGAGATCACGCCACTGCACTCCAGCCTGGGCACCATTGAGCACTGAGTGAACGAGACTCCGTCTGCAATCCCGGCACCTCGGGAGGCCGAGGTTGGCGGATCACTCGCGGTTAGGGGCTGGAGACCGGCCCGGCCAACACAGCGAAACCCCGTCTCCACCAAAACCAGTCAGGCGTGGCGGCGCGTGCCTGCAATCGCAGGCATTCGGCAGACTGAGGCAGGAGAATCAGGCAGGGAGGTTGCAGTGAGCCGAGATGGCAGCAGTACAGTCCAGCTTCGGCTCCGCATGAGAGGGAGACCGTGGGGAGAGGGAGAGGGAGAGGGACAGGGAGAGGGACAGGGAGAGGGAGAGGGAGAGGGAGAGGGAGAGGGAGAGGGAGAGGGAACTGCTACACTTTTTAAATATTTTATTAAAAAATTTTGCACTAAAATTTATAAGTAAGATTGGTCTGTAATTGTATTTTTTGTGTATCTTTGTTAGGTTTTGATATTAATGATATTAATGTTATACTCACTTCTTAAAGATAATTAAAAATTTTACCTTTTTGTATGCCTCAGGACAATTTAAGTAGTATAAGAATTCTCTGTTTTATAAAGGTTTGGTGTAATTCTTCCATGAAACTGCCATGACCTGGCATTTTGAAGTAGTTTATTCTTTGTACAGCTTTCTCAATTTCTTCTCAGTCTATTAAGACTTTCTTTTATTGTGTCAACATGGGTAAGTTATATTTTTTAAGGAAATTATCCACTTTATTGAGGTTCTAAATGTAAAGAATTGTGCAAATTAACTTATGTGCTTTTGGGATAAGTTGTTATATATGTGTTTTGCATATATGTCCACATCTTCATTTTCTACAGATTTAGCAACAATGAATTTCATTTTGTTTTTAAAAAGTCTAACTAGAAAATGGAATGAGTCCTGTAATATGTACTCAAATAACTCCTTTTGTTCTGTATCCAACCAGTGCATTACTTTTACTAGGTAAAAACTCTGATTCTGTCACCATTTCTTTGTGAAGTATTAGTCTTACAGCTGTCACAAGAACTTTGTGTCAACACAAACACAGCGGCTGTTTCTTATCGTCTTTTTGGAAATGTCATCTGGTGGATTAATGAGTAAGTGTCTTCTGTGTCATCTCCCACTTAAATGACTGGTACAGGCTGGGACCATAGGATATTTTATTTCAAGCTGGAATTCGTCATTATTTATTTGGGGACAGAACAGCCATATTTATTACTGTCTCTTCTCTACCAAGCACTCTTGGATTCCCAATACTATTTTCCATCCCGTGGTTGGACGGATTGTTTTCAAGGCAAGCTTTTGAAAGCATCAGGTCTCACATCTGTGGATGCACACCCCAGGCTTGAGCTCTGTGGCAGGTCCCCGTCAGCCTTAGGATGAACCCCAGTCCTACCATGGCATTCACATCCTTTGAGCCTGCTTCTCTGACCCCATCTCCTGGATGCTCCCCTGCCACTGTGCTCCTTTCTGACTGGCCCCTCAGCTCCTGGGACTCCTCTGGCTGGGGTTCTTCTCTTCCCTCTGCCTGCAGTGCCCGTCCTAGACTTCTCATGGCGTCTTCTCGCTGCCAGGTCCCACCTTAGAGGGGCCTGGCTGTCTCATTCACATTCTCATCTGCAAATCTTTGGTGCTATGACGTGGCTCTGCCCAGTGTCTGTCCTGGCACCTCTCACTCCTAAAATGACTGCATGATTGCTTCCTTGTTTATTATTTGTCCTGCACAGCAGAACATAAACTCCCAAGGACACCTTGCTCATCTGCCTGTTCAGTTCTGTATCTCTAGCCCTTAAAACAATACCTGGCATAAAACTGAAGGCAGCAAGTATTTGTTAACATACAAGCAGCAAACAGTTTTGGAGGTGTTGTGTCGTTCATTGATTGAATGATTGCCATGAATAGCTCAGTGGTAAACTTGAGTCTAATCTTTGTCCATAATTATCTAAAATTTTATCTAAAATTTTAGGGAAATTAACTGAAATTTCACTCTATGGATACAGTAGTTAGGGAAGAATTTTAATGCTCATAGGAACAGAATTGAAAAAAATCTAAACTCTGATTTCATTTTATACCCATAGGTCTCTGGTCTGGATTGATAGTTTGTGTCTTCTTTCAAGCCCTTTTCTATCTGGTGTACATCTTGAGGATAAACTGGAGCAAAGTTGTGGAGCAGGTAACAGTCAGTGTATTATTTTAGAAACATGGCTCTACTTAATCCCATGGCATGGTAAGGAACCTCTTAGGGTCAAAATGGTAAAAATGCTATTGGCAGAATGATTCACTGTGAATCATGAAATACATCTAACATTGTGGGGAGGGGAGGCAAAAGAAAACATATTTCAGCACATTTTCCTCTTTATATAGAGCTGATTTAATATCTACTAACCAGGGACTCAACCTAAAAAAGAAAAGGAATTAGGGCCAGGCATGGTGGTTCACACCTATTATCACAGCACTTTGGGAGGCCGAGGCAGGAGGATCACTTGAGCCCAAGTGAGTGTGAGACCAGCCTGGGCAACAGAGGAAGACCCTATCTCTTAATTTAAAGATATATATATTTTGCTGTTTGGGTGTACTAGTTGTAGGAAAATAGTAGTTTGTTTCCTGTTTATACTGACTTGTTAGCTGTTCTTTATGCCTCTTTCTATTTTGTCCATAGTTTCATAAAAGCACTATGTTAAGTATCTGTGATCTGTGGGAAGTACTTTGGGGGCAGAACAACAACATGTGGATAGAGTCTGCATCTTCACTGATGTGAGCATCTACATGCTGAACTGGGAGCCATTTTTTTGTTTGTTTTTTTCTCGAGACGGAATCTCGCTCTGTTGCCCAGGCTGGAGTGCAATGGCGCGATCTCAGCTCACTGCAACCACTGCTTCCTGGGTTCAAGCGATTCTCCTGTCTCAGACTCCCAAATAACTGGGATTACAGGCACGTGCCACCACGCCCGGCTAATTTTTTGTATTTTTACTAGAGACGGTCGTGGGTTGGGGGGGTTCACTTTGTTGGCCAGGCTGGTCTCGAACTCCTGACCTCATGATCCACCCACCTTAGCCTCCCAAAGTGCTGGGATTACAGGCGTGAGCCACCATGCCTGGCCAAGCAGTTTTTATTGTTTGAGGCTTGAGATGAGATGGGTGGTTGGGTACAGTGGCTCACACCTGTAATCCCAGCACTTTAGGAGGCTGAGGCAGGAGGATGACTTGAGGCCAGGAGTTCAAGACTAGCCTGGGCAACATAGCAAGAAGCCATCTCTACTAAAAATAATAATAATACTTTTTTAAAAAAAGAGATGGGTGGTTGGCTTAGGGATTATTAATAAGGAAACAAGATGAGTTTAGGCATGTCAACCATCACTGTCTAAGCTTTGACCACCTTTATGCTTTAGATTTGCCTAACTATGATGCATTGTATCTTTCCTATCTTCTGTTTGATTTATTCAGGGACTAAACTTTATAGGAGATTAAGATGGGCCATAAACTACCCATTAGATCACAATACCATTGACCTTCAGACCTTCTTCCTTCTATCTGTGTTTCGGAGCACTGAAGGGCACAAGTGCAAATGATATGTTAAACTTGCCGCTCCAGCAACAGCAGCTTTTTATATTATTGTTGTGAACTGAGTCTGTGTTTTTCTGGTGTTGTTCTCTTGCTTTATGGCACATCCAGGACCAAGACAGACTGTGCTAGATACTGTAACCCATTAGCAGTAGGTTTCATAGTAGCTTTATTTATTTTTCGAGACAGAGTCTCACTCTGTCACTCAGACTGCAGTGGAATGGTGCAATCTTGGCTCACTGCGACCCCCACTTCCTGGATTCAAATTATTCTCCTGCCATAGACTCCTGAGTAGCTGGGATTAGCCCACCACCACGCCTGGCTAATTTTTTGCATTTTTAGTAGACATGGGGTTTTGCCATGTTGGCCAGGCTGTTCTTAAACTCCTGGCCTCAGGTGATCCGCCCACCTCAACCTTCCAAAGTGCTGGGATTACAGGTGTGAGCCATTGCGCCCAGCCCACAATGGCTTTAAGTCAAAGTTTTAGCAAACAACTACTAGCGTGATTAAACTTACTCTGCATTTACTCATGTGACACTTGTTTCTAGGCACAGGTTCAAGCTGGACTAAAAGGGAATAAAGAGACCATGCCTACCTCCTCAGGTAACAGAGGCCATTCTCTAGTATATTCAATGTCTGAGGTACGAAAACTGAAACAGTGTAGCCAGAGTTGCTCAGTTTGCAAGATCCTGCTCTCTTGCTCAATAAAACTTGTCTCAGCCCTAGTAATTGGTGAGATCACCTGTGGGTTCTCCTATGAAATATTTTTAAATGTAATTTCACATATACTAACTGATAACTGAGGGTTATTGTTTATAACGTATTCTTAGGTAAACTTCATAATATGCCTTTACTTGACATAATATGCCTTTACTGGACATAAGTGAATACCCCACTATTCTCTGCAAACAGATCTACCTATCTTGGGAAGAGAAGTAACTGATGGAATCATTTTGCCTGATATCATCAGACCAGAGAGCCAGACCCCTCGACTGATGAGACCAGAAGAAAACACCCAGTATGCAATGTCCACCGCTGGAGAGGTCCTGACAGTGAGGCAGCTGATATTCTATCATGGAATGGCTTTAGCTCTTGCTGTCACTTTCCTTTCAGCAGGAATTTTCATTAAGAGTTTTCAATGACCATGGCTAAAATGGTAGAATTACCACCATTCTACAAACTAGAAATGATAATTATATGCCATATGTTAAGTATGAAAGGTGACCTTGTTATTTGGACAGTTTTTACTCTTAACTGTGGATGGAAAGAATATCAGGGATGTTTCCTTGGTTATTCCAAGGAATTGCACTATCCTATTGGAGATCAAGAAAGGGGCTATAATTTTAAGTAAAGTTTTCCCTGTTAATTTTATCATGGTTTCTAAATATACAAATTAGATTTTCCTTGATGTAAAGGTTACTTACTCTTTCTTATTTCAAACATCTTTCTTCTCCTGGGGAGTGGTTCATAGTCCTGTAAAATATTATTGCTGATCTATTTTCTTTGTATTTCTCTATGAATGTACTTAATCTTGTCAGTGAGTGTATATTAAGTGCTTGTTCAAGTCCTATCTCAGGTATTGCCATATAAGCTTTTATAAAATGGAACCTCTTAAAATTTACAATGTATGCTGACAATATTTGGAGCTATACAGTCAATACAAAAGATTAACTTTTAGCATTTTTGCCTTTTAATTAATTTTGTGGCAACTTTCATTTAAAGTAGAAAATAAAGTAGAAAATAAAGAGCTGTGTTCTCTTCTGCTACTCAGCTCCCAGAATGCTGGCAGCTATGGTGGCCTCATCCTCAAAGCAAAAGAGTTTTAGTCTTTTATAGGAAATTAGACCAGCCCAAAAAGAAAATCCTTAAAAAAATCTGAATATTGGGTATTCTCTCACACAAAGCCCACCAGATTCCCAGGAGAGGAGCCCACAGTGGAAAGCACCCAATGTCACCAGTGCTTCCCTTAGCTTATTTGTCTCCCTCTCTTGAGTGTTAACAAGCAACCCAGTATTATCAGATTATTTGTGAAAATCCAATTATAGGAGAAAGCAACCAGAAAAAAAATAGGCATTATAGGGAGAAAACTTACATCTTCAAAGAGGTAACGCAAAATATTTCAACTATGATATAGAATAGGATGCTATAGAATAAAACATTCAGTCAGGTATGGTGGTACACACTTCTAATCCCGGCACTTTGGGAGGCTGAGGCAGGTGGATGGCTTGAGCCTAGGAGTTCAAGACCAACCTTGGTAACATGGCAAAACCCCATCTCTACAACAAAACCACACGTCTGTAGTCCCAGCTACTCAGGATCTGAGGTGGGAAGATCACTTGAGCCCAGGAGTTCGAGGCTACAGTGAGCTCTGATCACACCACTGCACTCCAAAAAAAAGTTTTTTTTCCAGAAGATTATGTATGTACGTATGTATGTATGTATGTATGTATTTAGAGACAGGATCTGGCTCTGTCTCCCTGGCTCAAGCAGTGGCATGATCACAGCTACTGTAGCTTTGATCTCCTGGGCTGAAGCGATCCTCCCACCTCAACCTCCCATGTAGCTGGGACTACAGGCGTGTGCCACCACTTCTGGCTAATTTTTTTTTTTAGTTTTAGTAGAGATGAAATCTCGCTATGTTTCCTATGGTGGTCTTGAACTTCCGAGCTCAAGAGATCCTCCTGCCTTGGTCTCCCAAAGTGCTGGGATTACAGGCGTGAGCCACTGTGACTGGCCCTAGATTTTATTGAAGTAAAATTCATATAACATAAAATTAACCCTTCCAAAACATTTTTATCATACCAAAAAGGAAACTCAGATTATTAACCTCTCACTCCCCATACCCCTCTCCCTGAGTTCCTGGCAACCACTAATCTGCTGTCTGTGCCTGTGGATTTACCTATTTTGGATGTTTCATAATGAAGGAATCATAGAACATGTGACCTTTTGAGTCTGGCTTTTTGAACTTGGCATGCATGATGGTTTTGCAATTCCTCTATTTTTTTTTTTGAAACAGAGTCTCATTCTGTCACCCAGGCTGGAGTGCAGTAGCACGATCTCAGCTCACTGCAACCTCCACTTCCCAGGTTCAAGCAATTCTCCTGCCTCAGCCTCCTGAGTAGCTGGGACTACAGGTGCGTGCCACCATGCCCGGCTCATTTTTGTATTTTTAGTAGAGACGGGGTTTCACCATGTTGGTTAGGCTGGTCTTGAACTCCTGGCCTCGTGATCCACCCACCTCGGCCTCCCAAAGTGCTGGGATTACAGGCATGAGCCACCATGCCTGGCCCGCGATTCCTCTATGTTGTAGCATGTCTCTCAAAACTTGATTCCTTTTTCTGGCTGAATAGTTTATTGTGTGATATGCCACCTGGTGTTTATTAATCAGTTGATGGACTTTTAGATTGTTTCTATGTTTTGGCAATTGTGAATAATGCTGTAGTAAATACTCGTGTACAAGTTTTTGTTTGAACACCTGTTTTCGCTTCTTTTGAGTCTATACCTAGGAGTGGAATTACTGGGTTATATGATAATTCTATTTTTTTTCTTTCTTTCTTTTTTTTTTTTTTGAGATGGAGTCTTGCTCTGTTGCCCAGGCTGGAGTGCAGTGGCGCGATCTTGGCTCACTGCAAGCTCTGCCTCCTGGGTTCACGCCATTCTTCTGCCTCAGCCTCCTGAGTAGCTGGGACTACAGGCACCCGCCACGATGCCTGGCTAATTTTTTGTATCTTTAGTAGAGACAGGGTTTCACCATGTTAGCCAGGATGGTCTCAATCTCCTGACCTCATGATCCGCCTGCCTCGGCCTCCCAAAGTGCTGGGATTACAGGCGGATAATTCTATTTTTTTTGAGGAACTGCCAAAATGTTTCCCATGGTGGCTGCACCATTCTTCATTGCCACCAGCAGTGTATGAGGTTTCCAGTTTCTCCACATCCTTGCTAACACTTGTGATTTTCTTTTTGATTTTAGTTATATCATACTAGTGGGTGGGAAGTGGTGTCTCATTGTGATTACTAGAGATCACATACTACTAATAATGCCAAGCCTATTTTCTGAAATACTTCAGAAACTCAGATACACATAAAGAAAGGAATTATGTACTAGAAAAGGAATAAATGAAGGTAAAATATTTTATCCTTCTTATTTTTAATTGATAAAAAATATATGAAAATAATAGCAACAATGTATTTGGTTATTACAGCTTGTGCATAGCTAAAATGAATGACAACAGTGTTATAAGGGTCAAGAGGGAGGAACTGAGAATATTCTAAGGCACTTGCATTACCCATGAAGAAGAATAGTGTTATTCAAAAGTGGAATTAGGTTAGTTGTAAATGCATATTGCAAACTCCAGGACAACTAATGAAAAAGTTTTTAAAAAGTAATATAATCAATATGCTAAGAGAAGAAAGAAAATAGCATCTCATAAAATGCTCAGTTAAAACCACAATGGAAGAAAAAAAGTAACAAGGACAACAAAGAGAAAAGGTGGGCAGGGCGTGGTGGCTCACACCTGTAATCCCAGCACTTTGGGAGGCCGAGGTGGGCAGATCACGAGGTCAGGAGATAGAGACCATCCTGGCTAACAAGGTGAAACCCCGTCTCTACTAAAAATACAAAAAATTAGCCAGGCGTGGTGGCAGGCGCCTGTAGTCCCAGCTACTTGGGAGGCTGAGGCAGGAGAATGGCGTGAACTCGGGAGGCGGAGCTTGCAGTGAGCTGAGATCGCGCCACTGTACTCCAGCCTGGGCAACAAAGTGAGACTCCGTCTCAAAAAAACAAAAAACAAAAAACAAAAAAATAGAAAAGGTAACATATACAGATACTAATCTCACTATACCAATAATGACACCTTTTCTTTGAAAAAAAAAAAAACACTTAATAAAGTGAGAATAGAAGGAAAGCTCCTCAAAATGATAAAAGCCATATATGACAAACCTCCAGCTAAGATCATACTCAATGGTGAAAGACTAAAAGATTGTCCCCTAAGATCAGGAACAAGACAAAAATGTCTGTTTTCCCCACTTCTATTCACAATACTATTGAAAGTTTAAGATGGTGCAATTAGGCAACAAAAAGAATAAAAGGCATTTACATTGGAAAGGAAGGAGTAAAATTACCTGTGTTCAAAAATAACATGATCTTATATGTATAAAACCCTTAACATTCCACAAAACCATTAGACTCAATTAACAAATTCAGAAGTCACAGGATGCAAATCACAACACACAAAATGAGTTGCATTTCTATACACTAGCAATGAATGATCCCAAAAAGAAATTAAGAAAACAATTACATTTTTAATAGCATCAAAAAGAATCAAATGCATAGGAATAAATTTACCATGGAGGCAATAGACTTGTACACGAAAAACTATAAAACATAATTGAAAGAAATTAAAGAAGACATAAATAAACGGAAAGACAATCCATACTCATGCATATGAAGACTTAATACTGTTAAGATAACAATATTACCAAAAGTGATTTAAAGATTCAATGCAATCTCTATCAAAATCCCTAAGACATATTGCAGAAATAGAAAAATCCACCCTAAAACACATATGGAATCTCAATGGACCCAAATAGCCAAAAATGTCTGACAAAGAAGAACAAAGTGAAAGGACTCAGATTGCTTGATTCCAAAACAAACTACAAAGCTACATAATCACAGTGTGGTATTGGCATAAAGACATGCCTATGGACAGAATTGGGAATGCAGAAATGAACCCTTGCATATATGGTCAAATGACTTAAACAAGGGTGCCAATACCATTCAATGGGAAAAGGAAAGTCTTTTCATCAAATTGTGCTGGGAAAACTGGATATCCACATAGAAAAGAATGAAGTTGATCCCCTATTTACGATATATAAATATTAGCTCAAAAGTGGTCAGTCTGGGTACAGTGACTCACACCTATAATCCCAGCACTTCGGAAGGTCAAGATGGGCTGATTGCTTGAGCCCAGGAGTTCAAGACCAGCCTGAGCAATATGGCAAAACCCTGTCTCTACAAAAAATACACACACACACACACACACACACACACACACACACACACACACACACAAAAGGTGTGGTGATGTGTGCCTGTAGTCCCAGCTACTCAGGAGGCTGAGGTGGGAGGATCACCTGAGCCTGGGAGGTGAAGGCTGCAGTGAGTTCTGATTGCACCACTGTACTCCAGGGTGACTGAGTGAGACCCTATCTCAAAAAAAAAAAAAAAAAGTGATCAAAGACCTAAACATAAGACCAAACACTAAGCCTGCCAGAAGAAAACATAAGGGGAAATCTGGATTTGGCAGCGATTACTTGGATATGCACAAGCAACAACAACAAAATAGATAAACAGGACTTCATAAAAATTAGAAACTTTTGTGCATAAAAGGACACTATTAATAATATAAACAGGTAACCTTCTGAATGGGAAAAGGTATTTGCATAGTATATATCTGATAAGGGATTTATGTTCGGACATAAATTCTTAACAACTCACAAGAACAAAATATACAAACAGCCTAATTCAAAACTAGGCATATGGCTGGGGATGGTGGCTCACACCTGTAATCCCAGTACTTTGGGAGGCCGAGGCAGGTGGATCACTTGAGGTCAGGAGTTCAAGACCAGCCTGGCCAACATGGTGAAACCCCATCTCTACTAAAAACACAAAAATTAGCTGGGCATGGTGGCAGCCACCTGTAATCTCAGCTACTCAGGAGGCTGAGGCAGGAGAATCACTTAAACCTGGGAGGCGGAGGTTGCAGTGAGCCAAGATCACGCCACTGCACTCCAGCCTGGGTGACAGAGCGAGACTCTGTCTCAAAAACAAAAAACAAAAAAACTAGGCATAGGACTTGAACAGACATTTCTCCAGAGAAGATACATAGCTAACCAGGGCATGAAAATATTCTCTCTGCATCACTAGTCATTAGGGAAATGCAAATCCAAACCACAATGAGATATTACTTTATACCTATTATAGGGGTCATTACAGAAAGAAAACAGAAAGCAAGTTTTGGTGAGAATGTGGAGAAATTGGAACTATTGTACATTGCTGATGGGAACATAAAATGGTGCAACCACTATAGAAAATAGTATGTGAGATCTTTAACAAATATAGAATTATGATATGCTGCAGGGACTCAAACAGATATTTGTACACCAGTGTTCACAGCAGCATTACTCACAATAGCCAAAAGGTAGAATCAACCCAAATGTCCATTTTGTAAATGGATAAACAAAATGTGGTATACTTACAATGGAATATTAATCAATCTTAAAAAGAAATGAAACTCTGATATATGCTATAGCATGGATGAACCTTAAAAACATTGTGCTAGGGCTGGTGGTGTTGTGGCTCTTGCCTATAATCTCAGCACTTTGGGAGATGGAGGCAGGAGGATCCCTTGAGCTCAGGAGTTTGAGACCAGCCTGGGCAAAATGGTGAGACCCTGTCTGTACAAAAAATTTTAAAATTAGCCAGGTATGGTGGCACATGCTTGTGGTCCCAGCTACTCAGGAGGCTGAGGTGGGAAGATCACTTGTGCCTGGGAGATTGAGGCTGCAGTAAGCCATGTTTGTGCCACTGCACTCCAGCCAGGGTAACAGAGCAAGACCCTGTTTTCCCCTAAAAAGAAAACATTGTGCTAAGGAAAATAAGCCATATGCAGGCCTATTATACAAGGACACTTGTACAAGTACGCAAAGACACATCTTGTATGATTACACGTATGTGAGGTGCCCAGAATAGTCAAAATCATAAAGTATAGAGGTTATTAGGGGATTGAAAGAGAGCAAGAGGGGAATTATTGTTTATGGGTACAATTTCTGTTTGGGATGATGAAAATGATCTAAAAGTGAATGATATTGATGGTTGCAGAACATTGTGAATGTACTTAATGTCACTGAATTGTGCACCTTAATGGTTAAAATAGTAAGTTTTATTTATTTTATTTCAATAATAAAAATGCCTGTAATCCCAGCACTTTGGGAGGCCGAGGCGGGTGGATCATGAGGTCAGGAGATCGAGACCATCCTGGCTAACAAGGTGAAACCCCGTCTCTACTAAAAAATACAAAAAATTAGCCGGGCGCGGTGGCGGGCGCCTGTAGTCCCAGCTACTCGGGAGGCTGAGGCAGGAGAATGGCGTGAACCCGGGAAGCGGAGCTTGCAGTGAGCGAGATTGCGCCACTGCAGTCCGCAGTCCGGCCTGGGCGACAGAGCGAGACTCCGTCTCAAAAAAAAAAAAAAAAAAAAAAAAAAATAATAATAAAAATGCCTCACTTGGATCACAAACATCTACAAAATTCTACAGATAACATATTAGTCAAAAGAAGCTGCATGCCTTCCTGCTAATATTAGGAACAAAGCAAGGATGTCCCCTCTCACCACTCATTTTCAACATCGTAACTGAAGTTTTAGCTAATGTAATAAGACAAATAAAGGAAATGTATACATATTAGGAAGAAAGAAATTAAGCTGCCTTTGTTCACAGATAACATGGTTATCAAGGTAGAACATCCCAAATAATCAACAAAAAAGATTTCTGGAACTAATAAGTGATTATAGCATGGTATCAGGATGAAAGTTATTATACAAAGTCAATTATTTTACTATACAATAGCAATGAACACTTTGGATTTGAAATTAAAATTAAAAACACCACTTACATTAGCACCAAAAAGGGGCGGAAATACTTAGATATAAATCTAAATATATACAAGATCTATATGAGGAAAACTACAAAATTCTGATGTAAGAAACCAAAGGAGATGTAAATAAATAAAGAGACAGTCCATGTTCATGAAAATGAAGAGTTGAAGTTGAAAAGATGCCAGTTCTTCTCAACTTGATACATGGATTCAACACTCTCAATCAAAATCTAGCAGTTTATTTTGTGGATATTGACCAACTTGATTCTAAAGATGACATGGAAAAGCAAAAACCCAGAATAGCCAACACAATGTTGAAGAACAAAGTTGGTAGACTGACACTACCAACTACAGGATTTACCATAAAGGTAAACACAATAATGTGGCATTGATGACTGAATAGACAAATAAATAGAACAGAATACAAAACTGAAAATGGATTCACACTAATACAGTCAACTAAGGTTTGACAAAGAAACAAAAGCAATTCAATGGAGAAAGGACAGCTTGTTTGACAAATGGTACTGAAACAACTAGATATCCACATGCCAAAAAATAAAACAAAACCAAAACCTAGAGAAAAATCTTGTATCTTTCTTTTCTTCCTGACATGCATCACTATAAAACTCCTAGGATAACACAGGAGAACATCTAGGTGGCCTTGGGTTTGGCAATGACTTTTTAGATACAAAACCAAAAGCACAATTCATGAAAGAAAAAATTCATAAAATGGACTTCATTAAAATTTAAAACTTGCTCTGTAAAAAAACACTGTTAATAGAATGAAAAGACAAGCCAAGGATTATGAGAAAATCTTTGTAAAAACATAGCTTATATAAAAGACTATTTATCTAAAATATACAAATAACTATTTAAACTCAACAATAAAAAGCAACCCAATTAAAAATGGTTTAAACAGACACCTCACCGAAGAATCTATACAGATGGCAAATAAAGATGTGTAAAGATACTCAACATTATGTGTCATCAGGGAATTGGCAATAAAACAATGAGATACCACTACACACCTATGAGAATGGCTAAAATCCAAAGCACTTACACCACCAAATGCTGGCAAGGATGTGGCACAGCAGGAACTCTTATATATTGGTACGAATGCATGATGAATGGTACAGCCACTTTGGAAGAGTTTTGCAGTTTCTTACAAAGCTAAGCATAGGTCTCCAATAAGCACATACCCAAATAAGCTATTTACCCAAATGAGTTGAAAACTTACATCCACATGTTTTATGTATTTTTTGTATCTTTTATGTATATTTTACCATTTTAATCATTTTAAGTGAACAATTCAGTGGCATTAAGTACATTCACAATGTTGTGCAATCATCGCCACTATTTACCTCCAGAACTTTTTCATCATTCCAAATTGAAACTCTGTCCCCATCAAGCAGTAGCTCTGTTACCATAACCGCTTCCCTTGCCCCCTGCCCCAGCCCTTAGTAACCACTGTTCTACTTTCTGTTTCTATGAATTTGACTATTCTATCATGTAAATGGAATCATTTGTCTCCTTTTCATTTTATGTAATTTTGTCAAACTTCTCTTTTTGTATCTCTTACCTTTTGTTCTCATGCAACTTTCATCTCTATTAAGGTGTGCTTTTCTCTTCTCTTTCTTTCCTGAGTTTCAATTCGAGTTTGCCCTCTCCTGTTTTCTTATAATCTATTCTTTAATCCCTCACAGCCTTCCTTTGGGCTAACTCCTCCGCCCCCGCCCCCAAAGATCATGTGTCAGTGTCTTAAGAGATTGTGAGAATTACACATCAGAATGCTTCATCTTTTGTAAAGATCTTTATCTCCTTTTCCTTAGAGTTATATGCATGTGTGCGTGTGTGTAGTGTCTATGGTCCTGTGTTTGTTCTTTTCTATTATTGATCTGTGGACACAAACATTTATATTGGCATTTGCTGAAGAAGAGTGTTTTGAAAGTTAGGAAAGGTGTCCAAGGCAGTCTGAGGCTTCAATTCACGTCTGTTGTCTTAAACACCTTTCATAAAATCTGCTATTCCCAGCTATGGAAATATGTGCAAATAGTCAATACACATGAAAAGGAACCCACCATGATTAGTCACTAGGGAAATGGAAGTTAACATCACAAGGAGATATCACTACAAGCTGGGTGCAGTGGCCCACACCTGTAACCCCAGCACTTTGGGAGGCCAAGGCAGGTGGATGTCTTGAGCTCAAGAGTTCAAGACCAGCCTGGGCAACATGGCAAAACCCTGTCTCTACTAAAAATATAAAAATTAGCCAGGCACGGGGGCACACACCTGTAACGCAAGCAACTAGAGAGGCTAAAGTGAGAGGATGACTTGAGCCCAGGAAGCAGAGGTTGCTGTGAGCTGAGATCATACCGCTGCATTCCTTTTTTTTTTTTTTTGAGACAGAGTCTCAAAAAAGAAAAAAAAAAAAGAGAGAGAGAGAGAGAGATCACTACGCATCCACCAGAATGGGTAATTATTTTTTTAAATCAAGTTTTAGAAAGCAGCTGCTAGACTGTGTGGTAGGGAATATAAATTGGTATAAAAACACTGAAAAATTATTTGGCTTCTAAAGTTAAAACATGTATTTACTTTCACCCAGAAATTCTATAGTGGTGATTGGGTAGGGGCCTAAAAGGAATGCTGGTAATGTTCTGGGTCATAGATACAGGTAGGTAAACTCTGTAATAATTTACTGTAGGCACTGTTTTGTATTTATGTAGTATCCAATGAAAATGTAATGAAATTTGGGCCAGAAGGCAGAAAGAACTCCTGGGTACACACTCACTACCTTAGTCCCCCTGAGGTTTAAATAATTAAAAGTGTCTGTTTCATCCTTGCCTTTAAGAAAACTCTCCCTGCTGATAACTGAGCAGATCAAAGATCTAAAGGTTGTGGTGGAGAAGGGTCATGGAGTTGATTACCCCCAATAAAAACAAAAAGAAAAACTTGGTTTTTTTTAAGCTGAAAAAGGAGGATGGAAAAGTATAGTGGGCAGGCATAGTAAAATCACTACAGTCTACTGCATTCCTGAAAGGAGAAGCTTGTGAGGACTCACCCCTTACCCCTATAACCTGCTGTGGTGATTTCATTACCCATAGCTACTTAAATCAATGAGTATATCATATTCAAAAGCTGAAGGGAGAATGTTTCAGCTTGGGAGTGTAGTAAAAGAATTCCCAGTCCTCTCTTTGGTTCCATAAATATATCACCTTGTTCTATTAAAGCACTTGGATGTGATTTTTAAATATGCCCAACAAAATGCCATCAGTTGATTTCTCTAACTAATAAAGAAAATGTTCAAGAGTTGGTAGTAAATTCTTGGTGATTATGCCATTAGAATCAGAGTACATCGTTTGTAAGAAATCCTCAGCCCGGCACGGTGGCTCACGCCTGTAATCCCAGCACTTTGGGAGGCTGAGGCAGCGGATCATGAGGTCAGGAGTTTGAGACCAGCCTGACCAACATGGTGAAACCCTGTCTCTACTAGAAATACAAAAATTAGCTGGGCATGGTGGCACATGCCTGAAATCCACCTATTCAGGAGGCTGACACAGGAGAATTGCTTGAACCTGGGAGGTGGAGGTTGCAGTGAGCTAAGATTGCACCACTGCACTCCAGCCTGGGCGACAGAGCGAGACTCTGCCTCAAAAAAGAAAGAAAGAAAGAAATCCTCACATCTTATGCTCAGCAAAAGCAGCAGCTCTTCGCTACTTAGCAATTAATTTGCCCTAGGTGAAACCGATTCCTGTTCTAATTCCACACTGGAATTCTGTTCATTATTTACATTTTTTTTAAATGGAAGCATGATTCATATCTCAATTTACCTAGTTCCTTACACAATATTTATTAGCCAGCATTTAGAACTGGTTACCCTTTCAGATCAGATAAAGATTATTGGGTACACTCTCTGGCGGCCTTTGAGCTGATTTAAATATTGTTGCCACACGGTTCTAGATACTGATATTAGTTGATTGGCTTCCTATGCACAAGCACTCCTCAGTTACTTACATAATTGAATTAAACACTTTGTATATGTTGGAGCTACTGCTTTTGTTATATAAGCCTGCTTGCCTTTTCACCTACTGTCTCCCAACTTTAACTATGGTATTTCCACATGGGCTGGATTTTTTTGTTTTTGTCCAAAGCAGGCAAGCGAGAAGTAGAAGTGAAGAAGAGTTTGATGGTCTTGCCAATTTCCTTGCTTCATCATGAATCTCCTTAAGCTTCAAATTACAGGCTGTTGAGAAAGCCACAAAAGTAGACAGTGCCAAGACACTAAGACTAGAGTATGTGAGAGTGTACCATTCATTCATTCATTCATTCAATAAATACTTACTGAGCACCTACTGTGGGCCAGATTCTATTCAAGGTACTAACATTACAGTGAACATGAACAACAAAGACCCTGATTTTACAAGATATTCCAGTGAGGAAGACACATTAAAAACAACAAACAAATAGATACATTTATATTAAGAAAAATAAAACAGGGTCAGGGACAGAAAGTAGCAGAGACTGATATTTTAGACATGGTGGTCAGGGAAGTCTTCTTTAGGGAGGTAATATTGAAGCAGCAATTGAATTAAGTGAGAATGATAGCTGGACACTACAGGCAAAGGAAACAGAATGAATGCAAAAGCCCCGGGCTGGGAATGTGTTTAGAATGCTCAGTAGTGTACAGCAAGGAAGGCACTCTGGCTGAAACTCACTAAGTGGGAGAATCCTACAAAAAGAGGTTGAAGATGTAGTCACGGGCCAGGGCATTTAGGGCTTGTAGAATATGTGTAGAAAAATTCACATTTTGAATTTTATTCTAAACGTGAGGGGAGGCTATTGGAAAGTTTTAAGCAGTGAATTAACATGATCAGGGTACCTTCGGACACCAATGGCTAGGTGGAGAACAGGCTACAACAAAGTGTTATCAGAGTCCAGTCACGAAAGATAAACTATCTAGTTATTTCATGCAGAGGGAATTTTAAGAGTAATAGATGTCAAAAAGAATAATGGAGTGACATCATAGATAAAAAAGCTGCTAAAAATACCCTTAGCTGGAACCAATGGAACTGCACCAGCTTCTGTGCCATTTGGAGACACTATCACTTTCATCCTCTGTCTACTAGAGAGGTGCCACCTTGACCATGGAAGGAATTCCTAGAGTAAAGAATAATCCCTCCTCCACTTTCACTATAGAAATGGCCAGCAACTGCCACACGATTGAATCCAGAAGCAGTAAGTTACTCTCCACCTCCTGCCTTCTGATTTCCTTATAGTGCCCCCTACTGGCAGAAGCCAGCGGGCACGAGAGCCTGGGAAATGGGGTTCACACACTCTAGGTCCCTGCAGTAGAGTATAAAAGGGCAAGTGTAGAACTGAGAAATAACAATCTCTAGAGTCAAGAGTAGAAGCAGGGGGCCGGCGAGGTGGCTCACATCTGTAATCCCAGCACTTCGGGAGGCTGAGGGAGGGGGATCACTTGAGCCCAGGAGTCGGAGACCAGCCTGGGCAACATCGCAAGCCCTCATCTCTACAAAAAATACAAAAAAATTTAGCCAGGCATGGTGACACATACCTGTAGTCCCAGCTACTTGGGAGGTGGAGGTGGGAGGATCACTTGAGCCTGGGAGCTGGAGGCTGCAGTGAGCCATGATCATGGCCACTGCACTCCAGCCTGGGTGACAAGAGTGACACCTTGTCTAAAAAAAAAAAAAAAAAAAAACCCGAAAGAGTAGAAGCAGGGAAACCATCAGGATGCCCGGCCTGTTTTTTCTTTTTCATTTTTTTCCCCTCAGCTGTGGTAATTTAGCCAATTCAAAGACCTTGTTCTCCATAATTTCAACTTTCCTTCAGATTTGACCAAGTCAAGTAGAGCTGGTCAAACCCAATGGGAAAAAGACCAAAACAACAACAGAAACAAACAAAGAAACAGTTAAGCAAAAGAAATGATCGCACAATTTGTATTATTGAGCGCTCTAATGGTAAGGAGAAATTAAGACCAGCTGGTTGTTAATCTTAACTTTAGTCACCAAGGAGAGTTTCCAAGACAAAACTCCAATTCAGGTGCTTACCTAGGAATAGGGTCCAGGCTCAAGACTGCTCTTTACCATTTTAGAAGGAGAAAAAAAACTCAGACTCACCTTCCCTGCTGGAAGCCAGATGAAATTCCAGAAAGGAGTTGCCTCCCCTCCATCGTCATGGAGGCAGGAAAACGCACCTTCTTTGTTGGGAGTAAGTAAAACTGCAGACAAAGAGGTGTACAGCAAAATAAACTTTAGATCTCAACCAAATTTTGGGACATCAGGGATTCTCTGGAGTGGGGTGCTCCCAGGCCTCAGCAAATTGTCCTGTTTGAGCAATAAAAATAGCCCAAGCTGGTACCAAGCACTGATAGATTTGTCAAAGGTCAGGGCCACCTCCACTGAGTCACTTCCTTTGGCTGCCAGCTTGTAAACCAAAACCAGCTCTCAATCAATTTGGAAGTTTATTTTGCCAAGGTTAAGGACATGCTTGGGAGGGAGGTCTGTGCCTTTATCTAAAGATGATTTTGAGGGCTTCAATATTTAAAAGGGAGGAGCGGGCTGGAGGGGAAAGAGGGAGAACATGGTCATTACTGAATCCACACATTGCACAAATAGAAAAAGGAACAGGCAGGGGAATAGTCAATTATGTATTTGCCTCCTGCTGTGTAAATCAGCACTTCAGTAAGATAAGGTGAGGACAGAGCAGCTACCTGTGGGGACATTTAACCTTTTATCTGTAGCTATCTGCTTAGGGACATAGAGAAAGGCAGTTTCTTGCATGACTCAGCTTTTTGCTTAATTTTTTCCTTTTGGCATAGTGAATTGAGCTCCCACGGTTTTTGTTGTTTTGTACATAAGTGGAGAGTTCATTTGGGCCAGGGCCCCGAGTTATTTTCTTTTCACAAATATACCCTTTAGAGTTCAGAGGAAAGGCTGGGATTAGAGCCTTCTGTGAGCACTATTCATGGGATTACATGAGGGAGTGGCTGTGAAAAGAGGGCCCCGGACTAAGCCCTGGGCACCTGAACAAGTGAGAGGTCAGGAAGGGGAGAAAAATCCAGCAAAGGAACCCCAGAGGACCCGGCCAGTGAGCTAAAAAGAAAAGTGCAGAAGAGTGCAGGGAAATGGTAAAGAAAAGAAAGCTTTCCACAAGACAGGACCGATCAGCTGAGCCAACTGCTGCTGAGTACAGTGATGAGAGCTGAAGTCTCTCGCCCGAAAGGCAATAAGGCGGGAGGGGGAAACCTGAGGGCAGCGGGTTCTCTCTTGGGAGCGGGAACACGGAACCATGGGCAGCGAGGCAAATGCAGCCTGGGGAGAAGCTCTGAGTAACGGACGTGCGAGGATGATGCTTGTGCAAGAAGGAAATGACCGCTGTCCCGGCTCCGCGGGAGACGAACCCCGGCTTCCCGCCCTCAGGGACTAGCTCTCCAGGGAACTGGGACGGTCAGTGCCGGTCGAGGCAGCTCCTCGCTGAAGGAAGGAGCAGGGGACAGGGAAGCGGAATGGGGAGCGCTAGGCCTCCAACTACGTCCATCTGGCCATGTTTGAAGAGCCACAAAATGGAGGAGGGAACCCCTCAGAGCGTGCCAGAGCGGAGACTGCTCTCCGTCGCAGTCGGGGCGCTTCCGGCAGGGCGCCCACTCCCAGCCGAGCGCCCTCCGCCTGCTCCTCCAGGATTCCTCTTCGCCCTTTCTGGGGCCGCCCCGGGGCGCTCTCAGCAGGATGGCCAACACCTTCCCTCCATCCCTACACCCCGCCGCCCCCTGGCCCGTGGCCGCGCTCGGCTCCCGCACTGCTCACTCCACCCCCTACATCCCAGCCCGCTGCCAGAGCCGGGGAGAGGGCGGGGGCCGCGTGGGCGAGGCCGTGAACAGCGGCTGTCACGTGGGCCGCCCAGGCCAATAGGGGTGAGGCTTTGGGTCGAGCTCAGTCCTCCCCCGGCGCCTCCGACTGGCAGTGGGACTCAGCGGGCGTGGAGGTCGCGGCTGAGCGAGCGAGCCCTGGGCGAGTGAATTGTGGCTGTGGGTTGACGGTGGAGACACCCCCCGGAGGGAGGCGGAGGGAAGGGAGGCGAGGCCTGCACCTGCATGCTTCCCGCCTCCCACTCCCCAGCGCCCCCGGACCGTGCAGTTCTCTGCAGGACCAGGCCATGGAGCTCGAAGTCCGGCGGGTCCGACAGGCGTTCCTGTCCGGCCGGTCGCGACCTCTGCGGTTTCGGCTGCAGCAGCTGGAGGCCCTGCGGAGGATGGTGCAGGAGCGCGAGAAGGATATCCTGACGGCCATCGCCGCCGACCTGTGCAAGGTACGCACGCGTGCGGCGGGGTGTGGGGAAACTGGCCCCCGCCGCGCACTTGTGGACTGGAGCTTCGGCTGGGTTTTGTTTTTGCTTTTACATTTCGGATTACTCCAGCACTGGGAGTATGATCTCCAGCGATACAGATAAAGCCAAAGTTCCCGCAGACTTTCCCGGTCCTCTAGCACTCAGAAGGGCATATGTTACCTAGCTTCTGTGGTTCCTTTTCTGCCTTTTCTATTCTTGTCCATTTTTCTGTTACATTTGTGGTTCTTTTCCTTATGATGTGTAGGAACTCTTTGTATATTCTGGATTTAAGTAATTTGTCAGTTTACTGTATTGTGGATACTTTCTTTGGGTTTCTTTCTTTTCTTTTTTTTTAAGCCAAATTTAGCAGTGGGAGAGTTGCATACCAACTTGAATAACAGTAATATTAATAAGTTCTGAATAACCCATTACCATCAGACCAGCCTCTGGGTCTATTTCTTGTCTTTTAGCTTTGTTTATGGTTTCTTTGTTAGACAGAGTTTTGTTTTTAAGTTATAGTTGCAGTCAAATTTTTCTTCATAACTTTGTGTATTATTAGGTCAGTTCTCCTCAAATTTTAATGCACTAACAGTCACCTGGGGATCTTGTTAAAATGCAGATTATGGTTCAGTATGTCGGGGGTGGGATCTGAGATTCCAAGTTTCTAACAAGGTCCCCAGTGATATCATATGCCTCTTTTGGAAGCACGCTTTGTGTAGCAAAGTTTTTATTGTTTTGATTTGTGTGTGTGGTTTTTTTGTTTGTTTGCTTGTTTTGTTTTGCTTTTAAGACGGAGTCTCACTGTGTCTCCCAGGCTGGAGTGCAGTGGTGCGATCTCGGCTCACTGCAACCTCCATCTCTTGGGTTCAAGCGATTCTCTTGCCTCAGCCTCCTCAGTAGCTGGGATTACAGGCGTGCGCCACCACACCCGGCTCATTTTTGTATTTTTAGTAGAGATGGAGTTTCACCATGTTGACCAAGCTGGTCCTGAACTCCTGGCCTCAAGTGATCCGCCTGCCTGGGCCTCCCAAAGTGCTGGGATTACAGGTGTGAGCCACCCCCCCGGCCTGTGGTAGCAAAGTTTTAAGTAGTGTTTTAGGGTGTAAGTATATTCCTGTATGTTTGCTGATAATATTGTTACTTTTTTTTTTTTTAAACGGACAGGGTCTCCCTTTGTTACCCAGGCTGAAGTGCAGTGACTCAATCATAACTCACTGCAGCCTCCAACTCCTAGGCTCAAGCAGTCCTCCTGCCCCAACCTCCCAGATACTAGGACTACAGGCATGAGGCTATCATCTTGTTTTTGTTTTTGTTTTTGTTTTTTTTCTTGAGGCGGAGTCTCGCTCTTTCTCCCAGGCCGGACTGCAGTGGTGCTCTTTTGGCTCACTGCAAGCTCCACCTCCCGGGTTCACACCATTCTCCTGCCTCAGCCTCCCAAGTAGCTGGGACTACAGGCGCCCGCCACCGTGCCCGGCTAATTTTTTGTATTTTTAGTAGAGACGGGGTTTCACTGTGTTAGCCAGGATGGTCTCCATCTCCTGACCTTGTGATCCGCCCGCCTCAGCCTCCCAAAGTGCTGGGATTATAGACGTGAGCCACCGTGCCTGGCCTATCATCTTGTTTTTACTTTTTATCTGCATTACATGTGTAGCAAGGCTTTGCTCTGGGTTTGTGATTTTTCCCTTCCCCACAATCCCCTCAATCAAAGATTATTTTAATAAGTCGTAATAGTGGTAGTACTAGTAGCAACTATGAAATTTCTTTTAGAGTACTTTTGGTGGAAAGGGGCTGTGATATTAAATAAACAAGATGGGGTAATTAAGATTCCAAAAAGTCTGTGTCATTTAATCATACTTGAAGAACTAAATGTTTGTGTGAGTATGTGTGTATATAGGATGACTCAAGAAATACAATAAGTTCCCTGTCCTCAAGAGTTTTAAACTTGACTGGGAAACAGAACATACACAGATGAAATGTGAGTGATAGTTATAAACCAGTGTGTTAAGGATGAATATTAAGATGCAGGTCAAAAGCATGATTGCTGTAATATATAAAGTGTGTTCAGAGCAGACCTTTATTGCTCAAGGAAATCTTCCTGAAAGAGGTAATATTTAAGCCTGGCTTTTAAAGGGTGTGGATTACTAAAGAAGGATTTACTAATGGTATTCGACTAGTGTTACTACTCCCTGAAATAATCTTTGATTTTTTTAAAAGAAATATATTAGAGAATTAGCAAGCCCTTACCAGGGGCGTGAAGGGTGCAAAAGGAGTCTGAATGGCAAACAGCTAGTCTGATAATGCCAGTTGTTGTCACTACAGGTGTACCTGGTGTGAGTGTTCTGACATTCAGGGCCAAGTGTATCATACTTACTCTGCAAGATTAACTGTGATTCTCTTATAACAGAGTGAATTCAATGTGTACAGTCAGGAAGTCATTACTGTCCTTGGGGAAATTGATTTTATGCTTGAGAATCTTCCTGAATGGGTTACTGCTAAACCAGTTAAGAAGAACGTGCTCACCATGCTGGATGAGGCCTATATTCAGCCACAGCCTCTGGGAGTGGTGCTGATAATCGGAGCTTGGAATTACCCCTTCGTTCTCACCATTCAGCCACTGATAGGAGCCATCGCTGCAGGTCTGGTGCCACCTTATGTCTATATACCTTTTTAGGGAGGCTTATTTTCTCATATTAATTGGAAATTAAGGATAGTGGCTAATTAAATACATTTACTTGGTGATTTGCCTTTGTTTACACCACCAGTGTACTGAGAATTCATACATACCATACATATTTTTAAATGGGCTGCTGAGGAGATTTGTGTGGCTATGTTTTGAAGCACCTGGGGAATGAACCTGTGGGAGTGTAAAGATGTGTGAGTCAGCAGGCCCAGGAGTTTGGAGTCAGGCATCCATGTTCTAATATGGTTTCAGTTGCTGGCTCTGGCTTCGGATGAACCATTTGATTCTGTCTGACCAGTTTCTTCATTCAAATAAAGACTATGAGAGTAATGCTAGCTTGGGTATATAGCAAATGCCAGGAGATTAATTTCTCACTTTGCAGGATCCAGATAGAGAGATGTATGTTGAAATGGCTCACTTGCCCAATAATTCCAGGGCAGAGAGGACAATCTAAGGGCAGAAGTGGGAGAAAAGCGATAGAAAGCTGGAGGAGTGGGAAAGGCTGCTGGAACCCATTGTCAGTGACCTGAAGATGAGGACAGCTAAGGAGTTAGCCTTAGAAGAGAAAGTGAGATGAGCTCTTATGCTAATTATGAGGATATGCAGCATTGAGAGCTGCAGAAATAATTGGGAGTACCTAGCCTGTTCTTCCCACTGAACATCATTTTGGTAGCTATTAAAGTTAAATATTAGATGATACTGTTCTACTTTTTACTTTATTTAGGAAATGCTGTGATTATAAAGCCTTCTGAACTGAGTGAAAATACAGCCAAGATCTTGGCAAAGCTTCTCCCTCAGTATTTAGACCAGGTAAGAATTTCTTGACTCATCTCCAACATATGTGTTTACTGTGGAAAACACACATTTTATTTTCTTGCTATTGCATGTTATTGCTGGCCGGGGACCCAATTGCAGTCTCTTTAAGCCTTCAACAGTTGGCTTAGCAAAAGAAGTTCGGTTCCAAAATACACGGAGTGTATTTTGTGTGGAGTCACCCAGCTCTTGGGGTTACACAATATATGTAGGCCCATGGCTTCATGCCAAACAGATTCTGTGTTTGTCTGGGATTTGGGGTTAATTTTTGAGCTAACATGATTTTAGGTGTTTTCATTTAATGGATTATTTAATGAGGGACTGGTACTGTGCTGGGTGCTGACATATTTCTGTTACTAACAATCTCTTTTGTTCTAACAAAATGTACTTTTCTGTGATTATATAAGAGTACTTTTTTTTTTTTTTTGAGATGGAATCTTGCTCTGTCACCCAGGCTGTAGTGCTGTGGTGTGATCTCGGCTCACTGCAACCTTTGCCTCCTGGGTGCAAGCGATTCTTCTGCCTCAGCCTCCCAAGTAGCTGGGATTACAGACGTGTGCCACCATGCCCAGCTAGTTTTTGTATTTTTGGTAGCGATGGGGTTTCACCGTGTTGGTCAGGCTGGTCTCGAGCTCCTGACCTCAGGTGATCCGCCCAGCTTGGCCTCCGAAAGTGCTGGGATTACAGGTGTGAGCCACCATGCCCATGTGTCTGGAATTGGTGGGTTCTCGGTCTCACTGACTTCAAGAATGAAGCCGCGGACCCTTGCAGTGAGTGTTACAGTTCTTAAAGATGGTGTGTCCGGAGTTTGTTTCTTCTGATGTTCGGACATGTTCGGAGTTTCTTCCTTCTGGTGGGTTCGTGGTCTTGCTGGCTTCAGGAGTGAAGCTGCAGACCTTCGTGGTGAGTGTTACAGCTCTTAAGGCGGCGCATCTGGAGTTGTTAGTTCCTCCTGTCTGGAGTTGTTCATTCCTCCCGGTGGGTTCGTGGTCTCGCTGGCCTCAGGAGTGAAGCTGCAGACCTTCGCAGTGAGTGTTACAGCTCATAACGGCAGTGCGGACCCAGAGTGAGCAGCAGCAGCAAGATTTATTGCAAAGACTGAAAGAACAAAGCTTCCACAGTGTCAAAGGGGACCCGAGCAGGTTGCCGCTGCTGGCTTGGGCAGCCTGCTTTTATTCCCTTATCTGGCCCCACCCGCATCCTGCTGATTGGTCCATTTTACAGAGAGCTGATTGGTCCGTTTTGACAGGGTGCTGATTGGTGCGTTTACAATCCCTGAGCTAGACACAGAATGCTGATTGGTGCATTTACAATCCTCTAGCTAGACATAAAAGTTCTCCAAGTCCCCACTAGATTAGCTAGACACAGAGCACTGATTGGTGCATTTACAAACCTTGAGCTAGACATAGAGTGCTGACTGGTGCTTTTACAATCCTCTAGCTAGACATAAAAGTTCTCCAAATCCCCACCAGATTAGCTAGATACAGAGTGCTGATTGGTGCATCCACAAACCCCAAGCTAGACACAGAGTGCTGATTGGTGCATATACAATCCTCCGGCTAGACATAAAAGTTCTCTAAGTCCCCACCCGACTCAGGAGCCCAGCTGGCTTTGCCTAGTGGATCCCACGCCGGGGCTGTGGGTGGAGCTGCCCATCAGTCCAGCGCTGCGCGCCTGCACCCCTCAGCCCTTGGGCGGTCGATGGGACTGGGCGCTGTGGAGCAGGGGGCGGCGCCCATCAGGGAGGCTCGGGCAGCATGGGAACCCACCAGGGGCGGGGTGGGGGCCTTGGGCATGGCGGGCTGCAGGTCCCGAGCCCTGCCCTGCGGGGAGGTGGCTGAGGCCCGGCGAGAATTCGAGTGTGGCGCTGGTGGGCTGGCATTGCTGGGGGACCCGGGGCACCCTCCTCAGCAGCTGGCCCAGGTGCTAAGCCCCTCATTGCCCAGGGCTGGCGGCGCCGGCCAGCTGCTCCGAGTGTGGGGCCCATTGAGCCTGCGCCCACCCAGAACTCGCTCTGGCTTGTGAGCGCCACGCGCAGCCCCGGTTCCTGCCTGCGCCTCTCCCTCCACACCTTCCCACAAGCAGAAGGAGCCGGCTCCAGCCTTGGCCAGCCCAGAGAGGGGCTCCCACAGTGCAGCTGTGGGCTGAAGGGCTCCTCAAGCGTGGCGAGAGTGGGTGCCAAGGCCAAGGAGGTGCTGAGAGCGAGCAAGGGTTGCCCGCACGCTCTCACCTCTCACCCAGCCTATAAGAGTACTTCTGCTTTCAAAAAAGACATGTCTGTGGCATGAAAACATGCCACACATACACAAAAAGTGCCCTCCTGAACTAGAGGGCAGATCCTCACACTGACTTAACATGCTGGCATTTAAGAATATCAAGAACTGAATAAAGAAAATGATCTGCCCAACTGCGGGTAGTTCATCTGTCTGAGTCAGAGGTTCTTATGCCTTCCTGGGGAGGAAGTTATGATGCCGCGAAGAAATTGGCACTGCTGAGTTCTACATGCAGTTGCTACAGGGAGGAGTCTTCATTTAGCTTTAAGCGAAATACAGCTTAAAAATATCTTACCTGTATTCTGTACATCAACTTGTGATGGATTGAGGCCAGTTCTGGTTCTTGGAATGATATTTTTCTCTTTGTTAGAGCCATTTTGTTCTAATAGCTGTGATGATCCAATCAAGAAAGATGAAATGGAAGACAGTGAGATGTCAAGGATTGAATAGGACGTAGAACCAGAAGATAGAGGTTGAAGGTACCGCTTTGCCCCTGACCAGGGGTAAATTCTTCAATAACTGACTCTGTCCGGATAAGGAGGATAATAATGCTCTACCAGCTTCAGTTACCGTGTTAGGGGATCAATAATATATGCTATGTAGATTAAGCCATAGAAAAGTTAAAGCTTGAAACATTTGTTGGGCAGCTGAACCATGAAGTGAATGAAATTAATTCGCCTTCAAGTGGAAACATGAGATCCACAAGCCAGCTTTTACTTCACACTTCCACCTTGGAGTCTTGAATACCTCTCTGTCTTCCTTGCTTGCCATCTGTTCTCTTACTTTTGATGCTGTTATTGTCCAAGATGTTCTCTCTTAGAATAGCTGGTAATGATAGCACAATGCATAGATGGGCTCAGTCCACAGAAGCTACGTGAATTCTCCCAGTAACAGATGAGGAAATTGAGGCTCAGAGATGTTCAGTAGCTTGCCTAAGGTTGCATAAGCTAGTGAGTGGCAGAGCCCAGATTCAAACCAGATACACTTCAAAAGCAAGCGCTCTCAGCTACTGTGCCGGATATACCATTCATTCAGAATAGCGTGGGCTAAGCCCACTCTGTGTTGTGAGACAGAGAACATTCAGACTAAGACATGCATGACCTGTCCTGTGGGAGCCACTCTTCACCAGAGGCACTTCTGCACACACCCGCGTCTCATGCATTTTCCCTGGTCAAATTCAACCATTTGTTCTCCTTAGTGTCTTTGTTGCTGAGCTCATGTAAAAAAACACTGGAGTCTCCAGATTAGTTCTATGTGGGTTCATGCTTCCCAGATGCCATCGGACTGTGTGTTCTCCTCTTGTCCTTGGTCAGTTCCCTCTCCCATCCCTCACAGGGACTGGTCTTGACACTCTCTGGGTTTTACTGAATGTTACATGTTTATGTTGAAGAGATTGCTGATGTTAGACGTTAGGATTTATTTGGCAGTGCAAGAGTTTGTGTTTCTCTTTCTTTGAGGATCTCTATATTGTTATTAATGGTGGTGTTGAGGAAACCACGGAGCTCCTGAAGCAGCGATTTGACCACATTTTCTATACGGGAAACACTGCGGTTGGCAAAATTGTCATGGAAGCTGCTGCCAAGCATCTGACCCCTGTGACTCTTGAACTGGGAGGGAAAAGTCCATGTTATATTGATAAAGATTGTGACCTGGACATTGTTTGCAGGTGAGTCTGGCTCTCTGATTTTCTGAGGTTTTCCCAGCACAATGGAGACTTTTCCTGACAATGTTACTCTTTGTACTTGAACCCCATACCTTATGGCTCCAAGATACATTATTAAGCTTTGGTGGTTGATGTCCTCAAGAGTAACAGGAGTCTTTCACTGTCTCTTGGCGCCACTGTCAAAAATGGTGAGCTGTAAGTCCTGACATCATGTGGTTGTCCTTAGGAATTTTAAAAAAGTTATATCTGTTCTCAAGATTACAGCTAGATCTAGCAAGAAATTTTAACGTTCTTCTGGCCAGTGATCTGTGAAGTACATAATCCAAAGTATTGTGTGTGCCTAATAAAATCTTTAAATGCCCATTTGAGAGGGTATTATGCTGATATCTTAACTGAGATCCTTTGTGGGCAAAACAAGTGTTCCTCATTTTTTAACTGTGAATAACATCTTGCATCTGAAAATTAGAAAATAAGAGGTTTCAGGTTCTCTCTGCTAAATCCGGTTTAGCTACTAAGAAGTGCCAAATCATAGAACTGACTCTGTGCTCTGGGTGGTGTGGCTTTCTCTGCCCTTCAGAGATTCCAGGTCAGGGTTCCAGGTTGGCTTCCTAAGTAGAAATCCATTTGTCAAAACCAGACACCCTCAGTTAGTGAATGTTTAGGGCATGGGTTTCTGCCCATGCATAGGAAAGGTCTTCCCAAGTGGGGCAGGGCTCCACAAAGAGGAGGATGGCCTTGGAGGCTGGCTGACATCCTGCTTTATACCTGAACATCTTGCAGGCAGAGCCAAAAGCCACAACCAGGAGAGTCTGTACCGAACTCTGGTCATCCAGGACTTTCCTTTGGCTGGACTGGAAGAGGGGAAAGGACATTGGGAGGCTGTTTCTCCTCTTTTCCTGCAGCAGGCAATGGCTTCACTGTTTACCAAGTACTGTTTGCCGTGAGCTGGCCTGAGAACTTCCCTGCTATGTAAAATATTCCACCTCATTTGGAAAATACTTTCTAAGTTCCAAACAACTGATTTAGAAATGAGTTTTTAACTTTTTTATAAAAATTGCCAGATAAATATATGAATCTATTTTAGTTGCAAGACATTCAAACAACACAATGTAACAAATGAATATTTGACTGAATTACTGAATTATATAGCTGTTCTGGATGTTTTCCCCTCAGACGCATAACCTGGGGAAAATACATGAATTGTGGCCAAACCTGCATTGCACCCGACTATATTCTCTGTGAAGCATCCCTCCAAAATCAAATTGTATGGAAGATTAAGGAAACAGTGAAGGTTTGTATTAAAAACATCTGATTCCACTGATTTTAATAAGATAAGGAGTCAAATTAACTATTCGCAGGCAGCATCCCCATTTGTTTCTCCCTTCAGGAAAATTTCAAAATCATATGTGACTCAGTGAACTTATTGACTAATATGAAAATGCTATGTGTACCATAGAATATATGCTGGGAGCAAGGTTGCATTGGTGTTAAATCTACTTAAACTGTCTAGTTGATTTGTTGATGATTAGTTGTGGCATATACTTTTTTTAAAAAAGTTAAATAATCGTGTGTCCGTGGTTTTGAGGGAATGTTGCCAACCCTTTAGGTATAATCAGAGAGACTCTTTGGCATATTGGCCATTGCTGCTGAAGGTTATCAGTTTTTGTGTATGTAGAGGGCCTAGGGTGGCCAGTAGTTTGGAGGAGTGACTTAATTAAATAACTACTTACAGTATACCCTTTATATAATTAACAATCTTTCAGCGTGTTTAAAGTAAATATTTGCAGTGAGGGAACCAAGGAAGACTGCATGTAGAGTCCTAAGCCAAGACTTGAAGAAATATAGGATTTAAGTTGGTAGAAAGGAATGGGGGCTGGGCACGGTGGCTTATGCCTGTAATCCCAGCACTTTGGGGGGCCTAGGGGGGCAGATCACTTGAGGTCAGAAGTTCAAGACCAGCCTGGCCAATATGGTGAAACCCTGTCTCTACTAAAAATACAAAAAAATCAGCCGGGGATGGTGGTGCATGTCTGTAATTCCAGCTACTCAGGAGGCTAAGGCACGAGATTTGCTTGAACCCTGGCAAGAATCGCTTGAACCCGGGAGGCAAAGGTTGCAGTGAGCCAAGATCACGCCACTGCACTCCAGCCTGGGCGACAGAGCAAGACTCTGTCTTTAAAAAAAAAAAAAAAAAGAAGAATGGGATGACCAAATGACCAGTGTGACTGAGTTCAGCAGTGGGTGAGGATCATTAACCCCTCAGATGAAAGAAATTATTGGAGCAGTCACTGTTTACTCGACAGATGTTAATTGAGCACTAAAAGGAAGGATCAAAAACACCAAAGAGTAATGCATGTGATCTGAAAATGAAAATTGTTGGCCAGACATGGTGGCTCACGCCTGTAATCCCAGCACTTTGGGAGGCCAAGACAGGTTGATCACTTGAGGTGAGGAGTTAGAGACCAGTTTGGCCAACATGGCAAAACCCATCTCTACTAAAATTACAAAAATTAGCCGGGCATGGTGGCACGCACCTATAATTCTAGCTACTTGGGAGGCTGAGGCACAAGAATTGCTTGAACCCGGGAGGTGGAGCTTGCAGTGAGCCAAGATCATGCTACTGCACTCCAGCCTGGGTAACGGAATGAGATTTTATCTCAAAAGAAAAAAAGATATGAAAATTGTCGCCGTTGTGGTGGTTCACTCCTGTAATCCGAGCACTTTGGGAGGCTAAGGTGGGAAGATCGCTTGAGCCCAGGAGTTCAAAACCAGCCTGGTCAACATAATGAGACCCTGTGTCTACAAAAGAAAAAAAGGTTAGCTGGGTATGGTGGCACATGCCTGTAGTCCCAGCTACTCAGGAGGCTGAAGCCAGAAGGATCACTTGAGCCCAGGAGTTCAAGGCTGCAATGAGCCATTATTGCATCACTGTGCTCCAGCCTGAGTGACAGCATAAGACTCTGTCTCAAAAAAACAAAAAAAGAGAAAATTGGCTGGGCACAGTGGCTCACTCCTGTAATCCCAGCACTTTGGAAGGCCAAGGCAGACAGATCACTTGAGGCCAGGAATTCAAGACCAGCTGGGCAACGTAGCAAAATCTTGTCGCTACAAGAAATACAAAAATTCAGGTGTACCGGCGTGTACGTGTGGTCCCAGCTACTTGGCAGGCTGAGGTAGGAGGATCGCTTGATCCTCCTGGGAGGCGGAGGCTGCAGTGAGCCAAGAATGTGCCACTGGACTCCAGCCTGGGTGACAGAGTGAGACCCTGTCTCAAAAAAAAAAAAAAAAGAGAAAATTATGTACCAGGAAGTTCAGGACAATAGTTCACTATGTGTTCCAGGCAGAGTAACTTGGGGGATGAGGTGCTAGGGTCTTGACATGGAAATTGGACTATCATTTTTAGTCATAGGACTAAAAATGGATCCAGATGAGCACATGAAGGGAGAGTTGCCCAGATTCAGGGTATGTGGGAAGAGAGAGTGGTTAAAGATACTTGTGAGATTGAAAATATTTGGGAATTGGAGAATGCTTAGTTGAGTGTGGTGATGAATTCAATTTCAAAGGAATAAGGGCCTCTGCCTCCCTTTGAGGCATTTATACTCTTAACACAGTGGTTCTCAAGCTACATGTTACCCTAGTGAGCCATTTAAAAACAAGTTTGCAAGCCTTACCCTCCAAAGATTCAGCTCGTCTGAGGCCTCCAGGTGATTCTATGATGCATTCAGCATTGAAAACTACTGTTGGTGACTCTCGAGTCAGAGCCCAGGCACATGCATTTTAGCAAGCTGCACCAGTGATTCCGACCACCCAGACTTGAGAATTGCTCTTGGTAGAGGTTGGATGAACAATGTTCATTTTGATTTGGGATGAAATTGGGAACTCTCACAAGGCTTTGAAGTGATGCAGCAATTCAGTAATTTTGTTTGTTTTACTAAGTAAATATTGATTGTATGATTATTGACGTTCTTTTACCTTGGTAATTTACCAAAGCTGTATTTTGATCCTTCGGGTGGTTTCACCATCATGTGTAAGTGGTGGAAATACCAGTTCAAAGAAGACCAAAACAACAAAGTGGAGCAAAGATTGGCAAATGGTTTCTGTAAAGGGCTAGATGGTAAATATTTCAGGCTTTGCAGATGTTAGGGTCTCTGCTGTAACTACCGAACTTACTGTAGGGGGAAAGCAGGCACAGCCAATGTGCTAACAAATAGGCAACTCTGATGCAGAGCAAGACTTCTTTCCCCAGCCTGCTCCCACTGTCAGCCCCAGGAGGTGAAGGCCTGTGGGTGGACTCTAAGAGATCCATAAGAACCTTTGGAACTATGGACAATGACAGATCTCTGTGTGTGTGCATGCTTTATTTTCTGGTCCTCGACCTGCCAAAAAGCTGAAACTTGCTACTATCATACTACTGTTAAATTACTTGAGGGGTGGGGTGTTAGATTCTGTGAGGATATAAAACCAGATTGATTTTGGGGCATGGCTGGATTTTGTACTTACTGAAATTGAATTGTGGGTCTTTGTGACATTTATATACTCCTGTTGTTTTAAATAGGAATTTTATGGAGAAAATATAAAAGAGTCTCCTGATTATGAAAGGATCATCAATCTTCGTCATTTTAAGAGGATACTAAGTTTGCTTGAAGGACAAAAGATAGCTTTTGGTGGGGAGACTGATGAGGCCACACGCTACATAGGTAATGGAAATTCTCCTTTTCCTATGGGAAGATGGCAATTTGGCAGTTTTTGCTGACACTACTTATTAACACTAGATAAACTATTAAATATATAGCATTTAATTGTTAAAGTACTAAATCCTGCTTTCTGGTATACTGTACCTGTAGCTTTTGTTATAAACTATTTAAAATGTCTGTGTTTCTGTGTATTGAATGATGCCACCAGCGTTGCTCCAGTTGTTCATATTTACACATAACTCCTTTTTTCCTCCTAACAATCCTGAGAAGCAGAATAGAACTTGATGTAATTATCTGTAGTTTGTGGATGGGAAAACAGCACAAAGAAGGAAATAGCTTGGCCACTATTCCACAATTAACCAGTGACGGTACCATTCCAGAAATAATGTTTTGGTCCATCATGCTTGACCTTATTATTTGTGTACCTTCTTTGTGCTTTTTCTTCTTTGCCTTGAATATGTATTACTTTGAATGTTAAGCACATTTTTCTACAGTAACATATAAGGTGACAGAAAAATTAGACACATTTTGCTGGCAAAGAAGCTGCACCACCTAGCTTTACTTATCCCCTTTATCAGATAAGATGCTATAAGTCACCAAAAAAAAAAAAATCAACTTTAAAAAAAAAAACTTAAAAATGAAATAATAAGCAGAATTGATTCTCTTATAATTAGCAGTCCCGAGGTTCTCCTGAGCTAGATAATTCAGTGGCCCCGTGGTACCATCAAAAAACCCTGATTCTTTGTACTAGGATGCAAAAGAAAACAATCCTTGTGCCTTCTATCTCTCTTGGTGGCAGCCCAGATTGAATTGGGGAATACATCTGTAGAAAAAAGAGAAAACAGACTCTACTTGTTTCACCTCTCTGTTCTCCCATCCTCAGCATGTCCACATTGCCTATTTCTAGGCTAATGAATGGTAAGAGGAAGGGGCTATCCTGATTAGCTTATAGACTAATTAGGACTTTCCCCTGACTTCGAGCTGGGATCATCTTACCTGAGCATGGCTATGCAGAGGAAGTAGACACTCAGCCCAAATTGTTTCTCTGACCTGAGGAAGATGTGGGCAATGGATTTGGAGTGGCAGTTTATATACCCCCTGGAAGTGGTGCTGCAAGAAGCTGTCCCCAGCCACATTGCCAAGATAACCTATTAGAAACTGGGGGTAAAGGAAAAGTGCCAACTTGTTATTGTCAGATGACTTCTCTTTTGGTTGACGAGCCAGTTTCTTACTTACAGCATCTTTTGGAGTACTGCTAGTTGGTGACTTACATTGGCAGCAGATGCTGGGACACTTTGTCTAGCCTCCCCAGCATCTGTTTCACCCTCCTTTCTTGTGCCTCTTCCCCATGGTAGATGGAACAGTGGACTAAGGTTTAGGGAATTTTGACCATTTAAGTCTGTTTTCTTAATCTGTCTAACAGAGTTATAATAAAGGTTAATGAGATCATATATATGAAAGCACTCGAGTTAAGAAAAATAGTATTGATTTGATTCACAGAGGAGCTGTCTTTGCTCCTAGAAAGACCTGTCCATTCGAGACCAGCCTGACCCAACATGGAGAAACCTCATCTCTACTAAAAATACAAAACTAGCCGGGCGTGGTGGTGCATGCCTGTAATCCCAGCTACTCGGGAGGCTGAGACAGGAGAATCACTTGAACTCCAGAGGCGGAGGTTGCAGTGAGCCGAGATGGCACCATTGCACTCCAGCCTGGGCAACAAGGGCGAAACTCCATCTCAAAAAAAAAACCTGTCCACAGAAAAATGTTAAGTATAATCTACAGTTAAATACATGCATGGCTGTGAACAGGGTTCAATGTGAAAAAGATATATTTGAGTGTGTATCGTTCCCTTGGTTTGCACAAGTATCCGCAGGGTTGTGATTCACAGGCTTTGGAGACATTGAGTATGTGCACAGTTCATCCACGTGCTCAGGATTTTTCAATAGATATGACTTGGGTGGGAGAGGGAAAGGCATGGATAAGTGACCCAATGAAAGAGATGTAATATGAGAGTTGTGCATTTTTGTCTAATAAGCATTTTCATTTTGTTTATTTTCTTTTTAGCCCCAACAGTACTTACCGATGTTGATCCTAAAACCAAGGTGATGCAAGAAGAAATTTTTGGACCAATTCTTCCAATAGTGCCTGTGAAAAATGTAGATGAGGCCATAAATTTCATAAATGAACGTGAAAAGCCTCTGGCTCTTTATGTATTTTCGCATAACCATAAGGTAAGCTTTAGAGAGAACAGCTAGTTAGCATAAGCAACTGTCAAGAGTCATGTTCCTTCTTTGCTGTAAAACAATGCAAAAAACAATGTGAAACAATGATGGTTTCTTTTGTGTCATGTCAGAGTCCATCCACTAAGTGAGGTTGTGTTCCGAGGTTGCTGTCTTGGTTAATGAGACTCTGGGGTTATCACAGCATCCATTCCCCTCCTCCCTCGGGTTAGATCTGAGTCTGCAGGGTTGAGTGTCACAAGGTTTTTGATTCACAAACATCTCCTGTATAATTGGAAGACTTATATGTGCCAGCATTAAATGCTTTTCTGATGTTAATCCACAGGGCATTGCTGAATAACAGCCTGCACAAAATGGCATTCACACCCACTGTGTGGGACAAAGACCCCGACACTGTCACATAAATGGTTGTGATATGATGGATTTTAGTTTCTAACATGACGCTAGCTTCTTGTTAGAGTGGTGGAACTGCATCACCTGGTTGAGCAGTTCTGCCACTTTCTGCATGGCTCACTCATTCATGTCACTAGGTGACCAGCCGCTACTAAGAGACCATGGCCCAAATGTTTTCTGGAGAGCTTCTGATGGTAATGTATAGATAGTCATGTGACAGCTTTTGGAGCTTGTGAGACTATTGAGATACAGATAGCTACAGGTATTTGAAGTGAGACCAAATGTGTGGGGCTCAGTAAAGACTGGGTTATTAACAAAACAATGGTTTGACATTTAAAACCATGGATAATGTGGGCAGGAAGGAACCCTGAAGCCGAAAGTAGGCTGGCCAGGGTATAAGTCAGGTGTGGAGCACTTCCCAGCAGTGGGTCACCCGAGGTCACTATAGTCCAGACTTGACGTTTGCCATGAACAATTGTCAAGGGCTTGCTGGCACCCAAGGGTAAATGACGTTTACTAGTCAAGTGTTCTTGTGCTTTTCTGAGCCTTAGGCCAAACAACCATTTATTTCTTAAAAAATAGGATGCTAAATCTAAAGTCTTAAATATTTTTACATTTCATAAAGACTAAATAATACCTATTAATCATGTGTTATAATTTAAAGCAGAGATAAGAAAGAAATAATAACAGTTTTTAAAGCTGGAATATAGTCTAAGCTGTCCCCTTTTAAAGAGTCTTTTGCTGCTGTGTTGGGGAGTACAACTCCAGGTTGTGGCTGAGTAGGCCCAGAGGTTTGGAGCTGCCTCCTTTTGTGCACTAGATGTGTGTCTGAGAAGTTGGGTATCAGTCACTTTGCTAAATTAACCAGTTGAGATTGTTTGTCTATCTGGCATGGTGTCCCCAAACTCGAGAATTTTCACTGACACAAAGCCAGAATGTGCATGCTTTGAGCACATAACTGAGCACACAGCCCTCTGTGTGGTGGGGCCATGAGTGTTCCCTAAGGGGCAACTTCACTGACCTGGACACCTTTGGTCTGTCCTCAGCTCATCAAACGGATGATTGATGAGACATCCAGTGGAGGTGTCACAGGCAATGACGTCATTATGCACTTCACGCTCAACTCTTTCCCATTTGGAGGAGTGGGTGAGTCTTATTTTCTCCTGCTTGTAGTAGATATTTCAAAAGCACCACCATTTCATGAGTGGATTGTATGGGCTGCTGAAATAGCCAGCTGTTGCGTACCCTGATTGTCCTCTCCTGAGGGAGACCTTTTCCTGGTCACCCAGTTGACTGGTTTTCCTGCTTCCCCACCCACCCCTCCAGCATAGGGCAAATGTCTTGTCACTCTCTTTCTGTCAGCAGCACTGACTGACCACAGCTTTGTTCACTTCGTTGATTTTGTTATCCTGCCACATTTAGGAGATTTGGGAACCAAGAATCAGGTCTCAAATTAATTAAGAAGATCTCTCTTCGTGTGTGTGTGTGTGTGTGTGTGTGTGTGTGTGGTGTGTGTGTTTAATGAAGTAGCAAATGAAAGGTTCGGAATACCAGGGACAGAAGGTAGAGGGGTTTTCTAATGTGCCTTTGTTTTCTGCTCAGTTCTTACCTGCATTGTTCCCCAGCCCTTTGTTGGGAGGAGCAGCCTCTCCTTGAATTGTTTTGTGATTTGAGTAAAACGGGACTCCCCCTGTTCTAGAGAGGATGGGCAGAAAGAAATTCATTCCAAGTGAAGCTTTGTGGACATAGCCTGATCCTTGCTTTTCCCTTTAGAACATGACCTGCCTGCCTCTCCCACATGTGAGATGACTGACTCAGCTTTTTATTTCTCCTTTGGGACCTAGGCTAGGTGGGCTTTTCTACTCTCTACTAGAGCTATTACAAAATAGCCGATATGTAAACATTCTCATAACAAAAACCCAACCAGAAAAGCCACTGTCTTAAAGCCCTGTTCTATCCTCTCCCTTTGTAATACCGTCCTAAGTCAGTTGCTCCATGGGATGCGATGGCCCAGTTTGGCAGGACCATCTGTTCCTGGTTAAGGAAACCTTGTCCTATGACCAAGGAGCCTTGACCTATATAGCCACAGGTCCTTGTCTAGGAGGTAAACATATTGCCAGCACCCAGCACAGTGACTGACATGAGTGAGGGACAGGCGGGAAGAGGCCAATTGGTAGGTATTGCCAGATCCAAATTGGAAATGGTGGTGGCTTGTAGAGGGTGGTAGCAGGGGAGATAGTGGAAAGGGAAGGGGGTATTTTTGGGATCAAGCAGCAGGATTGGCTGATGGAGTGAATGTTGGAGGAGGGGGTGAATGAGAGAGGATGACTCCTGGGATTTTGGCTGGAGTAAGTAATAGTTTTGTAGCCCAAATGCTTAAAAGATTGGACTCTGTTGTCTCTGTTCCTCAGCTCACCACATAGGATCCTGGCATCCACTGTGCTAGTGCAGTAATCAACTCGGTAATTGTTCCATATGGTGTCTCCACTGCCCTCTAATTGCAAATCTAAGTGACTTGGGTTCAGTCCCTGTCCTACTTGACAAGATAGCCTGTGGCATCATTGACTATACCATCTTATTTAAAACAAAACAAGGCTGGGCGCAGTGGCTCATGCCTGTAATCCCAGCACTTTGGGAGGCCGAGGTGGGTGGATCACTTGAGGTCAGGAGTTCCAGACCAGCCTGGCCAACATGGTGAAACCCCATCTCTACTAAAAATACAAATGTTAGCTGGGTGTGGTGGTGCGTGCCTGTAGTCCCAGCTACCAGGGAGGCTGAGGCAGGAGAATTGCTTGAACCAGGGAGGTGGAGGTTGCAGTGAGCTGAGATTGCGCCACTGCACTCAAACCTGGCAAACAGAGCGAGACTCCGATCTCAAAATAAATAAATAAATAAATAAATAAATAAATAAATAAAAATAATAAAATAAAACAAGCAACCTATTATATACCCACAAAAATTAAAAATACAAAAAGAAGATGCAAAAGAAAAAAACAGGTTTACTCTCTTAGCAAATTTCAGGCATATAATACATTATTATAGTGGCCATGCTGTAAAAAAATAAAAATAAAAAATAAAAACAAGCCTTGACCCCCAAATGTAAAAAGAATACAGGCTTTTTAAGAAAACTTGGAAAAGATAGAAGAGCCCAAAGAATAAACATTTATATTACCCATAACCCCACTATGTAAAGATAACTGGTATATGTCTTGCACACATATGCACACACATATACACGGTCATCTGAATATTCTATTCAAAAAGGTATCATACTATATATTGTTCTGTACCCTGTATGTGACAGAATAGTGTGACACTTTTCCATGTCAATATTCTTGCATGTCATAATTTTAGTAGCTGCATACTTTTCCATCATATGAATGTGGCATATTTATGTAACCAATTCCCAGTATTAGATTTTTGTGATTTCAATTTTTTTGGTATTACGATTCTTATATAATGTATCTTTATGCAATCTCTGATTATTTCTTTAGGAAAAATGTCTACAAGTGTAATTACTCTGTTAAAAGGGCTTATACAATTTTCCAAATTGAAAAAAATGCTTTTTTCTTCTAATTCTCAAAGTAATATAGACACAGTGGCAAAAAGTCTAAACAGTTAAACTTTTTAATATTTTGGCATATAGTTTAGATTTTTCTTTTTTTTTTCTTTTTATCGAGACTGAGACTCCCTGTCACCTAAGCTGGAGTGCAGTGGTGTGATCTCAGCTCATTGCAACCTCCAACTCCTGGGTTCTAGCAATTCTCCTGGCTCAGCCTCCCAAGTAGCTGGAACTACAGGTGTGTGCCACCAGGCCCAGCTAATTTTTGTATTTTTAGTAGAGACACGGTTTTGCCATGTTAGCCAGCCTGGTCTCAAACTCCTGGGCTCAAGAGATCCACTTGCCTTGGCCTCCCAAAGTGCTGGGATTACAGGTGTGAGCCATCGCACCCAGCCTAGGTTTTTCTTTAGAAATGCTTCTCTTTAAGACTTTTGATAGATATTTCAAGTGTCTTTGCAGATTTCTGCCACTTTATATTCCCATGATCAGTATATGAGTGTTTACTTCCTTATATCCCCAATTCTGGATTATTCCATTATTAAATTTCTAGACAGAAAAGGGTCTCATTTCAATTTGTACTCCTTTGATTATTAGTGAGTTTGAATTTTTTTTACCACTCTCATGAATTTTCTATTTATGTCCTTTGATATTTTTGCTGTGTTCACATCTTCCTTATTATTGGTATATAAATAGCCTTTTTTATAAGTAAGAAAATCCTCAGTCCTATCTGTAATACATATCCCTTTCCAGATTTTAATTTTTCTTTTAATTTTATCTATGATTTGAAGCGTTTATTTATTTAGAGACAGAGTCTCACTCTGTCACCCAGGGTGGAGTGCAATGGCGCGACCTCGGTTCATTGCAACCTCTGACTCCTGGCTTCAAGCAATTCTCCTGCCCCAACCTCCCAAGTAGCTGGGATTACAGGCACCCGACACCACTCCTACCTAATTTTTGTAGTTTTAGTAGAGATGGGGTCTCACCATGTTGGCCAGGCTGGTCCTCAACTCCTGATCTCAGGTGATCCACCTGCCTTAGCCTCCCAAAGTGCTGGGATTACAGGCATGAGCCACCACATCTGGCCTAAGCCTGTGTGGCTTTTTGTTTTTTGGTTTCCGATTTGGAAAGTAGGCTTAGAAAAGCTTTCCCTATTTCATTATTATATAAATATCATCTGTAGGCTGGGTGCGGTTGCACACACCTGTAATCCCAGCACTTGGGGAGGCCAAGGCACCTGGCTAACATGGTGAAACCCCGTCTCTACTAAAAATACAAAAAATTAGCTGGGTGTGGCGGCACCACCTGTAATCCCAGCTACTTAGGAGGCTGAGGCAGTAGAATCACTTGAACCCTGGAGGCGGAGGTTGCAGTGAGCAGAGAGTGCACCACTGTACCTCCAGCTTGGGCAACAGAGCGAGACTCTGTCTCAAAAAAATAAGAATAAAATAAATAAATAATTAAATATTATCTGTAGTTTCCTTCCCTCCCTCCCTCCTTTTCTTCTTTTCTTTTCTTTTTTCTTTTCTTTTCTTTCCATTTAACCATGGAGTTGGCCAAGCATGGTGGCTCACACCTATAATCCCAGCACTTTGGGAGGCCGAGGCAGGTAGATCACCCGAGGTCAGAATCTTGAGACCAGCCTGGCCAACATGGTGAAAACTCATCTCCACAAAAAATACAAAAAAAAAAATTAGCTGGGCATTGTGGCATGCACATGTAGTCCCAGCTACTTGGGAGGCTGAGGCAGAAGAATCGCTTGAACCTGGGAGGCGGAGGCTGCAGTGAGCCAAGATCATGCCACTGCACTCCAGCCTGGGCAACAGAGCGAGACTCCATCTCAAAAAAACAAACAAACAAAAAAAACACCCTGGAGTTCACTTTAGAATGCCATACGCTGCATGATGTAATAATTTACCTTTTTTTTCCCAAAGAGTAAACTATGCTGGCACCATTTTTTGAAATAATCATCCTTATACCATCAGTACTCAATAAAAACACGTTTGGGTCATTCTTAGGGTTTTCTCATTGGTTGCATTATCTTTCTGGTTTGTTTTTTCCGTGGGCCAGTACCACAGTTTCAATTACAGTAGTTGTACAGTTAGCTTTATAAGTGACATTTAGTAAGTGCTTATTGTATGCCAGGTACTGCGGTTGAATCCACGCCTTTTCTTTTCTTTTTTTTCTTGTTTGAGATAGGGTCTCACTCTGTCACCCAAGCCAGAGTACAGTGGTGCAATCACGGCTCATTGCAGCCTCAACCTCTTAGGCTCAAACAATCTTCCCGCCTCAGCCTCCTGAATAGCTGGGATTACAAGGGTGCACCACCATGCCTGGCTAATTAAAAAAATTTTTTTTGTATAGAGGCGGGGTCTCACTGTGTTGCCCAGGCTGGTCTTGAATTCCTGGGCTCAAGCAATCCTCCCACCTCAGCCTCCCAACGTGCTGGGATTACAGGTGTGAGCCACCGTGCCCGGTCAAATGCACGCATTTTAGAGACAGACAACTAATAAGTAGTAAAGCCAAGAAATGAGCCAAAGTTGTCTGGCTCCAAAACCCACATATTCAACCAATCCAGTAGTTTGCTCTTTAGGACACAGTACTATTTCAATACCTAAAAGTAAAAGCTCCTCATTATTACTGTTTTTCGATGTTTTCTTGCTTGTTCTTATCTAAATTTATTTTTCCAGATGATCTTTGGAATCACTACCTCCTCCTACTTAAAACAAACAAACAAAACCTTCCGAAATCCCCTAGGATTTTTATTAAAATTGATTTAAACTTAAATTATTTTGGGAAGAATTTATATCTTTAAAATGTGGAGTCTTAATGGGAATATGTTATATCATCTCTTCATTTATATAGCCCTTTTATATCTTTCAACAAAACTTTGTAATTTCCTTCATGTCAGTTTTTTGCTTTTTATTTATTTTTTGAGACAGGGTCTCACTCTGTTGACCAGGCTGGAATGCAGTGTGGCACAATCATAGCTCACTGCAACTTTGAACTCCTGGGCTCAAGCAATCCTCCTGCATCAGCCTCCCAAATTTTTCCCAGTTTCTTACTACCTTGGTTATGTCTTTGGCTCGCCCCTCCCTTATTCTTTTTTTTTTTTTTTTTGAGACGGAGTCTCGCTCTGTCGCCCAGGCTGGAGTGCAGTGGCGCGATCTCAGCTCACTGCAACCTCCGCCTCCCAGGTTCAAGCAATTCTCCTACCTCAGCCTCCCAGGTAGCTGGGACTACAGGCGTGCGCCACCACGTCCAACTAATTTTTGTATTTTTAGTAGAGACGGGATTTAACGATGTTGGCCAGGATGGTCTTGATCTCTTGACCTTGTGATCCACCCGCCTTGGCCTCCCAAAGTGCTGGGATTACAGGCGTGAGCCACCGCACCCGGCCCCCTCCCTCATTCTTTACCCTCCCTCAGAGTTAGGGTTTCTCATGGTCTTGTCCTTGGGTCTCTTCTCACACCAGGCCTGCTTCATGAATGATTCCTTCCTGCAGCCTGGCCTTGGTAAACTGCTCCCTGGCCTCTGGTCACCTGTGTCTTATATCACACATGCCATTCCCTCTGCCCAGCTCACACTGCTCCGCTTTGTGCCTGTCAGTCTGTTGTACACACAATGAATTAGAGAAATGAAACTGTCACAGAGCATGGCTTTGTGGAGGGCAGAGATTTACACTTGCTTATTATCATCCAGCTGTGCAACCTTGTTGCCCTGTCTTACTTTCCACAGGCTTTGAGAAAGCAAGTGGGTGTGTGGGGCCATGGATGAATGAAGCCACATGGGATGGTGGGAAGAGAGCACATATAGCATTTAGAGTCTGATCCAGGTTCGGGTTCTGGCTTTGCCACTTAGCAGCCGTGTGACCCTGGGCAGGTTAACTGACCCTGTAAGCTCCCTTTCCCTCTCTGGAAATGAGGCTGCTGATAATTCACCAAGTGGGATTGTGGTGAGAATTATCTTAAGAGAATGATTTAACTCTTAGCACAGTCCCTGGCATAAATGAGAGCCACAGCTCTAGAAGAGGTGCAAGTCCTTGTCTTGCTCATGGAAAGCATCCTGTTTGACAGGGAAATTGACTTTTCCAGGGAAGTTGGTAAGGACTTCCTGAAAAGAGATACTTCAGCTGGCAGAGATGTTCAGTGGGGTTCCCAGGCAGCAGGGAGTGCATGTGAGCTTTCCCGGTCGTTGTTAGACAGAAGTAGCTTGCATCATCTACAGTGAAGCTTGTTTTGTCTGTTCCCTTTATTTCAGGTTCCAGTGGGATGGGAGCTTATCACGGAAAACATAGTTTTGATACTTTTTCTCATCAGCGTCCCTGTTTATTAAAAAGTTTAAAGAGAGAAGGTGCTAACAAACTCAGATATCCTCCCAACAGCCAGTCAAAGGTGGATTGGGGAAAATTTTTTCTCTTGAAACGGTTCAACAAAGAAAAACTCGGTCTCCTGTTGCTCACTTTCCTGGGTATTGTAGCCGCTGTGCTTGTCAAGGTGAGTCCCTATAACCCATGAGTGCCATTCAGTCTGGTCCTGGCCTGATGGCTGCCAGATGCATATTCTAGCAGGACTCTACATTAACTTGTAGAGTCTAAGACAGGGTCAGTGAACCACAGCCTGCTGGCCAGCTACCCGTTTTTGTCACTGAAGTTATTGGAACACAGCCACACCCACTTGTTTAATCATCCACAGCTGCTTTCATGGGACAGTGACAGAGCTGAGTAGTTGCAACAGAGGCTGAATGGCCCTCAGAGCCTAAATTATTACAGAAAAGTTTGCTGATCTCTGGTCTAAGAGATTAAAACAGCGTAGAACTTGATTGCAGAATTCTGAGCTGTCTGATCAAAGGGTTAGCCCTTTGATCCTTTTGGTATTGGACTTTCCTTGTCACTTACAGCTTTGTTCTTGAATGTGCATGAAATCAGCTTACCACAGAGGTGAAGGCAAGAACTCTGGTACAACAGCTTTGGTGAGGGATATTTTATTAGGCTTGAGTTTTTTTCCTCCAAAGTTCACTACCTGATAAAGTTTATCTTTGGTGATTAGTCATTATAGGGATGGGCTTGCAAAGAGGCCCTCATGATAGCTGCCTTCTCAAAGCAGTTTGCGTATTTTGAGATGAAAGAGGAAATCCGTAATTAAAGTTAAGATGGAATGAGGAAGGCAATTGTGTCTGTGGTGCCCTCAGCCGTTCAACTGAGGATATAACATTGAAAATATTGACCATATCAGTGAAGAATGGGCTTGGAAAAGGCAATGGTAATAGTTGTGTTTATGTTTTGTTTAAAATTTGAAAGGGGGCCGGCGCAGTGGCTCACACCTGTAATCCTAGCACTTCGGGAGGCTGAGGCAGGGGAATCACGAGGTCAGGAGTTCAAGACCAGCCTGACCAATATGGTGAAACCCTGTCTCTACTAAAAATACAAAAATTAGCCAGGCATGGTGGCACGCACCTGTAGTCCCAGCTACTCGGGAGGCTGAGGGAGGAGAATCACTTGAACCCGGGAGGTGGAGGTTGCAGTGAGCCAAGATCATGCCACTGCACTCCAGCCTGGGCAATAGAGCGAGACTCCATCTCAACAACAACAACAACAAAAATTTGAAAGGGGTTTGGCTCATCTTACAGTATCCCAGCCTTAGTGGAATTGGAGATACCAGTTGCATTTGAAATCATTTGGGTTTTCTCAGAAATACCAAGCTGTGCTGAGGAGAAAGGCCCTGTTGATTTTTCTGGTAGTTCACAGACTGCGTTGGTCCAGTAAGCAGAGATGAACACCAGATTTCAAAACCCAGCCCTGTCTGTTAAGAGTGAGGTAGGAACTTTTTGTTTTCTTTCTATATGTAAGGTGGGCCAAGTTGGGGTATGTTTTCAAGGGTTTTTTGGTTTGTTTTTGTTTTTGTTTTTGTTTTTGTTTTTATTTTTGTTTTTTTTTTGCTACAGTTGGAGGCTTAAGGGTTATTGAAAAAAGAATGGGCCGGGCGCAGTGGCTCACGCCTGTAATCCTAGCACTTTGGGAGGCCAAGGCAGGTGGATTGCCTGAGTTCCGGAGTTCGAGAACAGCCTGGCCAACATGGTGAAACCCCATCTCTACTAAAAATACAAACGTTAGCTGGGTGTGGTGGTACGTGACTGTAGTCCCAGCTACTAGGGAGGCTGAGGCAGGAGAATTGCTTTAACCCGGGAGGCAGAGGTTGCAGTGAGCCAAGATTGTGCCACTGCACTCCACCCTGGGTGACAGAGCAAGACTCCGTCTCCAAAAAAAAAGAAAGAAAAAAGAATGTTTAACTTACTTATCTCTAGACATTTTGGACCTGGGCCCAGAGTATCAGGGTGTTAAAACTCCACTTATCCACAATTTTAAAAGGGTGAAGTGACTTGCTAGGAATCTAAGAGAAGTGTGCAGAGGCAATGGCTTAGCTGCGTCCAGGTGAAGCATACATCATTTCTTGGAAAAGGGCAGCTGAGTGTGAGCCTCATTTCTCTTCCCCTTCTACTCAGCTCTCCTGGGGGAGGTGCCAGCTGACTAATTCAGACTTGTCACCATCTAGGCACTGAACTCTTTATGTCATAATTTAAGAATATGTTTTTTAAATCACTAAGTAGTTTTGATTTGTTTTCATTTTTAAAAAAAGGTTTGACTTTGGAATTCATGGCAGCAAATGTCGTGAAATCAAGGTGTAGTATACAATTTAGGGGCTACTTTCTTTGCCTTCCTGAGGCTGGAGGTGTGGTCGGAAGCTTACTTGGGTCTCTGGTCAATATCTGTCTCTTTTGTTCTTTTCCCAAGACCTCGGTTCCTCAGTTTGATAATGCATCTTGGTAGGATAGAATATTTTAGCCTCATGGAAAATACGGAGGCCCAGGCTGAGTCTGCATTCTCCAATCTTACCAAACCCCCAAGAAGCCTCCCTCAGGTGCAGTGCAGTGTGCCAGGCAGGTTCGAGTTCCCAAAGGGTTTGGCAGGCATGTTTCTCTGTGAGGGTCTAGAGAAGCAGCAATATATAAAAGAAGCAGCAATATATAAAACCTTTAGCAGAAACAAAAAAATGTGGTTTGATTCCTGGCTCAATGAACTTGGGCAAGGCCTTTTCTGAGCTCTTTCTTGGGCCTCAGCTTGCTCATCTACAGGGTGAGGGAGTAGGTGTCAGTGATTCCCCAGGCCACTTTCAACCCTTCCGCTCAATTCTCATTACTAATAGTTGTTAATATTTCTTTGGATTCAATCTGGAACTAGGTAGAGATTTGGTTTTCTTTTCCACTTTGCTGCTTTTCTGCTCCTTTCTGAGCTTTTAATCCTCTTTTTATCAAATTACCTTTTATTTAAAATAAATGACTTTGAATCTGTACTGTATATTTACCTGAATAGTCTATTTATTGTAATTACATTTTTCTGAAATGGCTTTTATGTACTTAATAGTTTCCTTATTTTGTTACACTCTTGGATTTTATTTTATTAATTACCTTACTAGAATTAGAAGGGATTTAGAGCAGAAGTATTGTACACAAAGTAAAGTTCCAATAAAGCTTATAAGCTACAGAAGGCATTGTGGGAGATGTGGGTTTTAAAAGGTCGAGAAACATAAGAGGTTAATGTTGATAAATTTCATTAGGCCTTTGACAACTAAATATGACATTTGAACCTTGAGATTGCAGCAGCCCTTCCTCAGTCTTCAATAGGAAGGATTAAATTCAGTACTACTTTTGAATTTTAGAAACAAAATTGTATACCAGTTTTTGAATTCCATGTAGAGACTTCAGCTTCCTACTGAAAATGCTAGGATAATAAGTTAGTACTCTCATCTTCTGTCTCTACTCTGACATTAGCTAGTTGACAGTGGACAGAATATAGCCTTCATTATCACGTTGTCTTACTCTTATTGTTATTGTTGTTTTTTGAGGAAGGGCATAATCCTTTGGCCTAAACCGTGCTTCCTAGGCTTCCTAGGGATATGTAGTCCTTTTTTGTACAATGCATGTAGAGTCTCTTCAGACAGGAGGTGTCTGAGTCCCAGTGCTGAGCTTGTGTTGCAAGGCTGGTTGTGGGTAGGTTTTTAAAGCAGCTGAGTAAACTGAATCCTTTTTTCCTCTCTCCAGGCAGAATATTACTGAAGAATGATCCTGTTCAACCTCCTAGTGCCTCTACTGAATTATTCCTCTTTTAAATGGTTAATGAACCAATAATTTTTAAATCATACCAAAAATAGTAAGAAAATATGCAAACACTCTGTGATCAAACTTAAAAGTCATTGCCATTCATCATTAATAAAAGTTGCCATTTCAACTACGTCCCAACATTCCCTAATAGGGTATTCAGGGAACCTGTCTTAAATTGTGCTTATCTAAATCTTGGAACTTTGAGCTAGGGGAGGAGAATGTATTAGACTAAATACAAACTGCGGGGTTGTAAGGGAGTCTCAGAACCTCACTGAATCCTTCACTCCAGTTAATGGCACTGCTCACTTCCTGCCTCTGCTGCCACCATCACTGTGTGAAGCTTTCAAGAGCTTGGTACTTCCCAGGGCTACCGGCAGTCCTCTGTAGTCCAGAGAGGTGAGATTAGATCTTCTTGGTTCCCTGTGAGGTTTCAGGCACTAAAACTCTATGTGGGGAAGGGAGGGGTTACTCCTCCTCCAATGGGACTCAAGGACTTGACCTCCAGGAGTAGGCCCCTGGTCAGAAGTGCCATCTCACCAGTGGTCTTCATTCTTCCTCATTCATTCTTTATCATCCTGTGTTCTGTTTAGTTGCAACAATCTCTTGTGACTAATGTCACTCAAAGCATCTTGTAAATCCTAGGGCTTCCTGGAAGTTAGTTGCCAAAGTCATGCAAGCATCACCTGTCATTCTTGTGTTGGAGTTATAGAATTCTACATCTTATAAAACCTAACTGGCATTTAAAAAATACTGTGGCCGGGCGTGGTGGCTCATGCCTGTAATCCCAGCACTTTGGGAGGCCGAGGTGGGAGGATTGCTTGAGTCCAGGAATTTGAGACCAGCCTGGACAACACAGTGAGACCTCATCTCTATCAAAAAATAAAAATTAGCTAGATGTGGTGGCATGAGCCTGTGTTCCCAGCTGCTTAGGAGGCTGAAGCAGGAGGATTGATTGAGCCTGCGAGGCCAAGGCTGCAGCAGGCTGTGATTGCACCACTGCACTTCAGCTTGGGCAACAGAGCAAGACCCTGTCTCCGAAACAAATAAAAAATACTGTAATAAAAGTACTTATAAACATACTAATCCTCTTTCAGGACCCTAAAGTTGCAGGTTAGTAGGTCTTCAAGGACAAATCTGTAAGTTTCTTATTTCTGTAGTGCAAGTAAAATTTCACTTTTTGAAACTATAGAGAGATCCCTTTCTGATTAGCCTACAGAACTTAAAGTGAGGGAACCATTTCCTCTCACAGACAAAGAGGCCTGGGATATTAGGACTTTGGGGTTTGAGAGCATCATGGGGCAGACAGATGGTGGATGGTCTGGACAAGAAGCGAGTAAGCCACTGCGGTTGGTCATACTGAAGGGAATTGATGGCAAGAGGATCCCCTGAGCAAGTCAGAAGTTACTCTCATCAGTCGTTCATGGTCACAACCTGAGGTACTCTGCTGAGTGGGCAAGGCTGAAGAAGAGGCCTGTGGAATGCAGCATTACCTGCTGGACAGAGCAGGGCAGGCAGTTCTATGCCTTGGAGCTCCTGACTGCAGGGACTCTGTCCCCACACTCAAAAAGACTCAGCTCACTCAATGAGAGAATGTGATTTACTTTATAGAACGTATAATCAACTTTGTTGAATAATTTGTTCTATTAAGGCTGTCTAAAGTATGTGATGTCTTCATCATAGTATGAAGTGTTGAAAATTAATAACGAGCCTAGTTTAGGAAAAAGCTGCTTAAAACTGTGGCTCTAAGAGAGTAATCATAAAATACCTTAGATAAAATTGCACTATGGAATTTTCATTGAGTATGTTTAAATTATTGGCTTGTCTACTAATACACATCTGCTTCAAAATGAACATATTTCATAAAATTGGCATCAATTTTAATGACGCTCCTGGTATGGAACCTCAGATATACCCTATTGGAGACAATCCTTTGATCATAAATTCTCCCCAACTATAAATCATTTTATGTCTTTATCATAGATGGTATTTGTCAACTTTTTTTTTCTCATTTTAAAATTCTTAGCTGAGAAGATTTTCTCAAACTTTATGTTCTGCTGTGTGTGTTGGGGGTGGTGGTTAGTAGCTATAGTAAATAGGTTTTTCCAGTGGCATCCTCCTACCCCCAGTTGCTGATCTAGAACAAGTGTTTCTGTAAGCATATTTGTAGAACACTAATCCCGCAAGATTTTACACAAAAAAATGGTCCTGCCACCAGTCCTGTATACCACTGGCTTGTAAAGCACATCAGCAAACTAAAGGACCCAGGTCATTTGGAACCTCTGAAGTGCTAGTGTGTGCAGCTCCCAGACTTCCTTGACCGCGGAGCCGTTTACCTTAATACCTGTTAACCATGGACCACACTTGGGCAAACAGTGGCATAGAGTCTGGAATTGCTTCCATGATGACTTTGCTGTGCTCTGTTCCTACTTGTTTTGTGCCCTTATTTATATCATGTCACTACTAGAAGAAAAAGTTCAGTAAGAACAAGTATTTCTCAAAGTCTGTGATAAGTGAAAATGCTGATGGAATGAAAGAACTGTAGAAAAGGGGAAGAAGGGTGTATGGACAGCCACTGCCCTGGTCAGGGTCTCACAGCACCTGCATCTGCCAGGAGCACACGGGTTGTCTGGACAGGGCCCACTGGTCCCCTTCTCAGAGCTTCACAGAGGCTTTATGACAGACTTGAGCAGCAGGCTGTGCCCAGGAAATGTGTAATCTTTAATATAACAGTGGTTTTTGTGATTTTATCTGCAGTGTCCCATTTGAAGCCATTTACATTATTAATAATAGTGACAATCCCTGGACTCTGACTCGTGCAGTTGGCTGATGTCTTCTGTAGAGCAGTCCAAGTCACAGAAGAAAACTCCAGCTTGACCAGAACAGAATTGTCAAGTCTGTTCAGACCCCTCTGAGTGTCACCACAAGGAATCAGCCAAAGTTCTTTTTTTGAGGAGTGGTTCAAAGTGTCCACCTGCACTAGACCCCATTGGTGTTTTTGCAGGGCAGACCGTGGTGTGTTTGCATACTGGGGACAGCCACTCCTGGCTTTCTATTTCCAAGCTTCTTTGCTAGTGCCTGGTGGCTAGGATCCTGACCGTGAGCCCCACCATCAGTGTGGCTGACGCCGCCCCCAGAGCAGCCCCACGGCGGATGACCAGCTGTTTCACTGATAGTCTGCTGGTAGGAGCTGAAAGGGCGTGGGCCTCCTCTGGAGTCCTGAAGAAGTCCACGTGGCACTCAGACCTTGAATACGTTGTCAAGGTAATGCCAGGGGAACTGCCTGTAGCCACTGCGGAAGCAAACAGGAGCAAACTCAGCAGGTCAGGGGTCAGAGGGAGAGCTTTGGCCTTGGAATCGGGAAACCTAGGTTAACCACCTGGCTGTGTTTGTTACACCTCACAAGGGACGATGCCTATACAGTAGAAAAATAACTGCTTTATCTACTTTACAAGCAAGATCAGAGGAGGAGATATGCAGGAAAGCATCTTAAACTGTGAATTTCACGTGCAGATAATGCTTACTACTAGGATCTCATGAGGAGTGTTCTTGTCAACGCTTGGCCCTGTGATGATCTGTGGCTTCAAAAGCACGTGGGAAACACAATTAATCATGTCTTACCGTATTCTCTCATGACAACTTACGCTCCCAGAGTTTTAGCTGGCTCACTACTGCCCTGATCAAGGATTAGCCCAGGATGGATGAGGTCATGGAGACATCATCTGTGTGAGCTTTGGGCCATGTGCACACACGCCTGGCACTCAGGACCAGCCCTGGGGCAGAGCTGGGGCCATCACTTCATGACATGGACACTGGGCACAAACCAGAGAGATGTTTGTCTGCCTGATGGGGTGGAGAGAGGTAGATAGCAGGTGCCCCCCCAAAGCCAATGAGTCAAGCCAGGCTGGCTGACAAGCCAGGCTCCCCACAAGTTAAAAGTTGGCCTTCCGTCTTGAGCAGAGTTCAGTGGGGGAGATCATGGGCTCTTGAATCTGACGGGTTGATGCGCAGATCTTATGTCTGGCCTTTACAAGTTGTGGGATGAGGGAGGAAATACCTAAGTTCTTTCAGCCTCACTTCCTCATCTGAAAATGGGCATACATCTAGTTGCCTCTCAAGGCCAAAGACTTGGTGTGGGGCCTGGTACTTGCATGCCTGCTAGACAATAGATGTTGTTGTCTTCCTGGTGCTTAGGACATCATTTTCATAATAATGGGAAGAAAAATAGCTTGGGCTTGTACAATTTCCAATTGCATGAGGCACAGAGGGCAGACAAGAGCAACATGCCACTGACATTTATATGTGTACCAAAGTAGAAGCAGCGGTGACAGTATTACCTGAAGATAGGACTGCTTTCTCAGGCCCAGGTCTGGTTGCAGTGCTCTCTGCTCTCTGCTGCTGCTGCCGGCCTGAATGTTTCTTAGCCTAAAGGAGAAAGAACTCAATTGGGTCAACCTGCCAGCTCAACAGTTCACCCCTTCACTGCTAGCCTCGCATTCTCTGTTTTTAAAACATTGCAAGCTGAAGCAGCATATATGCATGTATTCATAGTCATGGGGCTTTTAGAAAGTATCATTTTAAGGCTGGGCATGGTGGCTCACACCTGTAATCCCAGCACTTTGGGAGGCCGAGGCGGGTGGATTGCTGGAGCTCAGGAATTCAAGGCCAGTCTGGGCAATATAGTGAAACCCTGTCTCTACCAAAAATACTAAAAAATTAGCTGGGCATGGTGGCGCATGTCTGTAGTCCCAGCTACTCAGGAGGCTGAGGCAGGAGAACCTCTTGACCCCAGGAGGCAGAGGTTGCATTGAGCCGAGATTGTACCACTGCATTCCATCCTGGGCAACAGAGCGATACTCCATCTCAAATAAATAAATGTATCATTTTAAATATCTGTTTATCCAGCATCTTAAGTGTCAGGATGACTTTTTCTGTGCACAAAGGCAAAACCACACCCTGATAGGATTCAGGGTCTTTGAGAGAACACTGCTTCTGTGCTCTGCTTGCAGACTTGAGTTGTGCCTTTGCTGTGCCTGAGATGCAAAGGCTGCCCTGCCCTGTTTAAAAAGGACATCAAAGAGGATGGTGGGCAGGGTGATTTTATGACCCCTTCCAAAGTCAAGGCACACGCTCGGGGGTTCATCTGGGTTCAGACTAGTTTGAGTTCTTTGCGTTTGTTTGGTTTTCCACAGATGGGGCTGTCTAAGGAAGGTTTTTGGTTTTGTTTCTGTTTATAACTGCAGAGCATGCTTCTTATACTGGCCAATTACAGTGACAGGAGCCACTGTTGAGGCTCAGGTGGCCCCTCTGTAATCCCCCACAAAACACCTGCAGCACGCCTGTAATCCCAGCACTTTGGGAGGCCAAGGTGGGCGGATCACGAGGTCAGGAGATCGAGACCATCCTGGCTAACACGGTGAAACCCCGTCTCTACTAAAAATACAAAAAATTAGCTGGGCGTGGTGGCGGGTGCCTGTAGTCCCAGGTACTGGGGAGGCTGAGGCAGGAGAATGGCATGTACCCAGAAAGTGGAGCTTGCAGTGAGCTGAGATCGCGCCACTGCACTCCAGCCTGGGCGACAGAGTGAGACTCCATCTCACAAACAAACAAACAAAAAAAAAAAACACCTGCAGCTTATACCACACTGCTGCCAAGTTCTGATGTGCTCTGGGCATTTCTGGCTGAGTAGTCACTCCACCTGCTGGGGTCAGGTGCAGGGTGTCTTGTGGCCAGGGTCAGCTGACCCACTTACCTCCTCTGCAGCAAGCTTCCAGTCCAGCCGGGCAGTATAAGCAACAAAGGCAGCAGTTGCCAGGAAGACACAGGCCAGCATGCCCAGCCAGAGGCCTGGAGGAGACAAGTGATGATGGGAACAATGTCCGACGACCACCCAGGCCTCTCCCGACTTCCTCACACCACATACCCATGATTCTCATTCTGACCACAAAGGTCAGAAGGATGCCCAGTGGTAGGCCGATGATGTAATATGTGATGGCATTCACAGCGGCACCAAAGGCCTGCTTCCCAGTTCCTCTCAGAACTCCGCCATAGACACACTAGGAGGGGAGACAGAAATGGGCAAGAGTCAGGATGATGAGACTAAGAGCAGGTGTCATGCAGCAGGCACTGTGCTAAGCCATTCGCATGGCATTGCTTCACTGAGTTCTCACAGCACTGGATGGGTGCCCTTATCTCCCTTTCTTCCCTGAGGGTGGCTGTCCAAGACAGGTCAGATCACTTGTCCATGTTACACAGAAGTAACTGTGTTTTGAACACAACCCTACAGTACTCAGGCTTCACTGCCACACCATATGGCCTCCCTAGAAAGTAAAGGTAGAATTGGTGGCCAGCAACCAGTTGGTCTGGGAGACTGGACTAACTTCACATGATACAGAGGTGGTGTGTTGGTTTCCTGTGGCTACTGTAGCAAATTACTGCAAATATTGTGGCTTAAAATAACATAAATTTGGGCCGGGCATGGTGGCTCATGCCTGTAATCCCAGCACTTTAGGAGGCTGAGGAGGGCAGATCACTTGAGGTCAGGAGTTCAAGACCAGCCTGGCTAAAATGGTGAAACCCCATCTCTAAAAATACAAAAATTAGCCAGGCAAGGTGGCACTGTAATCCCAGCTACTTGGGAGGCTAAGGCACGAGAATTGCTTGAACCTAGGATGCACCACTGCACTCTAGCCTGGGCGACAGAGCGAGACTTGGTCACACACACACACACACACACACACACACACACACAAATTTATTATTTTATTTTACAGTTCTGGAGGTTAGAAGTTTGAATTGGGTCTCACTGTGCCAAAATCAAGAGCTTGTTCCTTCTGAAGGCCCTAGTTGAGAATGTGTCTCTGCTTTTTCTAGCTTCTAGAATTCCTTCTGTATTCATTGGCTGGTGGCCCCACATCACTCTAACCTCTGCTTCCAGCCTCACATCTCCTCTGACTCTCCTGCCTCCCTCTTCTAAGGACCCTTGTATTTACATTGGGCCCACTTGGATGACCCAGGATAATCCCCCTATCTCCAGATTCTTAATCACACCTGCAAAGTCCCATTTGCCTTGAAACACTCACAGGTTCTGGGGATTATGATGTGGACGTTGAAACTTGGGGGCCATTATTTTGCCTACCATGCATGGCAAACAGTGGTTGTTAGCTTATTCCATATGAGACAAGCAGCCCTCACCCACTGCTGTCTGTGATTATGTCTCATCTCAAAGATGAGAATTGCTCTGGAAAAAGTACTGTTTATTTCATTAGTCTCATTTTCCCAACGTGATTCCAGATCTTCTGAACTACAGGCACAGCTCATCCTTGGTCAGGATTATTGGCCAATAGATATTTGGTTATTTTTATTTTGTTCCTGTGAGAGGTGGGGAGTATTTTGTGGTTTGTACACATTTGAACAAAGAGGTAATGCACTGGGGTTAGGAGATGTATGCCTCTTGAACTTTGTAATATGGTATGTATATTTCTGGTTATTATATGTCATGGCATGATCTTTTTTGGCTAAAGACTTCTCCCAAATTATGATTGATGTACCCTGGACCAGTGTTTCTCAAATGGGGATGACAAATTCTGGGATGTTTTTGTTGTGACAACTGTGGGGGTGTGGTGGGGGAAAGTGTTACAGCATCTAGTGGGTAGAGACCAAGGATGCTGCTAAACATCCTACAATGCCCAGGGGACCGCCCTCCCCCCACCAAACAAAGAGTTATCTGGTCTAAAGTGCCAGTAGTGCTGAGGTTGAGAAACTCTGATTTAGAGTATTGTGAATTAAAGTGGCAATTTCAGTGGCAGGAAGGGCCAGTGGCTTTGCTAGCCTGAGGTTGTGGGCCTGTTTGGGAGAAGCCATCGACCAGTGGACTAGGCAGGGATTTAAGAGGGAGTTTGATGAGGTAAAACAGCCAAGGGAATGGGGAGGTACTGGTAAGTTCTCTACATATCCCAAGCTGACCAGAGGCTGTGCATATGGTGTAGCAGAGACCAAGCCTCCCACATGTTCCTGGACAATGGAGCCTGTCCACATGGGCTGAAGAGACCCGTAGTACCCAGAAGAAAGTAAAAGCCAGGACTCACTTGAAAACAGCTGGAACTCTGAATACGTCTCTAGCCCACACATGGATCTGTCAGCAGAGAATGGAAGCTTTGCTAGCTATCAGAGGTGTTGAACACAGTCTCTGACCAGTAATTGGCTGAACACTAAGCTCTGCAGACATTTTTAATCCTAGAAAGAACATTTTAAACTAGAAAGCTAGACTTAAAAAAATAAGAACAAGGGGGAAAAAACTGAGCAAGAGACATCAGCAGCTGTACATTGTAGAGGAGACAGGAGTCACAGAATCAGTCTAAGCAAGTTACTTAACCAACACAATGACATTCCTTGGGTCTCACATGCAGCATTCTCCAGGATAGACCTGCGGTAGGCCACAAAACAAATCTCAATAAACTAAACTTAAAACAATCTTTTTTAAGAGATGGAGTCTTGCTATGTTACCCTGGCTGGTCTTGAACTCCTAGGCTCAAGTAGTGCTCTCATCTCAGTCTCCTGAGTACCTGGGACTACAGGCACATTCCATCATGCCTGGCAAATTTTGAAAGACTGAATTCATACAAAGTATGTTCTCTGGCCACAACAGAATTAAATTAGAGATGCCTGCCAGAAATAAAACCCCAAATATTTGGAAATTAAATGCACTTCTAAACCATAAGTCAAAGAATAAATCACATGAGAAATTTAAAAATATTTCAAACTTGAAAATTTTGATGAACATCAAAATTTATTAGATGCAACTAAGGCAATGCTTAGAGGGAAATGTACAGCTTCAAATGCCTATATTGGAAAGGGAGAAAGGTCTCGAATCAATGACCTACTATTCTACCCTAAGAAGCTAGTAAAGAAGAACAAACTATACCTAAATGAAGTAAAAGGATAAGAATGTAAAAGATTAGTGTGGGCCAGGCATGGTGGCTCACACCTGTAATCCCAGCACTTTGGGAGGCCAAGGCAGGAGGACTGCTTGAGGCCAGGAGTTAGAGACCAGCTTGGGCAATATAGCAAGACTCTTTCTACAAAAAAAAAAAAAAAATTAAAAGTTAAAAAATAAATAGATAAAAGATTAGTGTGAAATCATTGAAATAAACAGCAGAAGACTAAAACATGCATCTATTAAAAAAACTACTTTTCGCCCTCTCCCTCTCCCTCTCCCTCCCGCTCTTGCTCTCGCTCTCCATCTCCCTCTTTCTACGGTCTCCCTCTCTTGCGGAGCCTGGACTGTACTGCCATGATCTCGGTTCACTGCAACCTCCCTGCCTCAGGCTCCGGTGATTCTCCTGCCCCGGCCTGCCGAGTGCCTGGGATTCCAGGCACGCGCTGCCACTCCTGACTGGTTTTTGTATTTTTGGTGGAGATGGGGTTTCGCCGTGTTGACCGGGCTGGCCTCCAGCTCCTAGCCTCGGGTGAAGTGCCCGCCTCGGCCTCCTGAGGTGCTGGGATTGCAGACGGAGTCTCGCTCACTCAATGCTCAATGTTGCCCAGGCTGGAGTGCAGTGGCGTGATCTCGGCTTGCTACAACCTCCATCTCCCAGCTGCCTGCCTTGGCCTCCCAAAGTGCTAAGATTACAGCCTCTGCCCGCCCGCCACCCCATCTAGGAAGTGAGCAGCGTCTCTGCTTGGCTGCCCATCGTCTGGGATGTGAGGAGCCCCTGTGCCTGGCCACCCCATCTGGGAAGTGAGGCGCGCCTCTGCCTGGCTGCCACCACGTCTAGGAAGTGAGGAGCGTCTCTGCCTGGCCGCCCATCATCTGGGATGTGAGGAGCCCCTCTGCCTGGCCGCCCCGTCTGGGAAGTGAGGAGTGCCTCTGCCCAGTCGCCCCATCTGGGAGGTGAGGAGCGCCTCTGCCTGGCCGCCCCGTCTGGGAGGGTTAAATGGATTAAGGGCGGTGCAAGATGTGCTTTGTTAAACAGATGCTTGAAGGCAGCATGCTCATTAAGAGTCATCACCACTCCCTAATCTCAAGTACCCAGGGACACAAACAGGGCCGAAGGCCGCAGGGACCTCTGCCTAGGAAAACCAGAGACCTTTGTTCTGGTGTTTATCTGCTGGCCTTCTCTCCACTATTATCCTATGACCCTGCCACATCCCCCTCTCTGAGAAACACCCAAAAATGATCAATAAATACTAAATAAATAAATAAATAAATAAACTACTTTTCAAGACATAGTGTAAGATATAAATAGAAACAACAAAGTTAAGAAACAGCAGGGGATGAAGTTAAAGTTTTTCTTAATTTTCTCTGCTTGTTTGTTTTTGCAATCAGTATTTAGTTGTCACTAGTTTAAAAATAATGGATTATTGGCCAGGCACAGTGGCTGATGTCTGTAATCCCAGCACTTTGGGAGGCAAAAGCAAAAGACCTCACCTGAGGTCAGGAGTTCAAGACCAGCCTGGCCAACATGGTGAAACCCTGTCTTTACTAATAATACAAAAATTAGCCGGGCATGGAGGTGAGCACCTGTAGTCCCAGCTACTCAGGAGGCTGAGGCAGGAGAATCGCTTGAACCCAGGAGGCAGAGGTTGCAGTGAGCCAAGATCACACCATTGCACTCCAGCCTGGGCTACAAGAGCGAGACCCTGTCTCAAATAAATAAATAATATTGCAAGCCTCATGGTAGCCTCAAATCAAAAACCTACAAAAGATACACAAAAAATAAAAAGTATACTACCAGAGAAAATCACCTTCACAAAAAGGAAGACAAGAAGAAAGGAAGAGAAGACCACCAAACCATAAAATAAATAATAAAATGGCAGGACTGAGTCCTAACTTATCAATAATAACATCGAATGTAAATGAACTAAAAACTCTCTAGTCAAAAGACATAGAGTGGCTCAATGGATAAAAAACAAAACCCAATGATCTGTTGCCTACAAGATGCACACTTCACCTACAAAGACACACATAGACTGAAAATAAAGAGATGGAAAAAGATATTGCATGCAAATTGAAACCAAAAGTGATCAGGAGTAGTTTATACTTAGATAAAATAGATTTCAAGACCAAAACTGTAAAAAGAGACAAGGTCATTGTATAACGATAAAGGGGGTCAGTTCAGCAAGAGAATATCACATTTATAAATATATATGTACCCAACACTGGAGAACCCAGATATATAAAGCAGATGTTATTAGAACTAAAGAGAGAAATATATTTCAATACAATAATAGCTAGAGATTTCAACATCCCACTTGCAACACTGGACAGATCATCCAGACAGAAGGTCAACATAGAAACATTGGACTTAATCTGCCCTAGAGACTAAATAGACCTAATAGATATTTACAAAAGATTTCATTCAGCTGCTGCAGAATACACATTCTTCTCCTCAACATATGGATCATTCTCAAGGACAGACCATATTTGAGTCACAAAACAAGTCTTAAAAAATTCAGAAAAAATTGAAATCCTATCAGGTATTTTCTCTGACCACAGTGAAATAAAACTGGAAATCAATAACAAGAGGAATTTTGGAAACTATACAAACACATGGAAATTAATATGCTCCTGAATGACCAGTGGGTCAATGAAGAAATTAAGGAAATTTTTAAAATTTCTTGAAACAAATGATAATGGAAACAACATATCAAAACGTATGTCATACAATGAAAGCAGTACTAAGAGAGTTTATAGGAATAAACACCTACGTCAAAAAGTGGAAAAACATCTAATAAATAACCTAATGATGCATCTTAAAGAACTAGAAAAGCAAGAGAAAACCAAACCCAAAATTAGTAGTCTGTGTCCTGTGAGGCCAGCCAGAAACATAGAAAAGCAAGAGCAAACCAAACCCAAAATTAGTAGAAGAAAAGAAAGAATAAAGGTCAGAGCAGAAATAAGTTAAATGGAAACAGACCAAAAAAATACAAAAGATCAATGAAATGAAAAGTTGTTTTTTTGAAAAAATAAACAAAATAGACAAAGCTTTAGCCAGATGAAGAAAAAAAAGAGAAAAGATCCAGATAAAATCAGAAGTGAAAAAGGAGACATAACTAATACCAAGAAATGCAAAGGATTGTTAAACGTTACTATGAGCAACTGTATACCAATAAATTGGAAAACCTAGAACTGGATAAATTCCTAGACACATACAACCTACCAAAATGCAACCATGAACAAATCTGAAACCTGAACAGACTAATAACAAATAATGAGATTGAAGCTGTAATAATAAGTCTCCTATCACTTCTCAGCCTTTTGGCTAAGATCAAGTGTAATCATAAGTCTCCTAGCAAGCAAAAGCCCAGGACCCAATGACTTCACTGCTTAATTTTACTAAACACTTAAAGAACCAATACCAGTCCTATTAAATCTGTTCAAAAAAATAAAGGAGGGAGGAATATTTCCAAACTCATTCTATAATGAGGCCAGTATTATCTTGATACCAAAACCAAAGACACATCAAAAAAAAGAAAACTACAGACCAGTATCCCTGATAAACATTGATACAAAAATTCTCAACAAAAATACTAGCATACCAAATTTATCATGACCAAGTGGGATTTATCTCTGGGATATAAGGATGGTTCATCATATGCAAACCAATCAGTATGATACATCATATCAAGAGAATTAAGGACAAAAACCATATGATTTCAATTGATGCTGAAAAGCATTTGATGAAATTCAACATCCCTTCATGATTAAAAAAAAAAACTCAAAAAAACTGGGTATAGGAGGAACATTAACACAATAAAAGCCTTATACAACAGACCCACAGCTAGTATCATACCAAACGGGAGAATTGGAAGCCTTCCCTCTAAGATCTAGAACAGGACAAGGATACCCACTTTCACCACTGTTATTCAAAATAGTACTGGAAGTCCTAGCTAGAGCAGACAAGAGAAAGAAAGTGCATCCAGATTGAAAAGGAAATCAAATTATCCTTGTTCGCAGGTGATATCATCTTTTTTGTTTGTTTGTTTTGTTTTTGGAGATGGAGTCTCGCTCTGTTGCCCAGGCTGGAGGGTTCAGGGACTTCTCTGCCTCATCCTCCCAAGTAGCTGGGATTACACTGCACTGCCTGCACTACAAAGCCTGGCTAATTTTTGTATTTTTTTTAGTAGAAACAAGGTTTCACCATGTTGGCCAGGCTAGTCTTGAACTCCTGACTTCAAATGATCTGTTCACCTCGGCCTCCCAAAATGCTGGGATTACAGGCGTGAGTCACTGTGCCCCGCTGGTGATATCTTTTTTTTTTTTTTTAAGAGAGAGGGTCTCGCTGTGTCATCCAGACTGGAGTGCAATGGTGCATTCACAGCTTACTGCAGCCTTGACCTCTTGAGCTCAAGCAGTCCTCCCACCTCAGCCTCTCAAGTAGTTAGGACTACAGGCATGCACCACCATACCTGGTTACTTTTTTATTTTAGTAGAGATGTACCACCATTCCTGGCTAACTTAAAAATCTTTTTGGAGAGATAGGGTCTCACTGTGTTGCCCAGGCTGGTCTCAAACTCCTGGCCTCAAGCAGTCCTCCTGCCTCAGCCTCCCAAAATGCTGGGATTACAGTTGTGAGCCACCATGTCTGGCCCAGATGATAGGATCTTATATTTGGAAAAACCTAAAGACCCCCACCAAACAACTATTTGAACTGATAAATCCAACAAATCAACATACAAAAATCAGTAGCATTTCTGTATGCCAACAGCAAACAATCTGAAAAATCAAGAGAGTATTCCCATTTACAATAGCTACAAGTAAAATACTTAGGAATAAACTTAATCAAAGAAATGAAAGATGGCCAGGCACGCTGGCTTATGCCTGTAATCCTAGCACTTTGGGAGTCCAAGGTGAGTGGGTCTCTTGAGACCAGGAGTTCAAGACCAGCCTGGGCAACATGGCGAAACCCTGTCTCCACAAAAAATACAAAAATTATCTGGGTGTGGTGACATGCACCCATGGTCCCAGCTACTCAGGAGGCTGAAGTGAGAGGATCACCTGAGCTCAGGAGGTCAAGGCTGCAGTAAGCCATGATCATGCCACTGCACTCCAGCCTAAGTGACAGAGTGAGACCTTGTCTCAAAAAAAAAAAAAAAGAAAAAGAAATGAATGATCCCTACAATGAAAACTATAAAACATTGATGCAACAAATTGAAGAGGACACACAAAAAATGGATATTCTATGTTCATGGATTGGAAGAATTAATATTGTTAAAACGTTCATACTACCCAAAGCATTCTACAGATTCAATGTAATCCCTATTAAGATACCAATGATGTTCCTCACAGAAATAGAAAAAATAATACTGAAATTTATATGGAACCACAAAAGACTCAGAATAGCTAAAGCCATCCTGAGCAAAAAGAACAAAACTGGAGGAATGACATTACCTAACTTCAAATTATACTACAGAGCTGTAGTAACCAAAACAGCATAGTACTGGCATAAAAATAGACACACAGACTAATGGAACGGAATAGAGAACCCAGAAGTAAATCCATGCATCTACAGTGAACTCATTTTTGACAAAGGTGCCAAGAACATACATGGGGGAAAGGACAGTCTCTTCAATAAATAATGCCAGGAAAACTGGATATTCATACGTAGAAGAATGAAGCTAGACCCCTATCTCTCACCGTATACAAAAATCAATTCAAAATGGACTAAAGACTTGAACTGAAGACCTCAAACCATGAAACTACTAGAAGAAGAACTTTGGGAAAACTCTCCAGGAAATTGATCTGGGCAAAGATTTCTTGAATAATACCCCCAAAGCACAAGCAGCCAAGGCAAAAATGGATAAATGAGATCACATCAAGTTAAAAAGCTTCTGTACAGCAAAGGAAACAATCAACAAAGTGAAGAAACCACCCACAGAATGGGAGAAGATATTTGCAAACTATCAATCTGATGAGAGATTAATAACCAGAATATATAAGGAGCTCAAACAACTCTATAGAAAAAAATCTAATCCGATTTAAAAATGGACAGAAATAGAAAAAATAATCCTAAAATGTATAAGATCTGAATAGGCATTTCTCAAAAGAAGACATACAAATGGCAAACATATATGAAAAGATGCCCAACATCACTGATCGTTAGAGAAATGCACATCAAAACTACAATGAGATATCATCTCACCCCAGTTAAAATGGCTTCTATTCAAAAGGCAGGCACTAATGGATGCTAGGGAGGACATGAAGAAAAGGGAACCCCCCTTGGCCGGGCACGGTGGCTCACGGCCTGTAATCCCAGCACCTTGGGGGGTCGAGGTGGGCGGATCACCTGAGGTCGGGAGTTCTAAACCAGCCTGACCAACATGGAGAAACCCCTTCTCTACTAAAAAAAATACAAAATTAGCTGGGCGTAGTGGTGCATGCCTATAATCCTAGCTACTCGGGAAGGCTGAGGCAGGAGAATTGCTTGAACCTGGGAGGCGGAGGTTGCAGTGAGCCGAGATTGCGCTATTGTACTCCAGCCTGGGCAACAAGAGCGAAACTCCGTCTAAAAAAAAAAAAAGGGAGCCCTTGTACACTGTTGGTGGGAATGTAAATTAGTACAGCCACTGTGGAGAACAGTATGGAAGTTCCTCACAAAACTAAGAACTACCACGTGATCCAGCAATCCTGCTAGGTATATACTCAAAAGAAAGGAAATTAGTATAGCGAAGAGATACCTGCACTCCCATATTTATTGCACTATTCACAATAGCCGAGATTTGCAAGCAACCTAAGTATCCATGAACAGATGAATGGATGAAGAAAATGTGGCACGTATATACAATGGAGTACTAGTCAGCCATAAAAAGGAATAGGATCCTGTCACTTGCAACAACATGCATGGACCTGGAGGAAATTATGTTAGGTGAAATAAGCCAGGCACAGAAAGCCAGACTTTGTACATTCTCACTCGTTTGTAGGAGACATAAATTAAAACAATTGAACTCATGGAGATAGTGAATAGAATGATGGTTACTAGAGGCTGGGATGGATAGTGGGAGAGGGAATGGGGATGGTTAATGGGTACAAAAATGTAGTTAGATAGAATGAATAAGATCTAGCATTTGACAGCACAACAGCGTAATTATAGGCAACAATAATTTATTATACATTTTAAAATAAAAGTATAATTGGATTGATTGTAGCACAAAGAAATGATTAATGCTTGAGGTGATGAAAACCCCATTTATCCTGATTATTAGGCATTGCATGCCTTATCAAAATATCTCATGTACCCCATAAATATATACATCTAATATGTACCTATTAAGATAAATAAACAACCAGAGAAAATTAATAAAAACAAAAGTTAGTTCTTAAGATCCATAAAATTGGCTGGCGCAGTGGCTCACGCCTGTAATCCCAGCACTTTGGGAGGCCTAGGTGGGCAGATCATAAGGTCAGGAATTCGAGACCAGCCTGGCCAACATGGTGAAACCCCGTCTCTACCACAGATATAAAAATTAGCCAGATGTGGTGGTGGGCACCTGTAGTCCCAGCTACTCAGGAGGCTGACGCAGGAGAATCGCTTGAACTCGGAAGGCAGAGGTTGAAATGAGCCAAGATCGTGCCACTGCACTCCAGCCTGGGCAACAGAGCGAGACTCCATGTCAAAAAAAAAAAAAAGAAAAAGAAAAGATCCATAAAATTGACCCACGCTTACCAAGGATCTGATCTTGGTAAAATAAAACCAAAAAACAAAGAGAGTTAGACATAGATTACCAAAATCAGAAATGAAAATGAGAGCATCACTGCTGACCATAAAGAAGAAAATTAAAGGAAATATGAAGAGCAACTTCATGCAAAGGAATTAAACAATTAAGGTGAAGTGAGTAAATTCCTAGAAAGGCACAAATTACTGAAACTAACTTAACAAGAAATAGGAAATCTGAATAGACCTATACCAAGTAAATAGATTGAATTTATAATTTAAACTCTTCTGACAAAAGCCAAAGCCCACATGACCTTACCGATGAATTGTATTCAATATTTAAACAAGAAATAATGTCAGTTCTTCACAAACTCTTTTAGAAAGTACTGGAGGAGAGAATACTTCCAAACTCATTCTGTAAAGCCAATGTTACCCTTACACAAAAGCCAGATCAAGATAACAAAAAATAAAAATTACAAATGTTCCTCATGAACACAGACTCAGAATTTTTAACAAAATATTAGCAAACCAAATTTAGTAATATACAGAAAATATATACACCATGATCAAGAGAGGTTTATCCGGGCCAGGCGCAGTGGCTCATGCTTCTGATCCCAGCACTTTGGGAGGCCGAGGCAGGTGGATCACGAGGTCAGGAGATCAAGACCATCCTGGCCAACATGGTGAAATCCCATCTCTACTCAAAGTACAAAAATTAGCCAGGTGTGGTGGTGCGTGCCTGTAATCCCAGCTACTTGGGAGGCTGAGGCAGGGGAATTGCTTGAACCCGGGAGGCAGAGATTGCAGTAAGCCCAGATTACGCCACTGCACTCCAGCCTGGCGACGGAGTGAGACTCTGTCTCAAAAAAAAAGAGGTTTATCCCAGAAATGCAAGGTATAACACCTGAAAATCAATTAATACAAAACAGCATATTAATAAAGAACAATTAATGCAAAACACCATATTAATAAAGAACAAAACCACATGATTATCTCAATAGAAGCAGAAAAAGCATTCCGCAAAATCTAGCACCCAATTATGAGATATCTCAACAAACTAGGAATTAGAAGGGATCTTTCTCAACTTGAAAAAGGGCATTTAGGGAAATGCTACAGATAAAATTTAACACAGAAAGACTGAATACTTCGAATACTTTCCCCTTAATAGTGGAATCAAGGCTCAGATGTATGCTCTTTACACTTGGATTCAACATTGTACTGGAGAGCTGGGCACAGTGGCTTACACCTGTAAACCCAGCACTTTGGGAGGCTGAGGAGGGTGGATCACCTTAGGTCAGGAGTTGGAGACCACCCTGGCCAATGGTGAAACCCCGTCTCTACTAAAAATAATAATAATAATAATAATAATAAATAAATAAAAATTAGCCAGGCACGGAGTTGCGTGCCTGTAGTCCCAGCTACTTGGGAGGCTGAGGCAGGAGACTCGCTTGAACTTGGGAGGCGGAGCTTGCAGTGAGCCAAGATCGCGCCATTGCTCTCTAGCCTGGGCGACAGAGCGAGACTCCGTCTCAGAACAAAACAAAACAACATTGTATTGGAGGTTCTCCCCAAATTGGAAAGCAGAAGTAAAAGTGTCTATTCACAGATGACATGATCCTACATGTAGAAAATCTTAAGGAGCTCAGACACACAAACTATTAGAACAAGGTCACAGGATAAAGGATCAATAATCAAAAAATCAATTGATTTTTTATAAACATGAACAATCTAAAATGAAATTAAGAAAACAATTTCATTCACAGTAGCATCCAAAGAATAAAATTCTTTGGGATAAATTTAACAAAAGAAGTATAAGATTTGTCCATTGAAGACTATAAAACATTGCCGAGATAAAGAAGTTCTAAATAACTAGAGACATTCTGTGCCCATGGATTGGAGGCCTCAATATTGTTAAGATGACAGTTCTGTCCAAATTGATCTATAGATTCAACACAATTCTTTTCAAAATCTCAGCATGCTTTTTAGTAGGAATTGATAAGCTGATTCTAAAATACATACAAAAATGCAAAGGACCTAAAAGAGTCAAAAGAGTTTGGGGACAGAAAAGAACAGTTGGTATATTAATAGTACCTGATTACAAAACTCCCTGTAAAGCTACAGTAATTAAGACTGTCACAATGGCATAGCATAGACATAAATCAATGGAACGGAATTGTGAATTCAGAAGTAAACCACTACATTTATGGTCAGTTGATTTTCAACTGTGTTTCCAAGAAACTTAGTACTGGAGAAATGAGTCTTTCATGTGCTAACAAATGGTGCCAGGACAATTGGATATCCATATGTAAAAAATGAATTTAAACCCTTACCTCATATTATACACAAAAATGAACTAAAAATGGATCAGAGGCCAGGCGCTGTGGCTCACACCTGTAATCCCAGCACTTTGGGAGGCCAAGGCGGGTGGATCACGAGGTCAGGAATTCGAAACCAGCCTGGCCAACATGGTGAAACCCCATCTCTACTAAAAATACAAAAATTAGCCGGACGAGGTGGCACACACCTGTAGTCCCAGCTACTCAGGAGGCTGAGGCAGAAGAATCGCTTGAACCCGGGAGGCAGAGGTTGCAGTGAGCCCAGATTGTGCCACTGCACTCCAGCCCGGGTAAAAGAGCAAGACTCCATCTCAAAAAAAAAAAAAAAAGGATCATAAACCTAAATGTAAGAAAGACTTAACATTAAAACTTTTTAAAGAAAACAGAGGAGAAAATCTTTGTGACCTTGGGTTAGGCAGAGTTCTTATATATAAAATAGCAAAAGCATGAGCCATAAAAGAAATTAAGAAATTGGACTACATTGAAAGTGAAAACTTTTGCAACTCAAAAGATACCATTAAGAAAATGATTCAGTTAGACAGGAAGAAAAAGTTTAAGAGACCTACTGTACAACATGTTAACTATTGTATACTTGAAAATTGGTAATAGTATATTTTAAATGTTCTCACCACAAGAAAATTAGAATTATGTAAGGTAATGCATATGTTAATTAGCTTGATTTAGCCATTTCACAATGTCTAAACATAGTGAAATGTTTACATATATACAAACATAGTGGCTGGGTGCATTGGCTCATGCCTGTAATCCCAGCACTTTGGGAGGCTGAGGTGGGAGAATGGTCTGAGCCCAGGAGTTCTGTAGTGAGCTATGATGGTGCCAACTGCACTCCAGCCTGGGCAACAGAGTGAGACCTGTCTTAAAAAAAAAACAAAGAACAAAAAAAAAAAACAGCAAAAAAAAAAAAAAGAAAAAATGTATACCATAAATATATTTATCTGTGAATTTAAAAAATAAAATTTAATTTAAAAAGATAAGCCACAGCCTGGGTTTGCAAATCATAAAGCTTGATAAAGGACTTGTATCCAGAATATATAAAGAACTCTTATAACTAATAATAAATGTTATGGGTTGAATTGTGTCTCCCACAAAAGATACTGAAATTCCTTTTTTTTTTTTTAAGGTGGAGTTTCGCTCTTGTCATCTAGGCTGGTGTGTAATGGCACAACCTTGGCTCACTACAACTTCCACCTCCCAGGTTCAAGCAATTTTCCTGCCTCAGCCTCCTGAGTAGCTGGGATTACAGGTGTGTGCCATCACGCCCAGCTAATTTTTGTATTATTAGTAGAGATGGGGGTTTCACCATTTTGGCCAGGCTGGTCTTGAACTCCTGACCTCAGGTGATCTGCCACCTCAGCCTCCCTAAGTGCTGCGATTACAGGTGTGAGCCACTGTGTCTGGCCAAAAGATGTTGAAATTCTAACTCTCAGTACCTGTGAATGTTACCTTATTTGGAAATAAGGCCTTTGCTGATGATCAAGTTAAGATGGAGTCATTAAGGTAGGCCCTAATCCAATATGACTGGTGTCCTTATTAAAAGAGGGAATTTGGGCCTGGTGCGGTGGCTCACACCTGTAATCCCAGCACTTTGGGAGGCCGAGGTGGGCAGATCATGAGATCAGGAGATCAAGACCATCCTGGCCAACATGGTGAAACCCCATTTCTACTAAAATACAAAAAAAAAAAAAAAAATTAGCCAGGCAGAGTGGTGCGCACCTGTAGTCCCAGCTACTTGGGAGGCTGAGGCAGGAGAATTGCTTGAACCCAGGAGGTGGAGGTTGCAGTAAGGCCAGATTGCAGTACTGCACTCCAGCCTGGCAACATAGCAAGACTCCATCTCAAAAAAAAAAAAAAAAAATAGAGAGAATTTGGACAGAGACAGACATGGAAGGAAGACTTGAAGAGACAGGGAAAAGATGACCATCTACAATCCAAGAAACCCCTGAGGCTACCAGAGCTAGAAGAGAGGCCCAGAACAGATCCTTCTTTAGTGCCTTCAAAGGAAGTATAAGTATGACCCTGCTGACACCTTGATTTAGGATATCTGGTCTCCAGAACTGTAAGACAGTAAATTTCTGTTATGTAAGCCATCCAATTTTTGGTACTTTGTTATGGCAGTGCTAGTGTCTTAGTCCATTTTGTGTTGCTATAACATAATACCCTAGACTGAGTAATTTATGATGAACAGAAATTTATTTGGCTCACGGTTCTGGAGGCTGGGAAGTCCCAGATCAAGTGACAACATCTGTTGAGGGCCTTCTTGCTGTATCATCCCAATGCCTGAAGGGCAAAAGAGCACACAAGAAAGAGGGGAAGGGGGCCAGACTCATCCTTTTGTCAGGAACCGACTCTTGAAATAACTAACCTGCTCTTAAGATAATGACATTAAGGCCAGGCGTGGTGGCTCACGCCTGTAATCCCAGCACTCTGGGAGGCTGAGGCGGGCGGATGACGAGGTCAGGAGTTCGAGACCATCCTGGCTAACACGGTGAAACCCTGTCTCTACTAAAAATAAAAATAAAAAAAATTAGCCAGGTGTAGGTGGTGCATGCCTGTAGTCCCAGCTACTCGGGAGGCTGAGGCAGGAGAATGGCATGAACCCGGGAGGTGGAGCTTGCAGTGAGCTGAGATCGTGCTACTACACTCCAGCCTGGGAGACAGAGCAAGACTCCGTCTCAAAGGAAAAAGATAATGACATTAATCCTTCTCTTAAAGGTCCCACCTCGACAGGGCACACTTTGGGAGACTGAGGCAGGAGGGTTGCTTGAGGCCAGGAGTTCAAGACCAGCCTGGGTGACATCATGAGACTTTGTCTCAAAAAAACAAAAAGACAACCAAAAAAAGTTCTATCTCTCAACACTGTTACATAAACATATGAACTTCGGAGGACACATTCAAACCAAAGCACTTAGCAAGCAAATACAACCAGCTACCAAATATTATATTTTCATATTTTTAAAATTTGTTTTATTTATTTTGTAGATTGAGACAGGGCCTTGCTCTGTCACCCAGCCCAGAGTGCAGTGATGCAGTCATAGCTCACTGCAGCCTTGAACTTCTGGGCACAAGCTATCCTCCCACCTCAGCCTCCCTAGTAGCTGGGACTACAGATATGCACCACTATGCCCAGCTTTTTTTTTTTTTTTTAATGTTTTGTAGAGATGGTATCTTGCCATGTCACCAAGGCTGGTCTTGACCTCCCGGGCTCAAGCCAACCTCTTTCTTTAGCCTCCCAAAGTGATGGTTTTATAGACTTGAGTCATCACACCTAGCCTACTTAATTTTTAAAATGGGCAAAAGACTAAAATAGAAATTTCACTGAAGGCTACATATGAATGAATGATAAACACACAAAAAGGGGCTCGTCATTAGAGAAATGCACACTGAGACCACAGTGACATAGTAGCATATCCCCACTGGGATGGCTGCAACAAGAAAGGAAAAGCCATCCAGCAGCTTGTTTTGTAGATATTGACAAACTGATTCTAAAGCTTATGTAGAAAGGGAAAAGACTCAAAACGCAACATTTACAAAGAAAAGCGATGTTGGAGGAGTGATACTACCCAATTTCGAGAATTACTATAAAGCTGCAGTGATCAAGACAGCATGGTAAAGTTGTCCACAAGGTCTTGTCTGTTGCATTATAGTCAACCCTAATGTCTATTAAATGGCTACTGTGTTTCAGACACTTTCATACATGTTAGCTCAGTTACTTCTCGTATCAGTACTTTTTTTATTATTTATTTTTTTGAGACAGAGTCTTGCTCTGTCATCCAAGCTGGAGTACAGTGGCGCAATATTGGCTTACTGCAACCTCCACCTCCCGGCTTCAAGCAATTCTCATGCTCAGCCACTGGAGTACCTGGGATTACAGACATGTGCCACCATGCTTGGCTAATTTTTGTATTTTTTGTAGAGACAGGTTTCGCCATGTTGGCCAGGCTGGTCTTGAACTCCTGACCTCAAGTGAGGACCTCCTTTGCCTCAGCCTCCCAAAGTCCAGGGATTACAAGCATGAGCCACTGCACCCAGCCTTGTATCAATACTTTATGTCAGGGTTGATTAAAAAAAATTCTTTTAATTTTGATAAAATACACATAAAATGTGCTGTCTTAAATGTTTTTAAGTGTACAGGTCAGCAGTGTTAAGTATATAGCCAGCCCTCCATACCCACAGCTTCTGCATCCGTGGATGCAACCAGCCATGGATCAAAAATATTTGAAAAACAATAATACAACAATAAAAAAATAAACAGCATAGCAACTGTTACATAGCTTTTACATTGTACTAGGAATTATAAGTAATCTAGAGATGATTTAAACTCATAGGAGGATGGGCATAGGTTATAGGCAAATTCTCTGCCGTTTTATATCAGGAACTTGAGCATCTGTGGATTTTGGTACCTTGCGGGGTCCTGGAACCAATTGCCCAAGGATACCTAGGAATGATTCTATTGGTGAAAGAATAGACAAAAAAGATCACTGGAATGGAAGAGAGAGCCCAGAAATAGACCCATACAAATACAGTCAACTGATTTTGACAAAGGAGCAAAGGCAACTGGAGAAAGCCTAGTTTTTTTTTTCCAAGAAATGGTACTGGAACAACTGGACATCCACATACAAAATAATGAATTTAGATATCCTGTTTTACAAAAGTTAAAACCACAGACATAAAAGCAACATGCAAAAGTATAAAACTCCTACAAAATAATAGAAAATTTAGGTGAATTTGGGTTACACCGTGACTTTTTAAAATTTTTTATTTTACTTTATTTTTAGAGATGGGGGTCTCACTCTGTTGCCCAGGCTGGAGTGCAGTGGTATAATCATAGCTGACTATAGCCTTGGACTGTTGGGCTCAAGCAATCCTCCTGCCTCAGCCTCCCAAGTAGCGAAGACTATAGGTGTGTGCCAACCCCGCCTCCCCGCCGACCCCCTCCCCCAGCTAATTTTTAAAAACTTTTGTAGAGATAGGGTCTCCCTATGTTGCCCAGGCTGGTCTCAAACTCCTTGGTTGAAATGATCCTCCCACCTCAGCCTCCCAAAGTGCTGGGATTACCAGCACTGGTATGCTGGCATGAGCTCTACTGCACCTGGCTGGCAGTTTCTTAAAAAGCTAAAAATAAAGTTATCATTTGACTTAACAGTTCAACTCCCAGAACTCTACTAAAAGAAATGAAAACAAATCCACACAAAGACTTCCACGTGAACATTCTAAACAGCATTATTGATGATAGCAAAAACTAGAAACAACCCAAATGTCCATCCACTGATGAATGGATAAACAAAGGCAGTATTTCCATACAATGGAACTACTCGGTAATAAAAGGAATGAAGCAGTGACGCATGCTGCAGCATTGATGAACCTCAAAAACAGTATGCTAAGGAGAAGCAGCCAGACACAGGACTGCATATCATAAGACCCTACTTATATGAAATTGTTCATACAGACAGAAAGCAATGCAGTGGATTGCCCAGGGCAGGAGATGGGAGCAGGGATTAACTACAAAACAGTCTCCAGGAAATTCTGCGGGGTGATGGAAAACTAGATGGTGGTGATGGTTACATAACTCCAAATTCATTTAAAATCACTGAGTTGTATACTTATATATGAATTTTATCATATGTAAATTATAACTCACTAAAAGTTTACAAAATATAAAAATAAGGCTCATGGAAAATGTAAATTAAGAAAAAACCGACTAGCCAGGAGGAAAAATGATGGGCTGCACATACACAAGCCCTCAGGCCCTGGTAACTGTTCTCTGTAAACCTGACTCGGAGTTTCTTGGTAGCCAAGTGACTAGAGAACTACTGCCCCCTGGAAGGGGAGGCATACTTAATTTCTTAAGAAATGCTGGGCCAGGTGCCATGGCTTATGCCTGTAATCCTAGCACTTTGGGGGCCAAGGCAGGAGGACTGCTTAAGCCCAGGAGCTCAAGACTAGCCTGGACAACATGGCAAGATTCCATCTCTACAAAACTTTAAAAAGAAAATTAGCCAGGCATGGTAGTGCACACCTGTAGTCCCAGCTACTCAGGAGGCTGAGGTAGGAGGATTGCTTGGGCCCAGGTGGTCGAGGCTGCAGTGAGCTGAGATGGCACCACTGCACTCCAGCCTGGGTGACAGAGTGAGACCTGTCTCAAAAAAAAAAAAAAAAAAGCAAAGCTATTCCTAGCTTTCAATTTCAAGAATGATTTCTCAGGTGTGGTCTCACCCAGACACTAGAGAAAAAGTATGAATAGTGTCTTTTAACAGTATCCAGGCCAGGTGCGGTGGCTCACACCTGTAATCCCAGCGCATTTTGGGAAGCCGAGGCGGGTGGGTCACCTGAGGTCAGGAGTTTGAGACTAGCCTGGCCAACATGGTGAAACCCTGTCTCTACTAAAAATACAAAAATTAGCCAGGCATGGGGGTGCATGCCTGTAATCCCAGCTATTCGGGAGGCTGAGGCATGAGAATCACTTGAACCCAGGAGGTGGAGGTTGCAGTGAACCAAGATCACACCACTGCACTCCAGCCTGGGCGACAGAATGAGACTCTGTCTCAAAAAAAAAAAAAAAAAAAAATAGTATCCTATGACAAAAGCAATAATGGGCTCCATAAAGTAGTTTCATTTAATGTTCCTTGATAAAGGCCACAAATATGATGCCAGAACACAGCCCAGAGAGGGAATTTCTGCTGAGGCTAAGAACATGTGGCCCGAGCTTGTCGCTTTCTGAATGCCCGGCTATATTCAAAAATAAATCCTAGAATAGTTAGCGAACTGGATGGAGTACACAGAGGCCTTTGGAAATATCCTCCATAAATATGATTTCTTTCAGTAGATTTGTAATGAGTTGGTAATTATTATGCAAGTGTTTTTTCCCCAGGTAGGGAAAGGGCTGGAATGCGCCAGTATTGCTAAGTAAGGGCATATCCTTCTGCAGAGCTATGGGAATGTATGCAAGGGGTGTGTTCCTGAAGAATTCACGTAACTCCAGATGCAAAGTAGGAGAGCTATGAGTTCAAATTCTGCTTATTAAGCAAGAGTTTAGTGTTTTGGGTTTTGTTGTTTTCTTGTGTTTTTAAAAAATCATAGCTGGGCACAGTAGTTCATGCCTATTGTCCCAGCACTTTGGGAGGCTGATATGGGAGGATCACTTGAGCCCAGGAGTTCAAGGCCAGCCAGGGCTTGGAAGATAAACCTGGCAGCTCCCGAGGCCAGCCATGCCTCCACCATGCCAGCCTTCCTCTGGCCCAGGCTAGTGACTCAGGCCAACGTTGGAAGGCCCACCAGGAGAGGATTCCACCTATCATAGTGTGACCCTGTCTCTACAAAAAATACGAAAATTTAAAAATTAGCTGGATGTGGTGGCATGCACCTGTAGTCCCAGCTACTCAGGAGGCTGAGGTGAGAGGATCACTTGAGCTCAGGAGGTTGAGGCTGCAGTGAGCCATGATCGCACTGCTGCACTCCAGCCTGGGTGACAAAGCGAGACCCTGTCTCAAAAAAAAAAAAAAATTACATAATTCAAATCTGTGTTAAATGACACCTGTCCTTTAGTGATCAAAGGAGCAGAAAGTCCAGTTCCTTCTGTGTTCTGGGTGGGCTCGTTCCCTTGTAGAAATGTCCCTCTGTGCTGGCAACAGGATATGGTTGCCATTCAGCTCCTGGCCAGCCTGGGGCACAGGTCAATGTCATGGTCCCAGCTCATGAGGAATCCGGAAGAAAAAGATTTGTGGCTTTACACTGCTGCAATTTTTCAGTTCTTTGCTAATCTGCATTCACTTTTGAGCTCGTGTAAATTGCAGAAGAAGAGGGAAGTCACTGTTTGAAATAAGAATGGAACTATTATCAGCAAATACTTTGGGCACTTACTATACAGTTAGCCCTTCATGTGTATTAACAAGTTCATCCTCACAGCCCTGCGAGGTCCTGGGGAGGGCACAAGTACATAAATCATGTCCCAGGGAGTCAGGCTTTGGATCAAAGTGGTACTTACACAGATGGCCTCAAACACGTGAAAGACACTATAAACCGGCAAGACCTGGCTCACCAGGGCAATGACATCTCTGCAGAAGAAATGAGAAAGCATTAAGACACAGATGTATCCTTTGAGACCCATTTATATCCCTTCTATTCCACACCCCACCCCCACAAGAAAAAGCTTTGGAATAGAGGTAGTTGCCCCACACAAATGTAACTGGCACTGCTAGCCCAGAGTTTTCTGTGTCTGTGGGTCACACCTAAAACTTCAGAAGAGCCCCCACAATTTTGGACTGCCCTTCAATTAGCCTCTTGTCTATGGACAGGCACTAAAGGCCTGGGGTGGATAGACAGAAGTTGGCTTCCTCTCAGTGAGAGCCAAGCCTGGGCTCTTCCTGCTTCCTTTGGGCCCAGCACTGAGCCAGGAATGTGATAAATCTGAGGACACACTGGGAACCACTTTGACATTTTCCAAGAGTCAGCACAGAAAACTGATTACCTACTCATCATTGGTAAAAATATGCCCCAGCTGATTTTTCAGGATGCTTATCAGGGTGCCCAGGACCAGGGAAATGCCAACTGGAAGAGACAAAAGGTGCAGCAATGACAGACCCCAAGCCAGGAAGCACCCTTGCTCAGATCAGCAAAGGGCTGGCCCCTATGTCAGTGCAAGTCAGCCCAGCCCTCTGCAACCAGGTGCCTTTTGTCACAGGCCTTCATGTCCCCCGCATCTGAGGCGTTCATTTGGGCTAGACAGTCTTGTAGGAAGGGCAGTGTGGAAAATGCTTCCACTCCAGTGGTTCTCAGAGTGGGCGGCACGCTGGCGCAGCAGCATTAGCATCACGTGGGAACTTGTTAGAAACAGATTCTCAGACCCTGCCTCCGACCTGCTGAACCAAAGCCTGCTGGTGAGGCCCAGCAATCTGTGACCAGCCCTCCAAGGGGATTCCAGCGCAGGCTACAGCCTAAGAACCACTGCTTTCTACAGGGAAGCCGGTCTGAGCCTTCCAGTCTCAGAAAGCACAGCCATGATGTCAGAGGACATGAGTGGCTCCTTCTCCAGAGTGGGTTGGCAGCTGCCAAGCTCATGGGGGTGCTGGGAGGGCCAGGCCTGCAGAAGGACTCTGGACAGCTGGAAGGAGAGTGCTGGGCAGGAAGGGCCGTCAAAGAGTCAGGGTTTGCTCTAAGGTAAGTGGTAGAAGCCAGCTGTCTCCAGAAGAGTCCCAGAATCACAGCAGCAGGGAAGGAGTGAGTGGGGATGGGGAGAAAGTGGTGGGAGGGACGCCTGCTGCTCAGGGAGGGGCAGCTGTCAGCTTATCAGCAGAGGCTGACCTGGGTCAGATGGCAGGTCCAGCAGGCTTGGAAGATAAACCTGGCAGCTCCCGAGGCCAGCCCTGCCTCCAGCATGCCAGCCTTCCTGTGGCCCAGGCTGGTGACTCAGGCCAACGTTTGAAGGCCCACCAGGAGAGGACTCCACCTACCTATGCTGAGCACGCCCGAGACGGCCGAGCGCTTGGCCTGCACAGTATCCGCAGCCCCCAGAGCCATCCCCACTCGGACACAGACCCCGATGCTGAGCCCCAAGGGAATCTGGGATCAAAGATAAGAAAGCACTGTCAGTGGGCCCACCCTCCAACCCCTGAAGTCCTGAGCCAGCCTGGGCCAAGAGGGACGTGAGCGGGAAGGCAGAGCAGATCTCAGGCATGCAGTGTAAGAGGCACGTCACATTCTTGCTGCTGACAATGAGGCAGGGAGGGCTGGGGCTGGGAGAAGGGTGGGGGTACCCCCAGTGACACAGCCAGTCCCACCACCACCTGCGCCATCAGAAGCAGCACAGGCAGGCGGGCCTTGCAACCGAAATCACTGTGTTGTCCAAATCAAATGAGTAAACAGATTTTAAAGAGGTGACTGTGGTCTTAGTCCCAGAAAAGCTCCCTGTAAGAAAAAAGATATTTCAGCAGAAACCACTTGTAAAAATAAGAATCTCTAAATTGATTTTGTAATGTAGATTTTTGTGACTCCTTTGCTTAAAGCTGGGGTCAGGGATAACATGCAGATGCGTACCCGAGTGACATGGGCTGCATAAGCAAGACGATGGCTGTGTCTCTGTGGGGAGTAGAGGGGAGGTGGGGGCTGTGGTGGAGGAGAGCCCATGGCCCTGCTGGGGACGCTGTCACCCAGCTCTGGCCGACTGCAGTGTGCAGGAATGTGGCCTGCTGCTCGATGGAATGTGCTTTTTTTTTTTTTTTTTTTTTGAGACAGAGTCTTACTCTGTTGCCTAGGCTTGAGTGCAGTGGCACGATCTCGGCTCACTGCAACCTCCGCCTCCCGGGTTCAAGTGATTCTTCTGCCTCAGCCTCCCAAGTGGCTGGGACTACAGGCTTGTGCCACCATACCTGGCTAACTTTTTATATTTTTAGTAGAGATGGGGTTTCACCATATTGCCCAGGTTGGTCTTGAACTCCTGGCTTTGTGATCCGCCCTCAGCCTCCCAAAGTACTGGGATTACACACGTGAGCCACTGCGCCCAGCCTGGAATGTGCATTTTTAAAGAAAATCCAAAAATAAGATTGTGATGTGAAATCTCCCAATTTTAAAATGATACTAATTAATTTTTAAAATTCCAACATCTGTGAGTGAAATATCACCCTTGGTCGTCAGGTTGTGGGCACCTGTGTGTGAGTCCTGGCGTAAGCTGAGCAGGGTCTGGACCTGGTGGGCACGAGAGGCCCGGGGAGGGTCCTTCGGGAGACAGAGATAGCTTCAGGTGACAGCCTGCCCCCCTCCTATGACACCTCCAGCCATCAGGTGGGGGATGTGGGGAAGGCACCCCTGCAGGAGCCTTACCATGTAGGTCACAGTGGCCACCTCGTAGATGACAGCCTGGGCAGAGAGATCCACCACACTGAGCAGCCCTAGAGAAGAGGCCCGCCGTGAGTCCGGCCCGCAGCCCCAGACACCCAGACCCTGCGCCGACAGGACGCTGCTTTGCTTTGGGGACTCAGGGGCTTTTTTTTTTTTTCTTCCTTGAGACAGGGTCTCACTCTGTCGCTTGAGCTGGAGTGCAGTGGCGCAATTATAGCTCACTGCAGCCTCCACCTCCTGGCTTAGGTGATCCTCCCACCTCAGGCCCCCAAGTAGCTGGGACTACAGGTGGTGCCACCACACCCAGCTAATTTTTGTATTTTTTTGTAGAAACAGAGTTTCGCCATGTTGGCCAGGCTGGTCTCGAACTCCTGGCCTCAAGTGATCCACCCACCTCGGCCTTTCAAAGTGCAGGGATTACAGGCATGAGCCACTGAGCCCGGCTGATTTTGAAGGGCAGATTGGTAACAATGACAACAAAAAGACATTCCTGCCTGGCCTTCAGCCTGTTAGGAAAATTCTGCCCAGTGCCCCGGAGGCCCCTGCAGGCTTCCCTGTGTGGTCTGTCTTTCCAGATGAACTCAGGGTGGCAGTGTGAGGGAGGGGACAGAGAACAGGACCAGGGTCCGGCAACTCGAGTTCGGTTCTTGGCCCTCCCACTGATTTTCTATTTGTGGAGTTCCTGTGTTCTTGGGGCCCCGTTTTCTCATCTGCAAATGCGGGGCAGGGCAGGGGTTCTCACATTCAGGCTGCCTGGAGTCCTCACTTCACCGAGTGCTCTAATGAGCACACACAAGGCAGCAGGTGGGAGCCTCACACTGGCAAGCCTGGACCTCTGCTCACACCCGCAAACCAACTGAATCTCTCACTCCTCCGTGCCTCAGCCACCTCCCACGGGCACCTGCTCTGCCTGGCCCATGCTGGGATTCAGGCACAAAAGGCCCAAGTCTGCCTCCTGGATGCTCACAGCCTACTGGGGAGGCAGACCAGCAACAGACGGATCAGCCCCGCTGGGCAGTGGTGTTCTCTGGGTCCAAGCCTGAGGGCCTGGCCAGTGAAGCTGGAAGGGGGCTGGTGAGCTGCCATCCTGGGGAGGGGGCTTCTGGGATGGGTGAGCCGCCATCCTGGGGAGGGGGCTTCTGGGCTGGGTGAGCCGCCCACACGCCATTGCGCCCCCCATCCTCTTCCACGTACCCATGAGGAAGCTCCCGATCTCATAGGCCCACCACTCAACACAGATCATGAGCATGCTGGGGACAGCCAGGGAGAAGAAGGGGCCCCAGTCCTGCAGGCACTGGCTGGACCAACCTGGAAACAGAGGCCCCATGAGCTGACAGCCTGCCCTGCTTGCCCACCTCATTCCTGCTCCCCACTGCCAGGAGGCCCCTAAACCCCTTTGGCTCTTCCTGCTCTGGGGCTTAGCAGGCTCAGGCACTGGGCATTTTGCAGAGGGAATGCAGCTGGTCTAGAGCTGGTGTTGGGGCCTACGGAGGAGGAGGATGCAGGAACAGGGCACCAGGCTCACCTGGCCAGTCCACGGTGTGGCCCCAGGGCTCAGGGCATGGGTGTTGGTCCCCACTCCACCACCCACCACTCTGCAGGCTCCATTTCCATCTGAAAACCCCAGGCCTTATAGCTGCCCTGCCTCCCTGGGGAGTTTTCAGAGGCGGCATGAGATCAAGGATGCTGAAGGGAAACACACCACAGGTGCACTGGGCAAGCTTGGAAGGGGCTCAGCCAGGGCCCTGCCCCACATGAGGCCCCAGGGGCCTGCAGAGCTGTTCCTGAAATGCCTGGCAGGAGAAGGTCCTTGTATGGGATTGGCTCTCAAGAGGCAGAAAAGGACAGGCAGGCCCCTACACGCCTGCTGTTTCAGCAAATTACTTAACCTCCGTCTGTCATAATCTCCTCTTTGTAAAATGGGGCTAATGAGGTGGGGTGAGGTTTAAATGAATTCAGGAATGTCAGGCACCCCACGCACTGCTGACGCCTGGTATTCCACGGGTGTCACTGCTCTCACCGCCATCCTGAGAGCAGAGGCTGGGCAAGAAAGCTCCCTGGGCCAGGCTTCTGTGATGGACCCAGCAGGGCTCTGCATCGTGACACCTTGGGTGGAGGGACTCTGGGCCCTTGGGGCTGGGGAAGCAAAGGGGAAGGAGGGGGCCGTGCAGGGTCCTGCACCTCCTCCAACAGGCTCTACTGCACCCTCTGCCTGCTGACCACCCTGCCCCAAGGCTAGGGCAGCACCACCGCTGGCCTGCTCAGCCTCCCAGAGCAGGCCAGGCCTCCCACCTGCCCACGTCTCCAGGTGCAGCTTCTTCAGCACAATGTAGAGAAGGAGGAAGACGGTCTGTGCAAACTGGGAGATGATGTTGGCATAGGCGGAGCCCCTGGGTAAGGAGGGAGAACAGGGCTGCGACTGATGCCAACTCTCTGCCACCGCCCTGCCTGAGAGAGAGGTGGCTCTGGCGGCCAGCCCGTGTGGGGCAGGCATGGCTCTGCTCTTCCCCCATCCTGGGATCAGACTCAACCAGGGCCCACAGGCACCTCTGGCCATGGTGGCTCTACCAAGGCAGCCGTGACTACAGTGTCCTGGGGGCCACCTTGCCAGTGCCCACTTCACCTCTCCTGGTGGGCTTGGGCAGGAGCGGGGAGTGGCTGTCCTCTCACCCAATCAAGCGTCAAACTGAGGTCCCCAAGGGACCATCAGGCCCCTCCAACTCCCCATAACCCTCCACTTCAGGACGGCACAGGCAGGGCCAGGATGGTGACTGATCTGTCTCCACCAGGGGTGGAGAGCTCAGTGGGCAGTGTCCCCTGACCAGGCCCCACCAGCCCCCGGGCTCACCTGACCCCCAGGTTCAGCACAGAAACCAGGGCATAGTTGGCCACACCGTTGACACAGTTGCCCACCACACCACTGAGGACTTGGGGCCAGGTGATCTTCTGAAATAAATGAAAACTGGCCCTGCTAAGGTGTGAGTGAGATGGATGGAGGATGGACAAACCCGGGGTTTGGAATGGGGACTCCTCCTCCTGCCCCTTCAGCCATCCCTGTTGAGGAGTTGGAAGAGGCTGGGACGCACAGCCTCTCACCTGCCTCTGTGCGGGAGGTCAGGATATGGCAGGTGGGTTGGAAGTGACCCCTTTCAAGAGCTGGTTCACAGATGGTGGAGAGAAGGGGAAAGCCCCAGGCCCCCCTCCCACTGGAATAGGGCAGTGTGCTGGGAGAAGGGCCTCCCCACACACCAAAGACCTGTACCTGATTTTGCAAATATTTTGCCAGCAGATTGTAAAGAAAAATCACCTGTATGAAAAGCAAACCCAAACAAATCAACAATAATGACCAAAACTCACCAAATGAGCATTAACAGACATTCCTTTCCAGGACATAGTACCCCAGATTGGGGAAATTACTTCATCAAAGTATGTCTGGGACCTCTCAGGTGCGGCCAAAGCCTACCCAGCCACCTGGACTCATGCTCGGGCCCAGCCTATGGAAGAGGCCCCCTCAGGGCTCCCTTCTGCCACAGGGGAGATGAGCAGGCATGCTTTGGCTCAGAGAGAGTACTCTTTGCACACATGCTCATAGTGCACAGTGCCTGGTAGGCCTTCCGGCTGCTAAGCCAGGCTTCCATCAGCTTAGGAAGGTGAGAAGTGACCCAAGGACCTGTTCACAGAAGGGCCCACTTTGGTTCTGGCCTTAGAGACAGGATTTGAAGGTGTGACTTCGGACGAGGGAATGGCAGGTACTGAGACATGCTGGCCGTGGGCAGCCTATGCTAAGCAGGTTCAAGACCCTACGGGGGTGGCGGGCCCTTCCCTGGCTGGGGAGGACCATAGGGGAGTGTACGTGGCAGTGTGTGTGTTGGGGGGCACTGTACCTACCCTTTCTCTCCTCTCTTAAGGGGAATAGAATAGGCATCAACTGAAACCTAGCCCAGGGCCCTTGTCCCATTCCTTCCTGTAGCTCTTCACTTATTTTCAGCATAGTGTACTGATTAAGAGTACAGAGCTGGAATAGACCGGGTTTAATTCCTGGCTCTGCCTCTTCTGAGATGTGTGATCTTGGGCAAGTTACTTAATCTCCCTGAGTTTGTCTCCTCATCTGTAATGGGGATAATAATAGTGTGTGTGTGTGTACTTAATATACACTTAATATTTTACATACATAAATATTGCAAAGTTAATATTGCAAAGTGCTTACCAAATGATATATGGGACATTTAAGCATTCCAAGTGTTAGCCACTAACATAACTATGTTAGTGTTATTAGTCACTATTATTGGCAATTAACTTTTGCAGCTGCATTTTATGGAAGGACTTTGGCTTGACAAAGAAGACACCACAGTGACATCTTTACAGGGCATTTCCCCCCGACCCAGCCCCAAAAATCCTGGTTGACAAGATGCCATCACCTCGGTCTGAAAAGCCAAAGTATGGATTATGTGGAAGACTCAGAGGAGAAGAGCAGCCCTATAAGGGGGTTTCCGTAAACCAGAAAAAAATCTGTAACCAGCTAGGCCCCAAAAAGGTCATGGCACTGGCCTGGCAGAGAGGTGGGTGTGGCTGGGTCTGCTGGGACTGCACACTGTTGGGACACCCCACCTTCACCCTGACCTCTTCCCTGCCCAGCTCCCTTGCCCCAAACATTCCCCCTGGTGCCATGGAGGCTACACTGTCAGAAAGTGAGCTGAGCCTGGTAGGGCTGTCTAGCACACAGAACTGCCAGTCGTAACAGGCATCACTAAGCTGCAAGTCAAACAGTGAAGCACTGGGCTGCAGAAGAGACATACAGATCCCCGGGTCACTGGACATACAATCACTGACCTAGATAGATGTACTGTTGATTAATTAACAAATTAATGCAGAAAGGAGAGAATATGTAATAAATGGTGTTCAAAAAAATTTTAGTTGGATTAATATCTTAAATGTAAAAATAGAAACCCTGGAAGGGTCCAAAAAAGTATAAGCAAATGTGTATATAATCTTGCAGTGGGTTAAGTCTTTTTTTTTTAGACAGAGTTTCGCTCGTGTTGCCCAGGCTGAAGTGCAGTGACACAATCTCGGCTCACTGCAACCTCCACCTCCCGGGTTCAAGCAATTCTCCTGACTCAGCCTCCCGAGTAGCTGAGATTGCAGGCACCCGCCATCATGCCCAGCTAATTTTTGTATTTTTAGTAGAGACGGGGTTTCACCATGTTGGCCGGGCTGGTCTCGAACTCCTGACCTCAGGTGATCTGCCCGCCTCAGCCTCCCAAAGTGCTAGGATTACAGGTGTGAGCCACCGTGCCCGGCTGGGTTAAGTCTTTTAAGCTCGTTAAAGACATAAGGAATAGGACTTACATACACATTCACAAATCTTTTTTTTTTTTTTTGAGATGGAGTTTCACTCTTGTGAGGCTGGAGTGCAATGGTGGGATCTCAGCTCACTGCAACCTCAGCGTCCTGGGTTCAAGCAATCCTCCTGCCTCAGCCTCCGAGTAACTGGGATTTCAGGCATGCGCCACCACACCCGGCTAATTTTGTATTTTTAGTAGAGAAAGGGTTTCTCCATATTAGTCAGGCTGGTCTCAAACTCCCAACCTCAGGTGATCTGCCTGCCTCAGCCTCCCAAAGTGCTGGGATTACAGGCGTGAGCCACTGCGCCCAGCTCAAAATTCTTTAAGTCAGAAACATAAGCAGAATAAAAGGCAAACGACAAATTGGAAAATATTTGAGACAAAGGATTAAGATATTATTTAATAAGAAGTACAATACTTAGAAAAAGATTAACCCACTAAAATAAGCGAAGAGCTATTCACATAATAAGTACATGAGAAAATGTTCAACTTCATTATCAGTAAAAGAAATGCAGGCCAGGCGTGGTGGCTCACGCCTGTAATCCCAGCACTTTGGGAGGTGGAAGCGAGTGGATCACCTGAGGTCAGGAGTTCGAGACCAGCCTGACCAATATGGTGAAACCCTGTCACTACTAAAAATACAAAAATTAGCTGGGCATGATGGTGGGTGCCTGTAATCCCAGCTACTCGGGAGGCTGAGGCAGAATTGCTTGAATCTGGGAGGCAGAGGTTGCAGTGAGCGGAGATCGTACCACTGCACTCCAGCCTGGATGACAGAGCAAAACTCCGTCTCAAAAAAAAAAAAAAAAAAAAAAAAAAAAGAAAAGAAAAAAGAAATGCATGTTAATACTATTTCTAATTGGAAGAAATCTTTTAATAATAATAGTCTATGCTAGTGGAAGTTTTTGCTGGTGGGAGTAGAAATTGGTAGTTTGGCAATATGTCTCAAGAGCCATTCACTGAGCCGTCCACTTCCAGTAATGCATTTCTGTAATTGATAGTTTCCTTGAAAACCATCTGTAAGATGATTCACAAAGATTTTTTTTTAAGAATATTTACCACAAATCTTATTTATAATAGTTCGTATTATAAATAGAGATTGGTTAATAAGTTATGGCCTAACTATGGGTACCAGATAACCTTTGGAATTAATATTGTGGAAGGTTATTTAGTCCTATAAAGAGACTAATGACATATTTTAAAGGGAAAAAGCGTATTATAACCCAATATACACATACTGATCCCATTCCAATTTGTGTTTATGTGTGTGTTTGAATACACACACCCGTGAATAGAAATAATCCTGGAGGGCCGGGCACGGTGGCTCACATCTGTAATCTCAGCACTTTGGGAGGCCGAGGTGGCAGATCACTTGAGGTCAGGAGTTCAAGACTAGCCTGGCCAACATGGTGAAACTCCATCTCTACTAAAAAATACAAAAATTAGCCAGGCGTGGTGGTGCATGCCTGTAATCCCAGCTACTCCAGAGGCTGAGGCAGGAGAATGGCTTGAACCCAGGAGGCGGAGGTTGCAGTGAGCCAAGATTGTGCCACTGCACTCCAGCCTGGGTGACAGAGCAAGACTCCATCTCAAAAAAAATCAAATCCTGGAGAGAGATAGTAACATATGTTCTCTCTGGGTGGTAGAATTATAGGTGATTTGAATTTTCTCTGCCTCATGCTTTTCGTATTTTCTCCAATAAACATTTTCAAATCAGAAAAACATGTTATACTATTTTTTTTAAATTCAATTTGCACCAACTGCAACGGGAACTTTTGTCAGTCACCCTCATGGCCCAGCAGGAAGTCACAGCAGGATAGGGATCTTCCGCAGCAGATAGAGTGGGAAAGCAAAAAGCCAGAATTTAGGGGAATGTGATTCCACGCTCAGCAAACAGGGGCACCTACCGGAAGTCCTGGAATGAAAATCATTACATAGTCCTGGGTCAACCTGCAAGAGAGGGAGAAGCTCCGGAGCTGACCAGGCTGTGGCCCGGGGAGGCAGGGCCCTCTCCCCTGTGTCCTCCAGGACTGGGTGCTCGGCCGCTGTCCCAGGGTCTCAGCCAGGACTGTGAAACCTCAGCATCAGGGGCTGCTGCTTCCAGATGGTAAGCAGGTGCCAGGAGGGGCAGCCGAAACACCCAAACACCCAGGCCTCAGGATGAGGGAACTTAAATTCAGAGTAACGTGGTTCGTAAGAAAAAAAGGTTATATCTTAAAAAGGAATAACCAAATGAAATGTACATAATATAAATGAACAAGGCATCCCTATGAGAGGGATTTATTATAAAATAAATTTAATAATAAACTATAGGCCGGGTGCGATGGCTCATGCCTGTAATCCCAGCACTTTGGGAGGCTGAGGCAGGTGGATCACGAGGTCAGGAGATCAAGACCATCCTGGCTAACATGGTGAAACCCCGTTTCTACTAAAAATACAAAAATTAGCCTGGTGTGGTGGCACGTGCCTGTAGTCCCAGCTACTCAGGAGGCTGAAGCAGGAGAATCACTTGAACCTGGGAGGCAGAGGTTGCAGTGAGCCAAGATTGCACCACTGCACTCCAGCCTGGGCGACAGAGCGAGACTCTGTCTCAAGTAATAATAATAATAATAATAATAATCATCATCATCATCATCATCTATAATTCATCAAAAAGTGGTTGTCATCTTTCTCCTTTTCGGAATATGGGAAAATGCACACACTTCATTTCTTCGAAAGCATCTGTAAAGCTCCAACTGTGTCCGGGCACACAAATGCAAATAAAATGCAAATCCCAAATTGTTTCTTGCCTTGCCTTCTAAATTAAAACTGGGCGTTTGTCCGCCTCTGTCCCTGCTGGTCACTGCTGGAGCCGCAGCCATGGGGAGAATCCCCAAACCAAAGCCTGGAAGGTACCCACAGGCACCGTGCACTGTGAGCACTCGTGGCCTAGAGAAGCATGGGGTGTGAGGGCTGGGCATCTTCAGGGTTTCCCTCGGCGGCCCGGGTTTCCCAGCAAGCCCCACCTCCCCAGCCGGAGCCCAGCGCACCTGGACACGTCCGGGTCCTGCCGGAAGAGCAGCAGGATGTGCTGGGTGTTGAGGAAGAGCGCCCAGCAAGGGAGGCAGCAGAGGAGCAGGACCAGCGCGCCCCGCTGCAGGATCACGCCCACGTGCTTCTTGTTGGGGCTGCCGAAGCTCTGCAAAACAGCCCGCCCCGCGTCAGCCGTTTCCACTGCCCGGGACATTCCTAAATCCCGCGCGGGGAGCGGGCTGTCAGCGGCGCCAGCGGTGTGTGGCGGACCCGGCGGCCTCTGGTGACCACAGCCTGGCGCCCGCAGCCTGTAATGGCACAGCGGCCTTCCTGAGCCTGGGCCTACCACTGTCTCCACTGTTCTTCCAAAGCTCCAAGGAGGACGAAGGCACATGGGGCTTCATCACATGTCAGCGGCAGGTTAAGTGGAGCCAGGACAAAGCCCAGGTCCACCGTGAAGCTAAAACCCCCAGGGAGAGGTGAGGCCTTGCCGCTTTGTGACCCCATGGCCACCTGGGCAGCCCCTGCTGGACTGCAGGCCCCTGCAAGCAGGGAGGTTCCTTCTGTGTCCCCTTGGCCTTCGACACATGCCTGCATGTAGGCAGCCGAACTTAGGATTGAGGCTGGGGAACCGGTTGTCTTTCTCTACTTGGTGACCTCCTCTGGGGGCAAGAGATCAGAGAACTGTCTCCACCATCTCCACCCCTTTCTCCTGGCCCAGACTCTTTCAAAGGGGAGGGTCTGTTTCCCTGACAGCCTGTGGTCCTTGGAGGTAGGGCAGGGGCAGCTGACCCCAGGGCCCATTGCTCCCAGATCACCTGGCTGCGCCCCTCCCACCTGCCATCTCCATGGCACCTGTGGAATTGGCTCTGCCCTTGCCTGGCTTCCTGCCCAGCTCCAGGAGGCCACCCACCTGAGACATCAAGGTGTCACATGCCGAAGACAAACCAACTCCTACAGAAACTCCGCAGACATTGACAAACTGGCGCCACACACAGGAGGAAACAAGAGCTTGTCAGGTGAGGCCTGAAGAGAGGCCCCTGCATCTGGGCTGAGCCAGGGTCAGGAAATGCTGCCCAGCAGGCAGCGGTGGCAGAGGCTCTGCTCAGCAGCCTCATGTGCTGTGTGCCCCAGGGCCAGACCGCCTCCATCTCCGGCCCTCAGGTTCCACCTGTGAAGGCAGCTGTCCAGCCACGTGGGCTGTGTCTTCCCATCCCTGACCAGCCACCCAAGACGGGCCCACCCGGGAACCCGGTGGAGAAGCCTGGGGAGAGAACGTCCCTGCTCTGGGCCAAGCTGGGTACTCACGGCCACCGCGAGGGTCACCGATGCCAGCTCCACCTTGCCCAGGTGCCCGCAGAACACAGTGCTCACGATGTAGATCATAAAAGTCAGCACCTGGAACAGGAACTGGAGGACAGCGGCCAGGTCAGACTCGGGGCCACAGGTGCCCACACAGCCGAGCCCTGCAAGACAGGCCTCTCCAGCTTTGAGGGCCCCGCACCAGTGCCCCGAGAGGTCACCTACGCCTGGGGAAGCCAGGGCTGGAGGTCGGATGACCTAGCCCAGCTCCCATTCTGCGTTCTGCAGCTGCAGTCACGCCTGGCCTCCACGTCCCTACCCAGAAGGGTCAGTGCCTGGCGCAGCGCAGTGCCTGGCGCCCTGAGCTTGACCCAAGTGTCTGATACTGCTATTGCAGTTCCTATTATAACAATAATTTGGTCAGGCCGCACACCCCCAAAAAAGGAGGGGAATTAAATACACCAAAATCTTAGTAATGGCTATTTCCAAGTACTAGGATTTGAGTTAAATTTCTTTCTTCTTTATATCTTTCATTTTTTTCTAAAAGTTTTACAGGAAGTGCAATTCCATTACTCCTTTTTGGTTTTGTTTTTTTTGTTTTTTTTTTTTTTTTTGAGACGGAGTTTCGCCCTTGTTGCCCAGGCTGGAGTGCAGTGGCGCGATCTCGGCTCACTGCAACCTACCCGTCCCGGGTTCAAGCGATTCTCTGCCTCTCTCTCCCAAGTAGCTGGAATTACAGGCGCCCGCCACCATGCCTGGTTAATTTTTGTATTTTTAGTAGAGTCGGGGGGTTCTCCATGTTGGCCGGGCTGGTCTCCAACTCCTGACCTCAGGTGATCCTCCCTGCTCGGCCTCCCAAAGTGCTGAGATAACAGGCGTGAGGCAGCACGCCCAGCCTATTCCTCTTCATGATCAGAAAAAATAAATGTATTTAAAACAATTTCCCCTTTGGAAATGAAATGGGTAGCCGGCCCCTTCTTCCCCCTGCGAAGGTGCTGCAGGCTTCATGCATCTCTGGGTCCCATTTGTCCTGGAGCCATCTTCCAACTCAGGCTTTTGTGGGTTTCCAGCTGAGGCACACCCACCCCTTCTGTGTGGGGGCTGCCTGCTGCTGAGCAAAGTCAGGCCCCACTGCCACTGGGGATTGTCCAGAGACAGCTTTCAGGAGCCATCCTGCTGTCCCCAGACTCTGGACCTGGCAGTCAACATGGGCAGTTTCTGGGGAAAATGTGAGCACATTTCTGGATCCTGCCTGCAAGGCAGACACCCTCAGCCTCTCAGCTTCCTCCACTCCCTACCTGCCCCCCAGCTCCTCCTCCTTACCAGGGGTCCAGAAAGGGCAAAGAGAGTCCACATCTCAGTCCCAAAGCCTCTGGGAACCAGCCTGCTGAGGGCAGGGCAGCAGCCCCCATGGTCCAGGGCCACTGTGTCCTGGAGGCTGTCCATTCCTGGCCGGGGCACTGGCTACCCTGCACGCCTGAGCGCCTGCACGGCCAGCTTTGTCCAGCGAGCCACCCCCTGCCTGGGCAGCCCGTGTCGGTACAGCCTGGCTGATGAGTAAGGGGCAGGAGGAGGGGCTACCATGGCAACTTGTGGGATGAGCCCTGCCTCCTAGGGCACTGAGTCCCTGCTGCCAAGCCTACTGCCTCAGCCACTAGGGAGGACAGGTTCCTGGGAGTCACCCAGACCGCTGCCTGTTGTGTCTGGTCTCCCAGAGGGATTGGCAGTAAGGCCTCAGCAGGAGAAGGTCCAGGGCTGCCTGCAGTGGCTGTGGGAGGTGTGCTGAGGCCAGGACAGGGCAGCCTGGCTGGGGCAGCTGAGCCACTGGGCGTCCTGTACCCGGGCGTGATGGTGCCCACAGTGACTCCCGTTTTTCAGAAGAATTGGTGGCCTGCCCGAAGTCACAGAGCAGGTGGTGGCAGAGCCTGAACAGCCCTCAGCCCTGCTTTTCCCTGGGAGGGGTGGCTTCCCAAGAGACAGGGGCCTGGCAAACCCCATGGCAGTGCGGTCCCTAGCCTTTCATGCTGGAGGGGCCTGGGCCTGGGCCTGGGGATAGGGATGGGAGCTAGGACACCTCGGCGGAGTCCCAAGCCCCCCACTGCCCGTCACCCCTTTCAGCAGCATATCTGAGAGCCAGGGGTGGCAGTGCTTGGGAAAGCAGCTCACTATGCACGCCAGTCACTGTGCCCAGCAAGGCTGTGACTCGACGTCCCACAGGGTCCTCTGTCACCTTCCCAAATTGCCCTCTCTGCTTTTCCTTGCAGGGATGGCCTGTGACTCCCCCCTCAACCTGCCTCAAGACCAGCAGGGCAGTGGGAACCAAGAGAGGCATCTAAGGATTGCACCGGTCACCTAGCCCAGTCCTGGATCAAGCTTTTGGGTGTGGTTCAGCCCAGGAGAAGGAGGAGTGAGCGAGGGGGGCAGGAAGACAGCAGGCAGGCTGGCCAGTGGCTGTGGGAGGGCTGAAGACATCCCAAAGGCCCCACTTGGTTCCCATGTCCACCCCTGCAGCGGAGGAGTGGCCGGCAGGATTCCGAGATGCAGCCCCCAGAGCCGCGAGGAGGAAGGAGCAGACCCTGAAGGAGAGGAGGCAGGACAAATACAAAAAAAAAAAAAGGGTTTGCTACACCCATGGGCGGCCCCAAACACAGGCACAGCCCCACCCCAGTCAACACGCAGCCTTCTTTTTTGACACAGAATTCTGAAACGCTCCACTGGATCCTCCCAGGATCACCTGGGAGGTCACATTCCTGCCCTTGTTCTGATGGTTCTTATCACAGCACTCTCCAACCTGTGCACCAAATAGTACCTTTACCACCTGCCTAGAGGAAAGAAGACATTTTATCACCATCGTGATTGTGATGATGACACCAAACAGGAGGAAGTACAGGTGAAAGCTACAGCCCTGCAGGCCAGGCTATTGCTAGTATGTCTGACTTCCCTCCTCCAACACCTTCTCCACGTCCTTCTCACCTTTGGCCAGTTCTCATGGTCAGCCTACCTCTTCCAAAAGGGCAGCCGCAAATCCTCCTGCATCCAGGGGACCTGGGCCTGGGGTCTCTGTTATGTGAAACCAGCTGCTTCCAGCTGACAGGGCCTCTGGGGAGAGCAGTCACCTGCTGGCCTTGGCCTGTCACCTCCTGTCGCAGCATTGCAGTGAGCCCTGCAGCCAGAAGCAATACTTCTTGGGAGCCCATGGCGATGGGGGTGTTCAGGGAGCCCACACGTGGAGGTATAGGCAGAAGAATCCATCTCACTCCAGGTCACTTTTAATGAGGACAGCTGGTTCCCGTGCCCCCACCAAGCTGGAAGGTGTTCAGTGCAGACGCCCCGCCATCAGCTCGGTGACATCAGGCTTTATCCAGAGCTGACCAGTGTTCAGCACTCAGCTGCACAGGACAAAGGTCGGGTCATCTTCCCGAGGGCCAGTCCTAGGCCGAGCATCTCCAAAATCCCTTCTCAGGAACATTCCCAGGATTTTTGTGATAGAAGCCAATGCATTCCTACATTTTCTTCGGGAAGACACTCTCCTCCTACACTCCTCTCAGAATTTCAATCCCCAGACCCCAGTGGGTTTGACCCTGGGGAGGAGCAAGGGCGATTACTGACTCCACTGCCATGCATTGGCCGCCCCAGGCAAAGGTGGTGCAGGCAGAGTGGGGGGTGGGGGGAAGCCACCTCCTCCAGGTGAGGGGTGTCAGAGCTCCGTGAGTCCTCCATAGTCTCCTGGCAATGCCTTCAGGCCCTCCTTTTGTGGTGGTAACTGCAGACTCAGCAGCACCGCCCTGCAGCCACCTGCAGACTCAGCTCCGAGTTGGGTTTTCCAGGATTCTGCCCCGGAACCTGAGATACTTTGAGCGGAGCTGCACATGGCCCCTGTGCGCCATCCTGTGGCTGGGGCGGGGGGAGCCTCCGAGACTTCAGCCTCTGCCCTCTCTCCAGAGCTTCCAATGCTGTCAGGAGCAACATGCCACCCTTCAGTCCTGCATCTTCTGTGGTCTCAGATACTGCACACAACAGACGGATCAGCAGCTCACTCTCAGGAACAGGGCTGCCAATCCCCTAGAATATACAAGCAAGTCCGGGCGATGCTGGACCCTTTCCCTTCTCAGCTGATCACTTGTTTCCAAGGCCCTTATTTCCTGGGGCACATGGCCTATGACATTCTCCCGATGCCAGTTGCCGTGTCAGCCACGTTCTCTGATGGAAACAGTAGAAACGAACTGGGATCATGTCAGCAGATGGAAGAAGGGAGGAAGGGGGAGAGGAGATCATTATTGCCAGGTGATACAGAAGAGGGCTGAGCCGCCAGCCTTGAGAAGGGAGACTCTGGACTCTCAGGGTGATTCAGGGAAAGGTGACTCAGCCCAAACACCTTCAGTCCCAGAGGCAAATTCCTGGAAGACTGGGGCAAGAGCCAACCTGAACAAGAATGGAGGTGGAAAGGGTGGGAAGGAGGGAAGCTGTGAGCTACCTGAAGTGGGGCAGGGGGCCCCCCAGAGGATGGGATGCTATGAAAGTGAAAACATGGCTACACACCCTGCCTCATTTATCTATTACCAGCCCCCCCAAAATTGGTGTCTTAAAACCATTATCATCTGTGTCATGAGTCTGTGCGGCGAGTTGGGTGGTCCTTCTGCCTCCCCTAGTCTAGCTGTGTCTGCAGTCACCGGGGACTGGCCCAGGCTGGCCAGTCTTCCAGGCTCATGTCCAGGCCGCGGTGGGTGCCTGCTATCAGCTGAGACTGTCAGTCGGAGCATCTCCACCTCCCCTCATAGGACCTCCTCATGCACCACGGGCATCTCAGCATAAAGTGACCTCCCCGTGCACCACAGGCATCTCAGCATGGAGCGACCTCCCAACGCACCATGGACATCTCAGCATAGAGTGACCTCCCCACGCACCATGGGCATCTCAGCATGGAGCGATCTCCCCGCGCACCACAGGCATCTCAGTATAGAGTGACCTCCCCACGCACCACGGGCATCTCAGCATAGAGTGACCTCCCCATGCACCACGGGTATCTCAGCATGGAGCGACCTCCCCGTGCACCACGGGCATCTCAGCATGGAGTGACCTCCCCACGCACCACGGGCATCTCAGCATGGAGTGACCTCCCCGTGCACCACGGGCATCTCAGCATGGAGCTGGAACAGAAGACAGGACATTCGATGGTGCAAGTGGAAGCTGCATACAGGTCAAGAGCCAGCCTGGGAGGTCCCCATGCCCCTCTGCCTCATCCTGTTGACCACAGCTAATCATGGACTCGCCCAAATTTCACAGGAGAGGGAACAGCCTCCACTTCTAGGTGGGAGTGGCCGAGAGGCCATGCCTTTAACCAGCACTCTCCTCTTCCTCCTTTCTATTCCTCCCTCTCCATTCTCTCTTCTGCTCTCTCTTGTGCCACCCGCTGTCCACACTTGGCCCCGAGCAAGGGCAAGCAGATAAAGACCCCTGAGGTCAGTGATGAGAGGACTCACGCATATCGAGGACCTCTTTGGGGAAGGAGGACCCAAAGCTACAAAATCCTAGGAATGGCAGGAGGCACGGGGAGAGGCAAGGGAGTGGAGAGTCCTGGCAAGCCCCCAGCACACACCCTGGGATTAGGGAGGCTCCCAGCCAGCAAGAGGAAGCTTGACCCAGGGGGAGCTGCTCCCCCAGCCCCAGCAGCCTCGCTGAGGCAGAGCCAAGAGGCATGTGGGCATGCCAGGAAGTCCCCCTCACTTGAGGGCTCAGCTCCTGCAGGCTCGGAGCCTGCTGGGGGCAAGGGCCAGGTCCTTGGGCCCTGCCTTCACGTGACTAATTTCCTGGAGTCCTGCCAAGTACAGTCTGGGTCCAGGGCCTCTGTTAACCTTTTCTCACTTGGTTACACCTCACTGGGCCCAAAGGTGTTGCATTTGCCCTTTGGCTCCCAGAGACATGCACCACAAGGGCTGTGGACCAATGTCCTTTCCTCTAACCCCTCTCCGCTGCCTCCTGACTGCAAAACACCCATTTCTCCCTTGGGAGGGTGGGGACTCTGGCTGATGGCTCAGCCCCACATTCAGGGCAAAGGACAGTTGGGGAGGATTGAGCTGTCCGCCCCCTGCCTCGTCCCCCAGGTCTCCCACCAGACAGTGACCAACAACTGCTAAATCCCTGAGGCGCCCCTCCTCCACTCCTCCTCAACTGTCTCATAGATTTTGGCAGCTGCCTCTCTCTCTCTGCCTCCACCTAGTACCCTCTCCCTCCATCCCTCACCCCTTCCTATCTTCCTCTCTCCCTCCTCCCGCAAGGTCTCCCTGGGCACCTTCCAGGCCCAGGTGCTGCACCCCTAGAAATGACCAGGGCTCAGTCCCTGAGCTGACATCACCCCTCCCAATCCTGCAGGCCAGGGGAGAGACAGAGCCAGCTGGCAAAGCCCTCAGCAAGTGGCGGCAAGACCCCCAGAAGACACTGCCAAGTGCTGGAAGATGGTGGGCCTTTCCATCTGGAGAAAAGCTACGATAAATAAAAATAAATATTACTCATCAATAAAAAGAAATGAGCTATCAAGCCACAAAAAGATATGGAGCAACCTCAAATGCATATTGCTAATCTAATTGGAAGAAGCCAGTCTGAAAAGGCTGCATACTGTACAATTCCAACTCTATGATATTCTGCAAAAGGCAAAACTATAGAAACAGTAAGATCAGTGGTTGCTGTGGGGGTTCGGGATGAACAGGTGGAGCACAGAGGAGTTTTAGGGCAGAGACACTATTCTGTAGGATCCTGTAATGGTGGATACCTCGCATTATTTCTGCAAACCCATAGGATGTACAACACCACTAGTGAACTCTAATGTAAATTATGGACTTTAGTTCATAATAGTGTGTCAATACTTGTTAATCAGTGGTAACAAACGTACTACTATCCTCATGCAAGATGTCAATGGGGAAACTGGTGGGGAGGTGGGGGTGGAGGTCACGAGGTCACTGCAAACTCTGTTCTTTCTGTGCAATTCTGTAAATGTAAACCTCTAAAACAGAAAGTCTATTTTTTAAAATGGTACACAAAATAATAACAACGGGGCATTTCTTGAGATCTCTAGGGAACATGTCCCCCTCTTGCCCATGCATTTCATGTTGGATCCAGAATGCAGCAGCAGCACTTTTCACAGTTGCCAAAAACTGTGGCAAGCTCAAATGTCCATGCACTGATGAAAGGAATCGCAAGATGTGGAATATCCAATAATGGAATATTATTCAGCCATAAAAAGAAATGCAGTATTGATCCACTAAAAACATGGATGAACTTTGAAAACATGATGCTATGTGAAAGCAGCCAATCACAAAAGGTCAGAAAGTGTGTGATTCCATTTCTATGAAATGTCCAGAATAGGCAAATCCATAGAGACAGAGAGTAGACGAGTGATTTCCAGAGGCTGGCAGAGAGCGGGCAGCGGGGGGTGCGGGGCACATAGGGTGACAGCTAAGCGGATATGGGGTTTCTCTGGGGGGTCATGAAAATGTTCTAAAATTGATTGTGATGCTGGTTGCACATCTCTGTGAATCTACTAAAAGCCATTGAATTGTATACTTTAAAAAGGTGCATATGGCGGCCGGGCACAGTGGCTCACACCTGTAATCCCAGCATTTTGGGAGGCCGAGGCGGGCGGATCACGAGGTCAGGAGATCCAGACCATCCTGGCTAACACCGTGAAACCCCGTCTCTACTAAAAATACAAAAAAAAAAAAAAAAAATTAGCCGGGTGTGGTGGTGGGCGCCTGTAGTCCCAGCTACTCGGGAGGCTGAGGCAGGAGAATGGCATGAACCTGGGAGGCAGAGAGCTTGCAGCGAGCCGAGATCGTGCTACTGCACTCCAGCCTGGGCGACAGAGTGAGACTCTGTCTCAAAAAAAAAAAAAGGTGCATATGGCATGTGACTTTTATCTGAATGAAGCTATTTATAGGTGTGGGGGGAGGGATGCTGTAAGCTCTTTACACACCAAGGTTATATATATGTTGGGACGGTGAAGAATTGCATGTGCAAAGATAGATTTTTACATTTTGGGAAAATGTATAAAAGAGGCTGGAGGCTCACCTGCAAGGCGGCCAGGATAGTGGCAAGAGAGGTTGTCCGTTCAGCCTTGTCATATTTGTGGGGAGCTGCCACCCCAAGCCCTGGGCCCTGGCAAATTTCCAGCAGGAGTCCCAGAGCCTGAACATTGCGCTGAAAGAAACTCCATTGCCTCATCCAAATGAGGGCCTGAGAGCTCTGGCAGCAACCCTGGGTGGCAAATTTGGGTTTAAACCAGTTGCACTTTATCATCACTTAGGAAGCTTTCGCCCCTCCTCAAAAAAAAAAAAAAAAAAGAAAGAAAAAAGAAAAAAGAAAAAACCGCTATCCAGGGCCCGCCCCAGACATTCTGATCGGAAATTGGCCCAGACAGCTGGGGTTTTTTTGCCTGATTTCTTTTTTTTTTTTTTTTTTTTTTGAGACGGAGTCTCGCTCTGTCGCCCAGGCCGGACTGCGGACTGCAGTGGCGCAATCTCGGCTCACTGCAAGCTCCGCTTCCCGGGTTCACGCCATTCTCCTGCCTCAGCCTCCCGAGTAGCTGGGACTACAGGCGCCCGCCACCGCGCCCGGCTAATTTTTTGTATTTTTAGTAGAGACGGGGTTTCACCTTGTTAGCCAGGATGGTCTCGATCTCCTGACCTCATGATCCACCCGCCTCGGCCTCCCAAAGTGCTGGGATTACAGGCGTGAGCCACCGCGCCCGGCCGCCTGATTTCTTTAACTTCTTATTGAAGTATATCATTTATACAGAAAACTGTGCACGTGTACACCTCCTTGGATTTTCATAAAATAAATGCACTTGAGTAACCAGCAGACAGATCAAGAAACAGAACTTTGGTGGCTTCCAAGCCCCCTGGTTTCCCCTTCCAGTCACTGTCCCTTACCAAGGGTAGCCACTGCTTTGACTTTGGGCACCAGAGAATCATTTGCCAGGCATTCTTCTAAACCTCCCTCTCTGATGTGCAGCTGGCGCTGAGAGCCACAGGTCTGGACACATTCACCCTGGGGCTAGGGCAGGGCCCAGCTTCTCAGCATGTTGCTGCCAGACTTGATCCCAATTAGTGTCCTTGGCAAAGATGGAGGGGTGCAGTGCCATTGTGCTCAATGGTTACTTCTCAAATTAAAAGGTGCATGTCCTGACTCTCCTAGGACTGCCTGATATGGGTGGGCTACTGAGCCTGGCTACTGTTGGCTCTACACCTATTTGTCCCTGAGGTTACCCTTCCAGGCACTGGCAGGGCTGTCAGGTCTCAGTGACTTGATACTGCTTATCCCCGCCATCCCCTCCCAACTTGGTCAGCCCTCGCCAAGGGGAGGATTCGGGGTCTGTGAAGCCAGCCCAGGTGCGGTCCAGGGAGCAGGCGCTGGGGACTTGGGTGCCCAGCCGCAGGGATCCCTCTTAACTCCACTGTCCTCATCGGGCGGAGACCGGCTGGCATGAAACACCGGGCTTTTTGAGGTCAAAGCGAGGCTTCGCCCACGCACGTGACACCGCCAGGGCGCGCAAACAGGAAGCCCGAGCCCGGGCTGCAGGCGTTGGCACCGCAGCACTCGACTGGCCTCTCTCTAACCGCAGGTCCTAACTCAGAGCAGCCTCCGGCGCGGGTGGCGCGGATACCGAGGCCTGCGGGGGACATCCGCCGCCTGGAACGCCCCGCCCGGTCAGCCAGCCCCTCAGGGGCGGCGAGCGCGCCCACCCGCTCCCCGTGGACCCTGCCCTCGGGGGCTGCACAGGTCTCCCCAGGACGCGTGGCCCCCACACTGGACCCCCGGACAGGCCCTGCCCACGGCCTGGAAGGCGTGGTCCTGTGTGCCACGTGACAGCCTCCGCGCGGGCCGCAGGGGGTTGGACACCTCTCCCAGGATGGACCAATCTTTTTTTTTTTTTTTCAAGTTGAGACGGTTTGAATGGCATCTGTTCCTCCTAACCCGTGACCCCTGACTGACTGTGTGAGGCCTGTCGGGAGGTCTCCACTTCAGCTATCTCCCCATCCACAACCTCACTGTCTTCATACTGACCCCACTGAACAAAGCCTGGCTTTACCATCCTTCCTCGTGGGCCTTGCTAGGAGGCAGACCCCTAGCCTGAGGGCCAGGGGGGCTTCCAGACCACCCAGCAGGCCATTTCTTGACCCATCAGACCTATGTTAGCCTGCGGGGAAAGAGGACATCCCCACCTGCTCCTCATACCTGCACGCCCTTCGTGAGGTTGTTTGTTTAACCCAACTGGAATGAGAGAAAGGAAATACATAATTTAAGCTCACTTCAGATAGACTTGGATTACATTCTGATTCTGCCACTTTTTCGTTGTGTTGACCTTGGGCGAGTCATTTACTCTCTTTAGTTTGTTCCTTCCTTGTAATAAAATTACATATGATCCAGCAACTCCATTTCCATAAATACCCAAAAGAACTGAAAGCAGGGACTCAAAAAGATATTTGTGCACCCATGTTCACAGCAGCATTATTCGCTACAGCCAGTGGTGGAAACAGCCCTAGTGTCCATCAGCAGATGCGTGAGTCACCAAAATGCGGTACATGCATATGACGGAATACTACTCAACCATAAAAAGGAAGGAAATTCTGACAGATGCCACATATAACATGGATGAACTTTGAGGACATTTTGCTGAATGAAATAAGCCAGACACAAAGGGACAAACACTGTGTGATTCCACTTACCTGAGGGACTTAGAGTCGTCAAATTCCAAGAGACAGAAAGTAGAATGGTGGTTGTCAGGGGCTGGAGAGAAGGTGGGAGTTGTTTAAAGTGTAAATTGTTTCAGTTTTGCAAGATGAAAAGAGTTCTGCAGACTGCTTGCACAGCAATGTGAAGGTATTTAACTATTGAACTGTACACTTAAATCGGGTAAGATGGTAATTTTTTTTTTTTTTTGAGATGGAGTCTGTCTCTGTCGCCCAGGCTGGAGTGCAATGGCGTGATCTCTGCTCACTACAACCTCCACCTCCTGGATTCAATCGATCCTCCTGCCTCAGCCTCCCAAGTAGCTGGGATTACAGGCGTGCACCACCACACCCAGCTAATTTTGGTATTTTTAATAGAGACAGGGTTTCACCATGTTGGCCAGGCTGGTCTCGAACTCCTGACCTCAAATGATCCATCCACCCGCCCCGGGCCTCCCAAAGTGCTGGGATAATAGGTGTGAGCTACCTCACCCAGCCAAGATGGTAAATTTTATGTTGTGTGTATTTTATCACGATTAAAATACAAATAAAAACAAACCTGACATACAGTATTGGTACAAGAAGGAGATAGGCTAACATAGATGTAAGTGTCTGGAACCTAGTAGACATTTATCCAATGTTATGGTCCTTTTTTCTTTCATGCTAAAATTCTGGGTCCTTGGCTCCTGATGTCTTAAAGACATAGACTAGATGAAACTCATTTGTAAGTAGCCCAGACATTACTTATATATCAATGAACACTGTAAAAGTTCTCAGGTTTCTTTTCTTAAGTAGGTTAAATAATCTGCATAACACATTTTGTTACATAACAAATATTTTTGAAGAAGGAGTAAGAGGAGGAGAACGAGGAGGAGGGGGGGGAGAAGGAGAAGATGACTCCTTTGGCTTGGAAAGAAAACTTTGGCTTGGCGTTTAGCATTTTCATTTCTACAAATTCCCCACAGAATACGTCTGAATGGTGTGTAGGAGTGTATGTGATGATGTAATGATATATGTAGGAATCGGAGCCTCCATTATGTGCTAATTGTGCAGCACGAGACACATCTCATTTAATCTCATTTAATGCCAACCTTTTCAGGCAGATATACTTATTCCCATTTTACAAATGACAGGATTGAAGCTCAGAGAAAGAAAGTACTTGCCCAAGGTCACACTGCTAGAAAGTGGCAGACTCAGAATATGAGGCTGAGTCTGTCTCCTATCCAAGTGCACATCCTTTCTACTTCATCTGGGATGACAGATAGCTTTTCTCCAGCCTGCCAGTTCTACTCTGTTGTACTGCATTGCTATATTGTGAATTCAGCGGATTCAGCAAAGCAAACAAGAGTGCGGTGATCAACTTGTAATGTCTGCCATGGACACTGGATAGAGGAGTAACAGTATGTGTGCTTATGGAAAAACCTCTCCAACTTACATCATAGTGAGCACAGGTTTAGGAGCAGAACTAGAAAGAAAATATTTTTTTCTGTCTGTCTAGCAACTGTTGGCCTGAAAAAGAACTCAGTGTCAGAATGGTCAGGAAGGCCCAGCCTTCCTACTGTCAGGGTGTCTAGCCGGGGCTAGGTCTCTCTGTCCTCACCCCTTTGCCTTCCCAAGGTAGGGAAGGTGTAGAAAATCCAGTTGGGAATTTCTGGTAGAAACTTCTACTCCTGGTGCCAATTTCTACCAGTCAGCTACCCTGTAAACTTCTATCAGGCATACAAGCCTTGGGAAACAGAGAGCTGTTGTCTTGCTCAAGCACAAGTTACCAGCAACAAACATTTGTTTCCCAGCAGATCACATGAGGACTTGTGAGATCATGTCTGGCCCTGGCTCAAATAGAAGATGTTCCATTAAAGCAGTTCCCGGGGACCAGGCCTAGGCAACTTTCCTAGGATGGGCAAGGCAGTTGTTCGGGAAGCTTGGCACCTGCACAGCCCCATTGTCATGTGAGGAAACGAAGGGTGTGAGCTTTCCCCCACCTGTCCACTTAGAAGCGTGGGTCAAAGCAGAGAAGAGGGGATATCTCCTTCCCATCTGCCCTTGTCCTCCCACCCCACCCAGGCTGAGGTGCCTCCTACTCCTCCTGCTCTGCTAAGAGGCTGAGATCTGTCTGAGCTGTTGGCAGAACCCTAGAAAGTGCTCCCAGGTCATCCCAGGCCTCCCAGAGGCAGGGTCTGGCAGGGTGGAGAGCTGCCATCATGGCAGAGAACTGCAGCATCAGGCAGGGAAACCAAGGCAGGGCCCAATGGGTGTGGGTGAAAGCTGCACATCCAGAAGTACACGGCTTCCCCCAGGCACCGCAGATCCTGGCCCTGAACGACAAGAGTGCCTGACCTCACGATTGCCAGCAGCTGCCTGTCCTGCAAGGCCTGGCCCTGTGCCAGGGCAGCTGCTTTGCGTGTGGCTGCCTCTCCTGCCCAAACAATTTCTGTTGCCTTTAGGAATGAAGGAGCTCAGGCCAAGCCCAGTTGGTGTTTTCAAAATTTCCTGTAAACAAAGGAAAAGATGAAGCTTATATAACACCCTTGGCTGGAGAATCAGCGGCTGCTTGGCATAGCTGAGAGAGAGGCCTGGGCGCAGACAGTGGTGTGTCCAGGCAGGCAGGGGCCTGGGTCATCCCTCTCAGGACTATTCTTTCTGAACCTTCTGCAAACTCTCCAGTGACCTCTGGGGCCCATTTCAGAGGTCTGAGCAGCTCAGGCTTGGAGAACCACAGAGCTAGAAGGAAAAAGTATTGGAAATAATAAGAACTAATATTCATTAGCCCCCGATTAGGCGCAAGTGCTTTACCTGCACAATCTCATTTAATCCACACCAACCCTAGGAGGCAAACACTGAGGTAACCAATTAGTAGCTGAAAGATAGGCCCGGGGGTGGGCCAGCCACCCACGTTCACATGGTTGGGTATGATCGATCACTTGGCCCTCAGCTTCCCTTCCACCTCCTGCTCACAGCTCTCTATGCAGCAGCAGCTAAAACCCACATTTCCCAGACTCCCCTGGGGCAGGGTTCCAGGGAAGAATGAAGTTCTGCACTTCAGATGCACTTGTGTGAGAGTTGGCTGCTTCGGGCCAGGCGCGGTGGCTCACGCCTGTAATCCCAGCACTTTGGGAGGCCGAGAAGGGTAGATCACAAGGTCAGGAGTTTGAGACCAACCTGACCAACATGCTGAAACCCTGTCTCTACTAAAAAAAAAAAAAAATTAATTAGCCGGGCGTGGTGGCAGGCGCCTGTAATCCCAGCTACTGGGGAGGCTGAGGCAGGAGAATCACTCGAACCCAGGAGGCGGAGGTTGTGGTGAGCTGAGATCAAGCCACTGCACTCCAGCCTGGGTGACAGAGGGAGACTCTGTCTCAAAAAAAAGAAAAAAAAAAAAAGAGTTGGCTGCTTTGGTTGCTGGGTTTCCTGCACTAGTGATCTCTTATCCAGCAGCCGCTTCTGTGAGTGTCAAGAAGCAGTTACAGTGGTGATGGCAGTGCCAGCTTCCCAGTCCCAGCTTCCCTTGGATTGAGCCCATGACAGGAAGGTTTTGTTTGTTTGAGATGGAGTTTTGCTCTTGTTGCCCAGGCTGGAGTGCAATGGCAAGATCTCGGCTCATTGCAACCTCCAGCTCCCAGGTTCAAGCGATACTCCTGCCTCAGCCTCCCAAATAACTGGAACTACAGGTGTGCAGCACCACGCCCAGCTAATTTTGTATTTTTAGTAGAGACGGGGTTTCACCATGTTGGCCAGGCTGGACTCAAACTCCTGACCTCAAGTGATCCGCCCGCCTCAGCCTCCCAAAGTGCTGGCATTACAGGCGTGAGCCACCGCTCCCGGCCGACAGGGAGTTCTTGACTTTCACAGTTGCAGGGTGGCCTCAGGTGGGTGGTGTGTGTGCGCAGGGATCTGCACAAAGACTGGCGTTGCGCGGGTGTCTACAGTCTGGAGGCCCTGCTGACGCCCTGCAGTCCTGGGGAGGAAGAGACTTGGAGGGAGGAGGTGCTGGGAGGTCTAAGCAGAAGTCTCAGGAGAACAAGCCCGCCCTGTTCAGGAGACACTGGAACAAGGAGTACACCAAGCGGTAAGAGGAGGAGAGATAAGAGGCTCTCAGATGTAAGTAATGGGAAATGCTTCAAAATGGCAAAATGGCTTGAGGAAAAGAAAATTTGTTAAAGGGAAGGCAGCTCCAGCAGCTCATTCACATCCCAGAGCAGCCCAGGGGCATCATCTCCCTACTAAGCCGGTCTCAGCCCGCCGGCCTCGCCTCAGGGCTGTCCTCATGGCCACAAGATGGCTGTGCATTCCAAGTTCACAACCAGACATGCCACTCTCTGGCGGGAGAGGGGTCGCCCTTTCTTGTGCATCTGTTTTTATTGGTGCTATGATCTGAATGTTTGTGTCCCCCTAAGCATTCAGGTGTTGAAATCCTTGTCCCCAGTGTGATGGTATTAGGAGTTTGGGGCCTTTGGGAGGTGATTAGTGCCCTTACAAAAAAGGCCTGAGGGGCCGGGCAGGTGCCTGTAATCACAGCACTCTGAGAGGCTGAGGCGGGCAGATCACTTGATGTCGGGAGTTTGAGACCAGCCTGGCCAACATGGTGAAACACCATCTCTACTAAAAATACTCTACTAAAAATTAGCTGGGCGTGGTGGTGCACGCCTGTAATCCCAGCACTTTGGGAGGCCAAGGTGAGTGGATCACTTGAGGCCAAGAGTTCGAGACCAGCCTGACCAACATGGTGAAACCCCATCTCTACTAAAAATACAAAAATTAGCTGGGCGTGGTGGTACACACCTGTAATTCCAGCTACTCGGGAGGCTGAGGCAGGAGAATCACTTGAACCCGGGAGGTGAAGTTTGCAGTGAGCCAAGATTGTGCCACTGCACTCCAGCCTGGGTGACAGAGTGAGACTCTGTCTAAAACAAAAAACAAAAAACAAACAAATAACATATAACCCAGATATAGTGATGCCCTGGCTCTAGCCTAGAACATAGGATGAAAATCTCAGGATCCTAAGCATCATCATTTTTAAAGAAATTTTCAAAATTGAATTCTGTTAACAATGAGGGAGGAGGAACAGATTTGCACAGGCAACAGCAGTGTTTGCCACGCTTGCTCAGTCCAGGCAGTCAGTCCAGCCACTCAAGGTGACTCCAGAGAAATTTTGGGAAAGAAGGGGACTCAGAGAAGGAGCCACCCTGCTGTCCCCTGGGCAGGGCTGGCCCACAGCAGAGGCGGAGCTGAGTCCAAGCCTGGCACCAGTCCTCCCTGCAGCCTTCTGGAGTGTGAGCTGGTGAAGTTCCTTTTTTAAACTTTTTGAATCTTAGTTTGCTGCTATTTCAACATCATCCTGACAGATTGGGATCCGGGAAATGTCACCCGCTCAGCCTTGAGTACCCCAAAGTGGGATGAGCAGAGAGGTGGCCAAGGAGTAGAGGGGAGTCCCGGCAGAGCAGTGAGGGCTCTGGAGCCGGGGGCCCCACATTCAAGGCAGATGGTGTGGGAACTGCCTGGATGGCAGCAGTTGGGGGAGAGGGGACAAGAGTCATTGCAGGTCAGGGTTGGAGCTCAGGGGCCCGTGCCCTACCTTTCCCTCAGGCAAGTCCTCAACCAATGGTCTCTAAACACCAGCACACCCCTCATGACCTGCATGGCGTGGCCTGGCTTTGTAGGGTAGTTCTCATGTCACTTTATTCCTGTGTTTATTGTCTTTCTCTGTCCATGCAGCAGGGACATTTGCTGCTCAACAAATAACGACTGCTCCTCCACAGTTCCCAGAACCCTTTCAGCTCTGGGCTGTGGTCCTGGCCAGTGGGCTATGAGTGGAGGTGATCTGGGGTGGCCTCTCCAGTTCTCCCTTCCCTGCTTTGGTGAACCCCTAGCCCTGCACTGAGATGGTGAAGGCTCTGTCAGCTCCTCTCTGGTTGACCTTGTGGAGCAGAGCTCCCCCAACCTCCTCTGTAGCCGCCGCCATTCTGAGGTTAACTTGTTCCTGCCGCATAACCCTGCAGGTCCTGCCGAAGACGCTCCCATCAAGGTGAGCTCCTCGAGCGCAGTCCCCGCCACGACTGCCTGCTGGAGGAACCCATAGGTGGGCGCAATCTTCCCTTCTGCTCTAGAACATCAGGAGACAGAGGGCATCAGCAATGCAACAGAGACGGAAGCCTTTTATGGCTTGAGACTTTGCCTTTTAGTTTCCTGTTTGGGAGAGACTCTACATTTTCTTTTGTTTTGCTTTGTTTTTTTGTTTGTTTGTTTTGAGACAGAGTCTCACTCTGTCACCCAGGCTGGAGTGTAGAGATGCTACCTTGGCTCACTGCAACATCTACCTCCTAGGTTCAAGCGATTCTCCTGCCTCAGCCTCCAGAGTAGCTGGATTACAGGCACCTGCCACCACACCCAGCTAATTTTTGTATTTTAGTAGAGAAGGGGTTTCACCATGTTGGTTAGGCTGGTCTCAAACTCCTGACCTCAAATGATCTGCCCGCCTCAGCCTCCCAAAGTGCTGGGATTACATACATTTTTTTTTTAATCTGAGAATCTAAACACCAGGAGCAATCAATGGACTCAACAATGGCATGCTATGGCTGTGGCTCCTGGGCAGAAGTAGGCCCCCTTCTGTGCACCATGCATAGCATGGCATGGATTGCAATGTGCAATCCGGAAATGTCACCTGCTCTCCTTGGTGACACGAGAGTTGCGATTATCCTTGGTCTTTATGTTTTGGACAATAGCAATTATGTGGAAAGGTTGAATCATAATTGGGCAAATATTTTTTTCCAGCCCATTCCTTAATCCATGTCATAGAAAGAAAAAACAGTAGATTAAATCATGGTGTTGGGACTAGACCAATTTTTTTAAATTGCTGTTTTATTTTAAATTGAGATCTAATTTGGAAATAGAATTAGTTCAGAAAAGGTCAGACTTGGGGCATTATGAATAAAGTAGGTAATATTGTAAATTGTGTCATACTAACAACACATAGAAAAAGGAGATGGACGAGGATGAAAAGAAGAGGAAGAGGAGAAAGAGGTGATTATGATTCTCACCCACCTGCTCTAATTCTTCAGTTTGGAAAGTGCAGATAATGTCCTTGGGAACCCTTAGCTTTCTCTCCTCCATTCTGAATGTTTCCAACTGCGTCAATAGCTCCTGATGCAAAGGTTTTGAGGAGGCTCTGTGATGTCAGAGAAGACCAGATGCCCCAGAGCTGTGGCACCTGTGGCTGGCACCCGGAGACCTTGGCTAGTGACACTGCTTCTTAAACCTCAGGTTCCTAATCTATAAATAGAGTCAGTGTGGTGGCTTACGCCTGCAATCCCAGTACTTTGGGAGGCTCAAGCAGGAGGATCAGTTGAGGCCAGGAGTTCAAGACCAGCCTGGGCAACACAGTGAAACCCTGTCTCTACAAAAAATTAAAAATTAAGCATGGTGGTGCACACCTGTAGTCCCAGCTACTGGGGAGGTTGAGGGGGGAGAATCGCTTAAGCCCAGGAGTTCGAGGCTACAGTGAGCCGTGTTTGTGCCGCTGCACTCCAGCAACAGAGAGAGATCCTGTCTGTAAAATAAAAAATAAAAATAAATAAATTTCAACAAATGAGCTCACACCCTCACTGCACAGGGCCATTGTGCAGTGGGTGTAGTGGGTGCATTGTGCATTGGGTGAAGGTGAAGGTGAGAAGCCAGCATGTGCCAGCCAAGGCTCCTCTTCCTCCCACCTTCGGCTGGGGGCAACTGTCATTTATCAGAGCATTACCTGTGGGGCCCTTACCTGGGATGCATGAGGACAACAGGACACACTGTCTTTGATTAGGATGTTGTCTTTGTGGTTAATATGGTTTAAAACCTCTGGGCTGTTTTATCCCACAGCGGGATCCTATGAAGCTTGTTGTCATCTAAAATCAGGTAATTTCAGGCTGGGCACAGTGGCTCATGCCTATAAACCCAGCATTTTAGGAGGCCGAGGTGAATGGATCATTTGAGGTCAGGAGTTCGAGACCAGCCTGGCCAACATGGTGAAACCCTGCCTCTACTAAAAATATAAAAATTAGCCTGACATGGTGGTGGGCACTTGTAGACCCAGCTACTCGTGAGGCTGAGGTAGGAGAATTGCTGGAACTCAGGAGGTGGAGGTTGCAGTGAGCCAAGATCACACCACTGCACTCCAGCCTGGGTGACAGAGCAAGCGAGACTCTGTCTCAAAATAAATAAATAAATGATAAAATCAGGTAATTTCAGATGAGATGATGGTGCGGGGTTGGGGGGCGTTTAGAGCAACAAAACGCCAATGATGTCTTTGAAACTCACTCATTTTTTCATTTACTCAACAAATATTTACATAGCACCTTCTATGTATAGGCCACTGTTCTAGCCTCTAGAGATCTAGAGGGAATGCAATGGACAAAGGTCAGCGCTTGCCTTCGAGTGGGGACAGACAGGCAATAAACAGATACACAGACAAGACAAAGACTAAGGCAGGCGAGTGAGAGTGAATAGGGAAAAGAGGTGAGATTTGAGCCGGAGGAGGCTTGATGAGAAGGATCCAGGAGAAGAAGGAACAGTCCTGAGGAAGGGAAAGGCTTGCAGGAGGCCATGGGTGTTGACCAGGAAATTCGTGGCAGAGGTCAGAGAGTAAGGCAGGGCCCAGAGCACATAGCGCTTTGCAAGGCAATTTACGGATCCTCAAGTGCAACAGGAAGCCATCATAACATTTTATTTATTTACTTATTTGTTTTTAGAGCTGGAGTCTCACTCTGTGACCCATGCTGCAGTGCAGTGGCATGATCATAGCTCACTGCAGCCTTGACCTCCTGGGCTTAAGTGATCCTCTTGCCTCAGCCTCCTAAGTTGGGACTACAGGTGTGCACCAGCATGCCTGGCTAATTTTCTCATATTTTGTAGAGATGGGGTTTCACCATGTTGCCTGGGCTGATCTTGAACTCCTGGCTTCAAATGATCCTACCACCTTGGCTTCCTAAGGTGCTAGGATTGCAGGTGTCAGCCACTGTGCCTGACCTGCTAATTAGCTCTATCCAGAAAACAAACCTCTTATATCTTTATGACAGGAGGTAATTTTGCAACTTGGACAGATATGCCCACTGGAAATTAGGCTTCTTCCCTCTCACAGGAACTAGAAGATGGGGGTGCATTTCAAAGAGATGACACCCCAGCCCTTGAGAAAGATGTCCGGCTCGTAAAGCTGACAAGAGTCTTATTTATTACAGCTTCTGAAAAGACTTACACACATTTCAAAGAGACAGAACTTACAATGACATGTTTTCCAAAGCAGGTGCTCTAAGACAAGGGAAGGGAGAGAAATCTCTTTTTCAACAGAGATAATTAAGTCTCTTTTTTCTATTTTTTGAGACAGAGTCTTGTTCTGTTGCCCAGGCTGGAGTGCAGTGGTGTCAAAACAGCTCACTGCAGCCTCAAACTCCTGGGCTTAAGTGATCCTCCCACCTCAGCCTCCAAAGTAGCTGGGACCACAGGCATGTACCACCATGACCAGCTAATTTTCTTACATTTATAAAATATAAGATGGCATCTCGCTCTGTTGCCCAGGCTGGTCTTGAACTCCTAGATTCAAGTGATCCTCCTGCCTTGGCCTCCCAAAGCACTGAGATTAGAGGCATGCGCCACTGTGCCCGGCATGCCTCTTATTTTTGCATTTTAACTTTGCCCTAATGGAGATTTTTGTATTGGGAATATCATCTGGGTGCACAGTGAAGAATGAACCACAGGGAAGCAAGAGTGGAGGAAAGAAGGCCACTTAGAAAGCATTTGCTGGTGCTCAGGCCAGGGACGTGAGGGTGAAAATGCAGAGTTGGACACGTTTTTGTGATAGTTGAAGGTGCTCCCCTGGGGGCTTGCGGAAGTCTTGAACTTGAAGGAAAGCTGGGAGTAAAGGCTGACTCCTAGGTTTTGGCCTCAGCCACTCTGCAGGGTGACATTCACTGGGAAAGAATGGCTTAGGCCAGGCCCGGTGGCTCACACCTGTAATCCCAACATTTTGAGAGGCCGAGGCGGGCAGATTACGAGGTCAGGAGTTTGAGTCCAGCCCGGCCAATATGGTGAAACCCTGTCTCTACTAAAAATATAAAAATTAGCTGGGCATGGTGGCACGCTCCTGTAGTCCCAGCTACTCGGGAGGCTGAGGCAGAAGAATCGCTTGAATCCGGGAGGCAGACGTTGCAGTGAGCCAAGATCATGCCACTGCACTCCAGCCTGGGCAACAGAGAGAGACTCTGCCTCAAAAACAAAAAACAAAAAACGAGTGGCTTAGAGGGGAAAATCAAGAGTTCTCCTTTGGGCACGTAAGTGTTAATTTCCTATTGAGACTCCAGTTCACAGTTCAAGTCAGTTGTCGGGTATATGAGTCAGGAGCTCAAGGTCAGGAGGGCTGGAGACTAACTTGGGAACACAAGCTGGTGAGGGAGGAGAACTGGAGCACGTGGGGTCCAGGAACCCGGAGAACAGAGTGTTCGAGGGAGGTTGGGGTCAGACGGAAGGAGGTGGCAGGGCAGTGGAGATGCCCAAGGTGGCTGCGAGACCCTGGGGATCTGCCCGCACGAGACTGTGCCTGCCTGGTCAAGAGCCAGGGCTTCCCTGTAGGACAGAGGTGAGGGAGGGTCACCTGGGCAAGCGGAAGTTAGTGGGGACAGGAAGCGCTGTTTGAGAACAACCATTCAGATGAGTCTTGCCGGGAAGGAGCGTAGAGACATGAGGCAGTTGCCGCAGGGGGAGCCAGTTAGGAGAAAATATTATTTTGTTTTGTTCTTGGTTTTGGTTTTCAAAATTTTTTTAGAAACAGGGTCTCACTGTGGCTCCCAGGCTGGAGTGCAGTGGCACCATCACAGCTCACTACAGCCTCGAACTCCTGTGCTCAAGTGATCCTCCTGCCTCAGCCTCTCTAGTAGCTGAGACTACAGGCACACACCATCGCACCCAGCTAATTTTTTATTTTTAGTAGAGACAGGGTCTCTATTGCCTAGGCTGGTATTGAACTCCTGGGCTTAAGGGATCCTCCCACCTTGACCTCCCAAAGTACTGGGATTATAGGCATGAGCCACCACTCCCAGCCAAGATTTAGTTTGGCTCAATTCTCTGGGTATACAATAAGTCACAGGTGCACGCGGGAAACATCCAAACAAAACAAAACATAAGAAAACAGTTTCCTCTCTGCTCCTGCTCCCACCCCCTCACTGGAGGGAAGGAAGCACAGGTAACACTTAACGGTTTTTCTGGTTGCATTTGGGGTCTGGGGGACTTGGAATAAGGTTCAAGACACTAGAGAATAGGAATGGTCCAGGACAGAAGGGGAAACTGAAGATGCAGGAGAGAGAGTAAGGTCAGGAGTGGGAAGGGGGTGGTGGTGGCGGGGCACGGGCCAGGTGGAGGGTGGGCTTTTGCTGGGAGCAGGCACAGGTGGGGCCAGGCACACCTGTTGGTGGTGGCACAAAACTCTATGTTTTCACAAGGAAATCTCAGCAAAAGCCGGGAGGGCTTTCCTGCATGATACCAGGAGAGTCTGTGTAGAGGACCCTGAGGGACAGGCCCAGCCTCAGCAGGTCTCCCCCAGCAGCCTCCCCTTACCTGCCAGGCCCAGGCTGGGAGGCTTCCTGGCTCTGAGTCTAACCAGCCCCCAGAACACCCAGCTTCAGACTCCCCTTGCCAGACCCTGTCCTGGCTCCTCAGGCCTCTGGGGCGGGACTCTGGGCCAGCTGCAGCCCAACGCCATGCAGTTGAGGCACCGTGGGTGCTGGTGCTGCCTGGCCTCGGGTCCTTTGCCCCCACGAGCAGCACTATGACATCACCAGGGCGTTTTGTGTTGACTACTGCATCGTCTCACAAAGTGGCCCCTGCCCGAGATAGTGAAGCTAGTCTGGGAAGAGACGGCATCAGCTCCCCATATCTGAGCCACTGTGCCGACAAGGCCCAGCCTCCTCAGGCTCTCCTTGGCTGGACACACCAGAGATGGAGCTGACCTCCCCAAGTCTAAAAGGAAGACAAGTGTCACCCTGACACCGTGCATGGCCTCCTGGCACAAGGCCCCACCAGCTGATGAGAGGCCTTTGCTGGTACATCAGTGACCACACTGCGTGGGGCAGTGGGATCAGGCAGGACAGGTCGGTGGGTGCAGGGCTACAAAAGAAGTGCCATATGCCTGCATTTGCTGAGTTAGAAAATTGTATTCGTCTCTTTATTGGTCTAGAAAGGGGTGGAGACTTGGAATGGTGAGGCCTGGGCCCATGTGGGAGTGGGGTGTGCACAGGTCAGCAGGTCAGCAGAGGAGTGGGGCTGGGCTGGGGCTGCAGGAGCGATTCTCCCAGGGCCAGGAGAGCCAGTGAGGGTGGTCCGCACTCCGATGGGACACAGTATGGCCAGGCCAGGCGGAGCAACCCCTCCTCAGTGCTGGGTCATCTGTGAAAGGGACACGGAGTGGGCAGTGATCCCCAGGCCCTGGTCCCGCACAGCCCGGTCTCCCCCACAGCGCCTTCCCCCTCTCACCTTGGCCGGGCTCGGGGGGTATCTGACCTTCAGGCCTTCATCATTCATCAGAGGCCTCACCAGGCAAGAGCGGCGGTGAGAGAAAGTCTCGAAGCTCTTCTTGCCATGGTAGGATCCCATGCCGCTGTTCCCTGCGGAGGAGAAGTAAGCACAGGGCTCAGCATCCTGCCCCCAGGACGCCCCAGGTTTCCCTCTCCACCTTGTTGGGTGTATCCCAGAACCACAGGGACAGGGAGGCAGAGCCCCAGCCACCATCACCCATCCTTCCCTCAAATCCTATGGCCCTCAGCACCCAGCCCCAGGTTGTGGCCCTTTTCTGGGCCTCCTGAGGGTGGCCAATGTCTAGGGTGTCCCCAGGGCATCCACACTGTGGGAGTGCCCAGCAAGGGTCTAATCCCAGCTCTGCCACTAAATGGCTGTGTGACCTCTGGCCTGGGTCACCTTTCTCAGGCCTCCATGAAATAGGCCGGTGCACCAGGTGACCTCTAGGAACCTCTAGGCTCCCAGGTTAAGTGTGTCTGATGGATGGCACGCAGAGGCCAAGGTCCAAATGGAAGAGGCTAATGGGAGGCTGCCGCCCGGGCTGCAGGAGGTGGTCCCTCCTGAATTTGCTGGGTGAGTGTGCCCAGCCCTGGGGCCCAGAGGGAGGCAGCAAGCTCAGCCCCAGACTCACCCACGCCCCCGAAGGGCAGAGAGTGCAAGGTGATGTGGACGATGACATCGTTGGCCGCCACCCCACCACTGGATGTCTCTGCAATCATCTTCTTAATCACCTGCACCAGGACCCAGCCACTGGCCTCAGTCTCCTGCCCACAGGATGCCCCAGCCCCCAACCCGACCCTGCCTGGGTATAGCCTGGAGCCACAAGGACAGGAGCAGGTGGAGGCAGAGCCTTAGCCTCCATCTCCTGCTCTTCCTGCAGACCGCGTGGCTGTCAGCACCACATGAGCAAAGAGTGACAGCAGCCGCCCCCATGCCTGTGTGCAGGGCCCTGGGCAAGGATCGCTCATTCAGTGCCCTCAGGTGATGCTGCTGTCCTGATCTTACAGACGAGGTGAAAGGAGCTCAGAAAGATCCAGTGACTTGCCCAAGGTCACACAGCCAGAGAACAGTGAAGCTGCAGTTTGAACCCAGGTCTGTGGGCCCCAGGACCCTGGCAGAGGGCACCCCAGGCCCACCACCCACCTTGTCGTTGCTGGAGAACATGTAGAGGGCCAGGGGCTTCTCACGCTGGTTGATGAACTGGATGGCCTCCTCCAGGCTGCGCACGCACACGATGGGCAGCACAGGCCCGAAGATCTCCTCTTGCATCACCGGGGACTGGGGGTCCACGTCCGTGAGGATGGTGGGGGCTGAGGCAGGAAACAAGCCAGAGTTGGACGGCGCAGAGACCCCCACGCGGATGGAAAGTGCAAGCACCTAGACCCCTGCTCCAACCCTTTTCCAGGCAAACCTGCCCAGGCTTGGAAAAGGGCAGGGACGAGGCCTCAGAGAGGTACCCTAGGCACCTGCGTCCTGGATGCCATCTGAGCAGACCACTGGGGACAACTATAGGTTAACCTGTACGGAAGGACCCGAGATCTGTCTCCAGGAGCAGGCACTGCACCTGCCGGCCACCTGATGCCCTGCCAGAATTCTCTTGTCTCCTTGACAAACTCGGGGCCAAGAGGGTCCCATCTGGTGACCCACAGCCTGGGCACTGGGGGCCCCTCACGGCTGGGCACACCTGGGGCTCCTGTGGCTTCTGCTGTCCCTGCTCCTGCTGCTTCAGAGGGGCAGGGAGATGAGGCCCCTCTTTCTGGGCCTTTGCTGGGAGAGGGGATTCTGAGGTTGAAGCAGGGGCTGTCCTCAGCCCCTGCCTGCTGGAGTCTACCGCAGGCTCCCTGGTGAAAGCAATTTATACCCATCCCGAGGTCGTGTCCGCTTATCAAGCATCTGTGCCCACTTGCTGTGAACTTGCTGGGGACCCCTGCAGCCTGGGCAGGTGGGCTGTGCTCTTCAGGGGTCACGCACCTATGTAGCGAGTGGCGGCATCCCCGGTGCCCCCATAAGCCACCTTCTGGCCCTCAATCAGGCCCATCACCCTCTGGAAGTGCCGGGCACTAATGATTCTTCCATAGTCCCGGGATTTCTTAGCATCTTCCCCGTAGAACTCCTGTGGAGAAGAGGTGGGGGCTTCGGGTAAGGACGCAGAGCCTCGTCCTGCCCAAAGGCTGCACAGACACAGGCCAGCAGTGTCTGTCTTTGGGTGGTGGGATTCTGGGTGGAGCTTTTTTCTTCTTTATGCTTTTTAATCTTTTCTAAATAATCTATAGTGAGTGTGCATTATCTTTTTTTTTTCTCTTAGAGACAGGGTCTTGTTCTGTTGCCCAGGCTGGAGTGCAGTGGTGCAATCATAGCTCACTGCAGCCTCAAACTCCTGGGCCCAAGCAATGCTCCAGCCTCGCCGTAGCCTTCTAAGTAGCTGAGACAACAGGCATGCACCACCATGCCACCATGCTTGGCTAATTTAAAAACATATTTTGTAAAGATGGGATCTTGCTATGTTACCCAGGCTGGTCTCAAACTTCTGGCCTCAAGTGATCCTCCACTCTCTACCTCCCAAAGTGCTGGGATTACCGGTGTGAGCCACCATGCCTAGCTTGCATTATGTTTATATTAGAAGAAAATAAATCCAGTGTTTCCAAATCTGTAGAAGTTGGTTAAGGGGCCAGGCCCCCCTTGTGCCTTACAGCCTCTCATCCCACCCTGCCAAGGGGTCAACACTCACTTTCAGTGACTTCTTGAGCTTCTCCACAATTTGGTTCTGGATCGAGGGGTCACAGAGGATGTAGTCAGGGGCCACGCAGGTCTGGCCACTGTTCATGAATTTCCCCCAGGCGATGCGTCTGTGAGAATCCCAGACTGGACTAAATCCAAAAGGTTCCCCAGGAGTTGCATCTCGTTTTGCAGACCCCTGAGCTCTCTGGTCAGCAGAAGCCATCGGCTGTGACCTTGCCACCAGTGAGTCCTCCCAAGCGGTCTGCTCACTTCTAGACACTGGACCGAGCAGACCCAATGGCCCTGATCATGTTCACCGGCGACTGGTGGGGAATTTCTAGAGGACGTCTGTTGAGGGCAACCTCCGTGCTCCCTGATCACGCCCTTGTCCTGCACAGCCAGGTGTCACTGCTACTCGGGCCCCCCTACATCTCTGGGGCCACAGATGTGGGATATGGAGGTGGTCAGAGCCCTGGCTAGGGTCAGGAGGTGCAGATACGGGTTCTGCCCCAGACCCCGAGCAGCGGTGGCCCTTCTCCCCTCTGGGCCTGCTCTCCAGAACTCAGATTGCCCTGCCCCATCAGAGGGCTGAACCCAGTACAGTTCCTTGTGTCCTGAACGTCCCACAGCTGCTTTTTCTGCAGCCTCTGCTTGGAGTACCACTTCCCCAGTGATGCGCACTCAGCAAACAGAGCTCAGCCTAGACCTCTCCCCCTCCAGGAAGCCTTCTGGGACTCCCCACACGTCTTCTGTGCATGTGGTCCCCACCCCTACCCCCATGTAAGTTTCTGCAAGGACCACTGCTCCATGAGGCAGGGGGTGTCTGTGTTACTCAGAGTGGACCCACAGCATGAGGTGCAGTCATGTGTGCTTGGAAAGCAGAGTAAGGACTGCTGCAGCCAGCAGGCCCGTGCCTCTCACCGGCAGGCCACGTCCAGGTCACAGTTCTTGTCCACGTAGCAGGGACTCTTCCCTCCCAGCTCCAGCGTGACAGGGGTCAGGTGCTTGGCAGCAGCCGTCATGATGATCTTCCCCACCCCCGTGCTGCCCGTGTACAGGATATGGTCGAACCTCTCCTTGAGCAGCTCCGTGGTCTCAGGGACACCCCCATTGATTACTGGGTACAGATCCTTCCATGCAAGGAGAGAGGGGAGGCTCAGCAAAGACCAAGCCCCTCCTCGCTCTTGCAAGTGTGGGTGAGTTGCAGTGGCCAAGACCAGCAGCCCCGAAGCTCAGCACCCCACCTTGGGCGGGGGGTAGCAGTAACTGGCAGTAGACCGCCTTTCCTGGCCCAGGGGCTCTGTTCACCCCAATGAGAGAGGGCAGCTGCTAAGAACAATCCTCAGCCCCACCAGTAGCTTGGCCCCTTGCTGCAAGAATTCACTATTTCTCACCCCCCAAAGACCTGGCCCTAGCTCAGTTATGAGGCCATGGAGTTACGAGGCCCTGGAGGGCAACTCACCTTGTCCAGGTACTGGGGGATGATGGTAGCCAGCAGGCTCGCCATGTTCTCACTCAGCTCCGAGGGCTTGAGGACCACTGAGTTCCCTGCAGAGCACACCGAGCCAGGCCTATGCCCAGGGTACTTCACCAGAGGCTCTGCCCTCCCAAGGACCACACCTGAAGCCTCCCCTCCATTGTGTGTCCTCGGGACAGTGGATGGAAGAGTTGTTAGCAAACAAGCACATGTCACGGGGCACACCCAGGAGCACGCACGGGCACATGACAGAGGGACACACACGGGCACACGCTGGCCAGAGCTGCACCACCTGGCCCTCTGAGTTGCTGAGATGTTGGAGGAAAAGCAGAAAGGGGAGAGAGGCTCTGGGGGCCCGGTTGGTAGAACAGCGCTGGCCCATTCTAGGAAGGAAGCCCTGATGCATATTAGGTGACAGAAGCTCCAGCCCCCCAACAGGGGTGGGGGAAGGCAGGCCCTCTCTGTATCACCAGGTGTGGACACCTGAGCCTGACTGGACCTCAGGCACCAAGAGGCCTGGCTAAACAGCTTGGTCCCCACAGCCTCCTGTGACAGACCCAGCAAACCCTTATCTGACCCCAGGACTCTTAACACAGGCCTGAGCCCATCCTGGCTTGGCTCCACGCTGGGGGACGGTGCTCCCCCAGCTTCCCTTCCCACAGGGCCATGCACCTGCAGCGATGGCGCCCACCATGGGCTGGATGGTGAGGTTGAAGGGGTAGTTCCAGGTGCCAATGACGAGGACCACGCCCAGTGGCTCCGAGTGGATGTAGAGCTCGTCCTGCTGAGTCTGGGGCGTCTTCTCCACGGGCTCATCCGCGGCCCACTCAGGGAGCTTCTGGATCATGTACTCGATCTCCTCTAGGACGTACACCACCTCCTCATAGTAGGCGTTCCATTCATTCTGCAGCGACAGAGCCGGAGTGAGCTTCCAGGGCCAGGGCCCGCCTGCAGCTGGGGCGAGTGGGGAGCCCCACTGCTCAGCTGCCAGGGTGATGGGGGTCACTCACCCAGCCCAGGGTGGGGGCAGCCGCAGAAGGCTCCCAGGGGAAGCAGAGCCAGGATTAGCCGTTGGACCTGTGGGTCTGAGAGGACCCCTTTCTGCCAGAGGGGGGCCCAGGTAGGTTTGCGGCCCCAGGGGAGAGAGCCGGTGAAGGGACCAGGCATGGGCAACGGAATGGATCCAGGTAGGGGGAATAGAGCCGGGCAGGGGAGAGTAGATTCAGGCAGTGGGAATGGATCCGGGGAGGGGGGGATGGATCCGGGGAGGGGGGATAGATTCGGGCACTGGGAGCTGGATCCGGGCAGGGTGGAGGGAGCCAGGCCCTTTAGTTGTCTGGAGGGGGATGCAGGACCAAGGGCTGCTGGGCGCTCAGGGCCTCCTGTGGGGAGCAGGGGTGAGAAGAGGAGATGCAGACGGCGGAAAACGCGTCTCTTTTATAAACTTGGGCTGTGAAGAGCAACACAGAAGCTGTAAAGTCAACAGAATGGGTTTCCTTGTTGTTTCTGGTTTAAGATGAGAAGTCCTGAGCCATTTCTTGAAAAGTGCAGTAGCAGGCCCGGCGCTGTGGCTCATGCCTGTAATCCCAGCACTCTGAGAGGCCGAGAACTCCTCCTGAGGAACTCCTGAGGGCAGGAGTTCAAGACCAGCCTGTCCAACATGGCGAAACCCTGTCTCTACTAAAAATACAAAATTAGCCGGGCATGGTGGTACACGCCTGTTGTCCCAGCTACTGGGGAGGCTGAGGCAGGAGAATTGCCTGAACCCGGGAGGCGGAGGTTGCAGTGAGCCGAGATCGCGCCATTACACTCCAGCCTGGGCGACAGAGCGAGACTCTGTCTCAAATAAATAAATAAAATAAAATAAAAATAAAAGTGCAGGAGCAAAGAGGGTAGTCGGTGGGAGGATGGGCTCCGGAGCGCTGGACCCCAGGCAGCATGTGGGGACAGCAGGGGGCTGCGAATGCAGAGGTGTCTGGTCTTGCTCAGGGTGAGGGACGGAACAGCCCCTGTGAGAACTGGGAGGGAGGGGAGAGCCCCCCATGCCCTCCGGGGTGCCAAGCTGCTCTGGTTCCTGGTGTGGAGAACCAAGTGGTCCTGCGTGGGGCTGAGGAATGGGGAGGACCAGAAGTTCAGGGTGTCGGGGCAGCAGGAAGTTGAAATGGGGGACGCTGCGGGCGGGACGCGGAGGCCGGGCCAGGAGGAAAAGGCCAGAGGGCGGAAGAGGCGGCGGGGGCGCGCGGGGCGCGGCGGAGGGGAGGGCGGTGCGCCCAGTCTCCGCGACCGAGGGGCCAGGTGGCCCCAAGTCCTTCCTGAACCTCTCTGGGTCGCACTCTCCCCAGCCCCTCCCCCCACGCCCCATCGCATGGCCCCGACACTGGCAGAAGGCGGCCGCCCAGCCTGAGCACCTTGTGCAGGTCTGCGGCCAGCGCGCCCACCAGCTCCTGCTCCTGCTCCTGGATCAGGCGCTGCAGCGCCTCCAGCTGCTGGATCCGGAACTGCAGCGGACGGGTCCTGCCCGAGCTGAAGGCGGCGCGGGCGCGCTTCACGGCCTCGCTGATCTTGCTCATGGCGCCTGGGGACAGAGAGCACCTGCAGCTGGCTGAGGGGCACGAGCGCGCCCTGCCTCCCACCCTGCCTGAATTCTATAGGAAGGGACTTCCCTGGGCTCGGCCTTGGGGAAAATGGCCTTTCCGCTGGAAGGTCCACTTTCTGCCTCGCCTCCTCTCCCGCCCCTCACTCAGACGCCTGGGCCCTGGCTGCCTTGCTAGCCCCTGAGAAGGTGACACCCGCCGCAACCCGAGTCCTAAGCCGAACTGCTGCTGGGGGCTCTTGGCAGCGTGCTCGCGGCAGGGCCTTTCCCGGCCTTTTCCGCTCCCTTACTTGCTTGCAAAGCTGATGGCACAATCCCAGACCAACACCCCCAGAGCTCTGCACACGCAGTCAGCCACTCTCCAGATCAGATTGGAGGGGCGCAGTCCGCGATTCCACACCCAAGCCGATAAAGAAAAACCCAGCACCACCCTCCTGGCTAAGCCATTGTTCTAAAAAGCGCTGGTTTCTTGGCAGAGCTGAACCAGGCTTGGTGTGTAAACCACGCGTGCCACACCTGGGAGACGCACGCCCATGCCCGCCAAGGATTCAGAGAGCTGCAGATTTCCACAAAGAGGTGTGGAGGCGATTCCTGCTACCAATACACGAAAGTATAGTGGCAAATCGGGATGGCCCTGCTGGGGGCAATTTGGCAATATGTGGCAAAAGTTTTTCAAACATACTTCTCTGTGACGAAAAGGTCCTACAGCCTTTCCTAAACATTCACGAATAAGAAAGTCATCACTGTTTTCTATAACAGGGAAGTATTGTAAACATCCCAAAGATCCGAAAGAAAGGAGACAGTTTAAATGACTCCTGTCACACCCACGTAAGGGTTTACTGTGCAGTATTTAGGGATTAGGTGGAGCAGGCTATTCAGCATGTTTGTAGGGGCTCTCTCTGCACCAGGGGTGTCTCAGGCACTGGGGATAAGAAAGAAAACAGGTTACAGGCCGGGCGCGGTGGCTCACGCCTATAATCCTAGCAAACACTTTGGGAGGCTGAGGTGGGCGGGTCACCTGAGGTCAGAAGTTCAAAACCAGCCTGGCCAACATGGTGAAACCCTGTCTCTACTAAAAATACAAAAATTATCTGGGAGTGGTGGCAGGCACCTGTAGTCCCAGCTACTTGGGAGGCTGAGGCAGGAGAATTGCTTGAACCAAGCTGAGAGGAGGAGGTTGCAGTGGGCCGAGATTGGGCCATTGCACTCCAGCACTTTGACCGGGAGAATGGAGCCATAATCACAGAGTTCTCCTATTAGATTAGTGGTAGGAGGTAAGGCAAGGTTAGTGAGATTTGCTAGAAGTCAAGAGGCTGTCAGTGGAAGCGGTATTTGAAGGCCTCGGGTAAGTAATATAATTACTTTCAGCGAGACTCCATCTAAAAAAAGAAAAAGAAAGAAAGAAAGAAAGAAAAACAGAAAACAAGTTACAGAACAACAGATGTACCAGGCGTGTGCATGTGTGTGTGTGCGTGTGTGTGTGTGCGTGTGCGTGTGTGTGCATGTGTGTGTGTGCGTGTGTGTGCATGTGCGTGTGTGTGTGCGTGCGTGTGTGTGCATGTGCGTGTGTGTGCGCGCGTGTGCGTGTGTGTGTGGGCGTGCACGCTCTAACATGCAAGAAAGGACTAGAACGGTAGCCCCCGACACGATGAGACAACTGATGGGGGTGGAATTATTGATGATCTGTTTTCCTCTTATGCAATGTTTGACTTTTTGCAATGAGCTTGTATTTTTTAAATTTTGGTGCGTTTTAAGATAGGCACTACATGCTCATGAAACAAAATGTAAAATATAGCAAAGGGGCACAGAAAAAAGTCTGCCTCCCTCCTCCCTGCTCCATCAGCTGTCAGGTGCTGCCCCACAGAGGGGCCACTGTTACCAGTTCCTTACTCCCCTTCCTGAGATACTCAGCCCACTTGCAGACCCGGCATAACTTTTAACATCAGCAGAAATAGGGTATTTCCATTTTTTTAAAAAACCCTATATATCATATGTAATATATAATTATATTGTATATAGATATATGGTCCTGCCTACATTCCAGCGAGTGGCTTCCAATCCTTCCTCTGCCTCCCCTCCCCATAGGCTGACCCCTAATCCCAGGCTTTCTGCACAGGGAGGAGGGACCTGCTGGCATTGAGGGTGCTCTAAGCCTGGCCCTTCCATGGTCCCTCCCTATGTTCTGATAGGAGGCTGGGAAAGCCCCCTCACTGGGACCTCCTCAGTCCCATGGGCCAGGCCCCTCCTGCTGACCACAACCCAGGAGAGAAGGTCCCGCTTCTCTCCCGAGCCTTGTACGGTCAAACCAAGGCAGGCAGCCCAGGTGGGAAGAGCCTGGTGAGCGTGGGACGGGATTGGCCTTGCACCCCAGCATCGCCACTTGGAACTGTGGTCTCTGGGCTGGACGGCCTTCCCAGGACTTCCCCGAGAGACAGGTTAACAAAGGTGCCACTTCACAGAGATGAGTGGACACCATCACGTCGCAGCTGCACCCAAATGGGAGCTGCTGCAGCATGCACTGGGGGCCTCCCCAGAGCCCGTCGCCTCACACCCCACATTCCTGCACCCCGCTCCTCTCACCTGTGCCAGTGTTGACTTTGCCCCCCAGTGACACCTCCTCCCCTCCTCATTGCCTTCCATCCTCACAAAAGCTCTGTAGTGATGCCCATGAAGAAGAAACGGTTATGAGTGCATTTTACAGATGAGGAAAGGGAGACTGAGAAACGTTTAATGCTGTATCTGATCTCACAGTTAGCAGGTGGCATGTCAGGGTTTGAACCCACATGCATCTCTGTCAGCAGCTCATGCCTTTAGCACTCGGCTCTGCTGCCTTCCTTCCAGTCATGGAGTCTGACGGCCCATCAGGGCCTCTCACTCCACGGCCACCTTGGTGTCCCTGCTCCGCGGATCCCTGGGACCTCTGCCTCCTGGTTTGGGGGATGGCAGAGCTGCCAGAGGTCCAGGAGGATGCTCCAGAGATGATGGTCCCAGAGGCAGGGACCCCCTGGAGAGATGATGTAGGACTCTTGACACTTAGGGCCCCGGCTCTGAGTGCAGACTCCACCTAGACAAGAGAAAAAATAAGGAATGCAGGGAAGAGGATTACCTTTGACACAGCCTCTCCCGGTAACTGGGGCTCCTGGAACGGCAAGAGCCAAGAGGGGACGTATTTAAGGACCCTGCTTCCCGTCCATTGAGCCCTTGGAGTTCCTGCCCAGGAAGTTTGCGTGACAAGAAAAAAAAATATTCAAATGTGGGGTGTGGCGTCCTCTGGACCTCTGCTCCCTACAGCCCAGGTTTTGGGGATTAGGTCCCGGGCTGTTTGCTTTTGTTCACTTCTGAAATGCGAGAATGTTTCTGAAGGCTTGGGCAGGGCACATCTCCAATCTTCAAAAGAGCCTATGTTTGCCCTGGGCGTGGGGGCTGCTGATTGATTCAGCCTGGCATGGAGCTCTTCCAGCTTTCCAGACTTGCCGCTGCCAGATGCGGTTCTCTGAGTTCTCTGGTTACATAAGATCGGCAGGGCTCAGCCACGAACCACAGTGAGAGCATGCAGCTCCCCCGAAACGCACCCCCAGCCACCGCTGCCCCGGGCCCTTCACATCCCCCAGTGTGCACAGGGCCCCATTGAGTCAGAGATCCTAACCCTGGGGAGCCACAGGCTGGGGACTTTTGATGGGGGTCTCCAATCCATAAATCTGCTCTCTCGTTGAATAGCTGAGAAGAGGGCCAAGGGTCTGTGTGGTCACCGAAAACCAGAGATGCTTGGGAAGGAAGGAGTCTGGAAAAGCCGTTCCCACGCTGTCTGATCAATGTTCGCTGGGCTCCTGCTCTGCACCACGCTGTGGGGAGGAGGCAGGTGTGGAACAGACTCTCGGCCCCTCTCACCAGGCGCTTCCCGCCACCCTCACCCGCCTGCAGGCAGACTGCTTACCAGCATGGGGTCCCTGCTTCCCATTTCATTCGAGGAAAACACAAGGTTCCGGTCCTGGCCTACGAGTCCTGAGGATGTGCTCTGGCCCTCCTGCTTCTCTCCACCTGGAGCCCCCTTCCCCTACATCCACCCACACGGCTACGCTCCAATGTGCTGTGGAAAATAGCACAATGCTGTCGTCTTCCTCCATTATTTTTTCTCTGGAGCGTTTATATCTTGTTTGCTACCTGTCCCTTAACTCCTGACAGCTAGAATTTGATTTGTTCACTGCTGTAACCTCCATACAGCATTTATAGTAGATGCTCAATAAATATTTATTGACTGACAAAATAAACAGGAAATTTCAAAATAATGTGAACACTGTAGTAACCAGGTAGGCAGAGGATGCTAGAGGGGCTGGGGTGAGAGTCCGTGGGAGGGAACATCATCTGAGCTGAGTGAGAAGCATTTGGGCAAGGAACAGCAAGGGGGCTGGAAGAGCAGAAGCAAAGGCACAGAGGCTGGGAACGTTATGTCACGAAAAAGTGCGATGTGTCCACTGTTGCCAGCAGGAGGTGTGGAGGTGAATGACTCTCCTGGGGCGGGGGCTCACGGAGGCCTGTGGGCCAGGCTGGCTGTGGGGGTGCAGGGCGCTGAGGAGATTATCAGACAGACAAATGTCTGCTATTTTTTGTTTTAGAGAACCCCCTGGACAGGGCACAGTGTGAGAAAGGTCTAGCCCAAAGGCTGCAGCTTCCAGCAATGCAGGCAAGAAATGACGAGACCCCCAAATAAGACTAACAGAATGGGAAACATTCCAGAAACAGCAGAAAGAAGCATCTGCAGGACCTCGCACCTGTGCAGGGGCTGGACTGGGTGGTAGGTGCAAAGTGGGGTGCCTCCTGAGAGGGGAGAAGACCGAGCCTGTGCCAGCCTCTCCCCTTTTCTGGTGGCAGCAGCTGATTATCTTTGCAGGCAACCCCTTCCTACTTGGTGAGATGATCAACCAGGTGCCTTCTCCAGGCCAGCCATGGGTTGGGGTGGGCTCCCCATGAGGCCTCCCTGACTCTCCTGGGAATTTGGATCTTGAGTAGAGGGCAGAATGCAAGGCCGAAGGCCATTCGGAGCTGACTTCTTGTGGCAGCGGCCCTCCCCTGGGAGAACCATGGAAGCAACTAGCAAAAGCCAGCAACACAGCATTGAGTACACGAAGTGACCAGAACAGTGCCTGGCGGGCCGAGGGCATCCTGGAAAGGTTAGGTGGTGTGGGTGTCATCAAAAGTGGCAGCAGTAGTGGTGGAAGCGTCAGAGCAAGGAGCCTAAAAGCAGTTCAAATCTACGAAGAACAAAATCCTTGTTTGCGTGTTTGGGTTTTGGTTATAGTTTCAGTAGTGGCAAAAGTGTGGGAGTGTGGGTTGTGCTAGAAACTTGCAGATACTTGCTTTTCAGATTTTCTTTTTTCTTTTTTTTTTTTTTTTTTTGAGACAGGGTGTTGCTCTGTTGCCCAGGCTGGAGTGCAGTGGTGCCATCACGGCTCACTGCAGCTTTGAATTCCGGTGCTCAAGCGATCCTCCCACCTTGTGACTACAGGAACCCACCACCATGCCTGGCTAATTTTTAAATGTTTTGTAGAGATGGGTCTCATTATGTTGCCCAGGCTGGTCTCAAACTCCTGGGCTCAATTCATCTTCCCGCCTCAGCCTCCCAAAGTGCTGGGATTGCAAGCATGAGTTAATCTTTGCAAGTCCTAATACTCCATCCCCAATGCCTCATCCTCACCTGGGCTGTCACTCACTCTCTCTCTCCCAGGCCACTGTTCTTGCCCTCTACCTACTCTCCTTGAGTCAGGCTCAGCTGCCTTCTCCAAGTGGCTGCCAGAGAGACATGCGGACGATAAGGACCTGAGCATGTCTCTCCCCTGATTCACATCCTTGGGTGGCACCCCCTTGCTGTCAGGAAGCTTCCTCCCATGGCCTGTGAGCCCCTGCCTGGCCTGGCTCCTGGCTGCCTTGCCAGCCTCACTTCGCACCACTTCCCACCATTCTCACTGCACTCCAGTCTGCTGGCATTCCTTGACTTAACCAGGCAATTTCCTACCACAAGGCCTTTGCACATGCTGTTCTTGCTCCCTGGGACACTTTTTCTTCCACTCTGCACCAGACTAACTCTTATCCATGTTCAGATCTCAGCTTCCCTGACCTCTCTCACCTCTCAAATAAAACCTTCCTTACTTCCAGGAACCTGTCACAACCTGCGTTCATATCTTTGTTTGTGTGACTATGTCTCTCCTTATTCCCCCTTGGACTGGAATGTCCACAAAGGCAGAGATCTCAACTTTTGTTCAGCACCATATCCTGGCACAAGGGAGACCTCTGAAGATACGGAAGCAGCCCACTACACCTAACCATCCCTCTGATGGAAAAGCAATCATTTAGCAAGACGATTTTCAGCAAATTCACCCAAAGCTAGCAAAAAAAGTGTTGAATGAATGAATGAATGAATGAATAGCGAGTTTGCTTAAATTTCAAGGAACATTTAGATTAGATATAGTTGTTGGGAGGGGAAACCACTTTCTTTATACGAGTAGAAGGAGCCTGGGCAACATAGAGAGACTCATCTCTACAAAAAATAAAAAAAAGGAAGGAGGCTGGGTGCGGTGGCTCACGCCTGTAATCCCAGCACTTTGGGAGGTTGAGGCGGGCAGATCACTTGAGCTCAGGAGTTCAAGACCAGCCTGGCCAACATGGTAAAACCCCATCTCTACTAAAATACAAAAATTAGCTGGCCGTGGTGGTGCATGCCTGTAATCCCAGCTACTCGGGAGGCTGAGGCAGGAGAATCGCTTGAACCTGGGAGGTGGAGGTTGCAGTGAGCCAAGATTGCGCCACTGCACTCCAACTTGGATGAGGGCAGAGCGAGACTCCATCTCAAAAAAAAAAAAAAAAAAAAATTAGCTGGGCGTGGTGGCATGCACCCAGCTACTTGAGAGGCTGAGCGGGAGGATCACTTGAGCCCAGGAGGTCGAGGCTTCAGTGAGCTGTAATCATGCCAGTGCACTCCAGCCTGGGGGACAGAGTGACCAGGTAGACCCTGTCTCAAAAAAAAAAGAGAGAGTAGAAAGGAGAAAATTAGGCAGTGGGTCTCAGGGACCTCCCCGTTGGTTAAAAGTGTTATGACTCAGGAAGACAAATGCCACATGTTCTCCCTCATGTGTGGGAGCCAAACAAGTGGATCTCATGAAGATAGAGAATAGATCGGTGGTTACCAGGGCTGGGAAGGGTGGGGAGGTGGGGGAATAAAGAGAGCTTGCTTAGTGCGTACAAACACATATTTAGGTAGAAATAATACGACTTAGTGTTCAGCCAGGCACGGTGACTCACACCTGTAATCCCAGCACTTTGGGAGGAAGAGGCGGGCAGATCACCTGAGGTCAGGAGTTTGAGACCAGCCTGGGTGACCAAGCAAGACCCTATCTCTACAAAAAATGTAAAAATCTGCTGGGCGTGGTGGCACGCACCTGCAGTCCCAGCTACTCGGGGAAGCTGAGGTGGGAGGATCGCTTGAGCCCAGGAGTTGAAGGCCACAGAGAGCTGTAATCCAGTCACCGTGCCCAGCCAAGAGCAGTCAGTCTGTTACAAAGCCCTCTGTTACTGTTACAAAGCCCCTCTTTGGAGAGGCATGAAGTCAGCAGAACTGGCTGTGCCCGGGGCAATTTCCCCACTGTGTCCACACCTTCTGGGGACTTGTAGGAAAGGACTTCTGGGGCTTCTTCATCTCTTTATCTGCTGCCAGTCATAGTGCCTTGGGTCAGAGAAGCTGCAGGTTTGCAGCCAGCGGAGGTGAGTGCGAGCAAGGGGGAGCCTCCCCTAAGATGCTGCAGAGGCCCCAGTCCTCACCCCATCTCCCTTGGACTTTCCTGCTCCCAGGAAGCTGTGGCTCCCAGGCCCAGGCCCTGGCTCCCAGGAAGCCTCTGCCGAGTCAGGACAAAGGGCATCTTAGCGGGGCAGAAGGCATGAGTGCTGGCTGGAGGGGAAGTGGGTACTAGGGCCATCCTGGCTAAGTCAGCCTGCCAGGCAGGATGGCAGCAAAGTGCAAGTCATGGTGAGTTAGGCACGGGCAGCCTCACAGCAGGAATGCCCGGCCCTCCTAGCCCAGGCGGAACCTGCCTGAGTCACCGCCTGGCTGCAGCCCCAGCTGCAGAGCCTCTGCAGACCAGCCCACACCCCGGCCATCCTGGAAGGGACACAGCGGGCATGCCAGGAGGACATGCCAGGGCACGCTTGGGTTGGTACTGCCAGTCTCTTGGGGTCTGGGAAGCCCCGTCCTGGATCTTAACGGACACGGAATGCACCCTCATCACACATGAAATATAATGTTTACTCGAAAAATGCAAAGAAAATTTAAGTTTTGTTTCTTCACAATAATCACACAAATGTAATTTTACAAACATAATACACATTGTTTAGCTCAGACTTTTTCTTTTGTACGTACTTGGTTTGCCCCTTTCTCAATATGAGTGTCTCATCTGTAATCCACAATATTTTCCCTAAGTTTTTCTCAGTGCTTATTTGACATACACAAAAATGTACATGACACACTGGAAGCTGTCAGCATTTTAAAAGCAGAGCCTCATCATGCACCCTCTTCTGCATCTTCTGACCCCACTCCCTCCGGGGCGGCCGGGAGCTGGAGTCCATTCCTCCTCATGGCCGTGTGAAAGCAGTGGTAAGCATGTAGAATGTGCAAGCAACCACAATGTTCCCCGTGGATGGGAGACCACTTTGCCTTCCACTTTGGATCAATGCTCCATGGGCCGCTTTGCATGTCTTGGCGTGTGTATTTCTGCGTGTTAGATCCCAGGGATGCTGGCTTTGTCAGTCTTCACAGGTGTTGCCGGTGACTATCCACCAAGGTGGCCCTAAGGGGCTGTTGTAGTTCCAGCTGGCCTGGCAGTGTGTGGCACTCTGCCGTTTCCCTGCCGCCTAGTGGCTGGTGCATTCCTCACTGTGCAATGGCCATTGGCATTTGCCCATTTCTTGGAAGGGTTTGTGTTTTCCTTGTCAGTGTCTAGGAGCTCTTTGTATATTACAGCCATCTGCATCACTAGTATTTTCCTGAATCTATCATTTATCCACGGACTTTATTTATGGTATATTTTGTTATATAAAAGTTTTTATAAAGCTAAATAGAACTCTCCTGTTTTAGTTTAGATTAGGAGGGTACTCCTTGCCCCAGGATTAATTCCTAATTTTCTGCTAAGATTTTTATTGTTTTATTATTCACTTTGAATCCATCAAGAGTTGATTTTACAAATGCAAATGGAAATGCACATTGATTTTCTTTTTCTTTTTCTTTCTTTCTTCCTTTTTTTTTTTTTTTGAGACAGAGTCTCACTCTGTCACCCAGGCTGGAGTGCAGTGGCACGATCTCGGCTCACTGCAACCTCTGCCTCCCGGATTCAAGCAATTCTGTGCCTCAGCCTCCTGAGTAGCTGGGACTACAAGCACCTGCCACCACGCCCGGCCAATTTTTGTATTTTTAGTTGAGATGGGGTTTCACCATCTTGGCCAGGCCAATCTTGAACTCCTGACCTTGTGATCCATCTGCCTCGGCCTCCCAAAGCGTTGGGATTACAGGCGTGAGCCACCGCGCCCAGCCCACACGTTGTATTTTTTTTTTGCAGATGCACAACCTGTGTGCCAGCATCGTTTAATAACAACTCCACCCCTTCCTGACCCTTTGCTATGTGCCAGGTCTGAGCACTTCCATGTATGAACTCCTTTAGTCCTCACAAGCACCCAAGAGGCAGAAACTATCATTATTTCCATGAGAGATGAGGAACTGAAGAACACAGAGGCTAAGTGATTTGCATAAGGTCACACAGCTAGTGAGTGATCGAGCCAGGTTTCACCCGAGAATCTGACCTGGCATCCCCTTGAGGAGACTCATATCCTGGGGAGTCCTTCCCCCCAGGTTTGCAAACATATTGCCAGAGTGTGGAATACGGTTTTCTCCAAATTCTATTCTCATTCCTAGTCTTGAACGTGTCTGCTATCCCCATTCCCCTTCCCAGGGAAACTGCAAATCACGATGTGCCCAGGTCTGTCTCATCAGTGCTTGCAGAGACCAGTCCATGCGTGGGGTCGCTCATCCACTCTAAAAGAAGTATGAATGGGATGCGTGTTGGTTTCCCAGCTCATTGATTTCCGTTTCTATCAATTCCTAGTTTCTTTTGGTGCTTAAACTATATAGGTCCTTTATTTTTGTTTTCCTATTATAACACAGGAGTGAAAGTGTTTGCTTTTCCTCTGAATTTGCTGCTGGAGCTCAAGCGAGAGTTCGCCTTCAAAGATGCCCTCTACATGTGTGAGGTCACCTGAAGTTCGCTGTCCCCTGATCCTCCTGAACATGAGGGAGAACTGGTTGGATCCCCCAGCTAAGTGGCAGACACTGGTTTTGGTGGCCACAGGGGGCAGCCCGTGTGACAGGCACATGCTAAGGCCTGCCAGTGGAGGAGGTAGTACCTTTGAAGATGCCATTGACCACCTGGCCACAGCCAGCCAGGGGCCTGGTAGCAGGGGGTGTCACCTGAGACAAGCCGTCCTGGATGGCCTCCAGCAACTCAGGGATAACATGGGCTTCGGGAGGGACCCTCTGGTCCAGCTGCCCCACCCAACCACCCTTATTAGCTCCAAGTCCCTCTCCAAGCCTTTGCCAAACTCCCCAGACCCACTGCTCTCCTCCTTTTCCCATCCTGGTTCCCCATCTTCCTTATCTCCACCATCCACCCAGGAGGCGTCTGCCACTGCTGACATGCTGTCGGCTCCCCCTTGGTGCGAGAGGTAGGCTCCCAGAAAGACCCTGGAAAGTCCCTGCCACCCACACCACCAATGGGGCTGCCCCCACCCCAGGAGTCTGGTTGGGGGAACCCATTTATGCTGTTCCTCTACCTGGCCCTCCTGCTGGAGCACCGCAACCACACCATGTGCAATGCGCTGGATGACAACGAGCTGGCCATGTGCTTTGACCGCCTCATGTGAAAACGCCACCTGGGGCGTGTCCTGTGCTGGGCCAGGGCTCTCTTTGCTGATTACCTGCAGTGTGGGACTTGGAGGAGGGGGCTGAGGCCACAGCTACATCTTGATCAGGCTTTCTCCAGCCCACCATCAGCCCCACCAGATCTCCATTCTTTGCCATGAGGGCCAACACGTGAGAACCCACCTCCCTGCCTGCCAGCCCTAGACCTGCTGGAGCATAGAGCCCTTCCTCCCCAGGTCTAAGTAAGTATGCAGGGGCCTGCTCTGCCACTGCCCCAGAGGAGCCACGGCCTCTTTACTCTGTTTCTGCTGTTTTAACAACTATACTTTACACACATGAAAAAAAAAGAATCTCCACCTATTAAATCAAATGTATTGGTTATTCTTTTATATCATTCCTTTTTATTGACTGGCCTGAGAGCTGTGTATTGACATCGCCCACTGTAACTGTATTTGGATCAAGCTCTCCTTACAATTCTAGTAATTTTGGCTTTGTGTATTTAACCATCATTTTGCTTAGTCCATATGGGTCTATGACTTTTTTCCTTTATAAGATTTGCTTTTCATCATCACATGTTCTAAGCTGAAAGTCCGCCTGTCTGTGGCTCACACTGCTGGCACGCCACGTCTGTGTCTTATCTGTCCACACACGGACCGCCCCCAGCCCTTCTCGACCTTGCTGTTCCGCATGCATCCCGTCAATCCTGCAGAGCTAGGGCTTGTTTTCAGACAATATCCTGACAGCCTCTCTTTGTGTAATGGCTGAAATACTTGGGGTTATCCTCTCAATTTCCCCCTGTATGGAGCGGTTTACTTCCTCCGGTTATTTCCTCTTGCCTCCAGTGCTGTTCCTTCCACTTCCCCTGGCTTGTCTGTGAGTTCTTCCTACCTTTCCGCTGTGTCGATGGGTCCTCCCGTCTCTGCTCCGTAATCACAGGCGCATTTCTCTACCCACTGTTTCCCACTCTGGGCTGCCCTCCTTTGCCAGGACACGAGCTTCAGACTCACCTCCGCTCCACTGCCACCCCAGGCCTTGGCTGTAGCATTTGGGATGGGCACCCCTCCCCCTCCCCACCTCTGTGCCCCAAGGTTTTTGCCCCCCACTTAAAACTAAAAGTACAGAGCCCTCCTGTACTTTTAGTTTTACACTATTATTTGGCCCAAGTGAGGTATGAATACAAAATGACTTTTTTCCCAATTACTGCCTCCCACTGTCCCTTGTCCAACCTTTATTATCCATCCCTAGGACACCCCAACAGCTCCCATCCCTTCCTGGCTGGTGTCCCATATCAAAACGCCAGGTCCAGGAGAATTTATTAAGCTGACCCTAGTGAATGCGCTTCTGCCCAGCCTGGATTGGGCCTGTGGCCCTGAGGAAGGGGACAAGGAAGGCCTCATTACCCCGCCCACCCTGGGTCTCCCTTTCCCTCTGGAATATCGGCTGGTAGGAGAAAAATGGGCAAGAGCGAAGGACTTCTGACTTAACTGGTGCTCCTGGGAGGTGCTGCTCTTCACAGCCCCTGCAGTGCTTACCCACCACTGGGTTCCTGGAGAGGGAGGGAGATTCCTGCTGCCCCCCATACTCTCCGCCAAGTACCTTCCATGGGGCCCCTCACCTCACCAGCAGGTCCCTGGCCATGGCATCGGCAAGGTGGCCCACCCAGCAAGCCTCCTGGGGTGCAGCTGGCCCAGAGGGAGCGAACGCATTGTCCCCATGCAAGACGCCTGTGCAGGCACCGCACTCAGCCCCTCTCTGCCCAGCCATCTCTGTCTCATTCTTTTTTCTTGCTCAACCAGCTCAAATGACACAGACGGTGGCTCAGCTAGTCCTTTGTATGAGAAGACATCCCAACGGGCAATGAAACGCCACCCCTTTCCTTGCAGGTACCCCCATCTCCATCAGGGAGTCCCTTGGAGCCCCATGGTTGGCGCAGAGTGGTGGGGAGCCCATCTGTGTGTGAGGGAGGCTCCAGGGAAGGAAGGAAAAAGGTCCTGTTTCTCTCCTGTTAGGTTCATGATTCCTTCAACTCTCACCAGCTCTCCAATGTCTAGTTTTCTGTTTACATGGCAGAGATGCTGGAAGATATGGAAGGGCCGGCTCTGCTCCCTCATCCTTGGGAGAGGTCTCCACAGGGCAAAGGCCCAGAGCACACGAAGGATGTACAGAGCCCAAGATGATGGCATTTCAGGCCTTGGGACCCCTGGTGATGGGTGGAGAGTGGGTGAGTCTCCCAGTGCCTCCCAAACTGGAGCACGCTCCATTCCAGCTGTGTCCTTCCGCCCCATAATCACTAAGACAACCACAGAGCCCCCCAGACCCATTCAAAACCATCCACAAAAATCACATACAATGGAATATTATTCACCCTTAAAAAGGAAGGAAGGCCAGGCACCATGGCTCATGCCTGTCCTCCCAGCGACCCAAGAGACTGAGGTGGAGGATCACTTAAGACCGGGAGCTCAAGACCAACCTGGGCAACATAGTGAGACACCCATCTCTACAAAAAAAGAAAATTAGCCAGGCATAGTGGCACATGCCACCAGGGTTGCTTGAGCCCAGGAGTTTGAGGCTGCAGTGAGCTATGATCGAACCACTGCACTCCAGTGGTGGGCAACAGAGCAAGACTCTGTCTCTAAAAAAAAAAGTAAGGAGGCTGGGCATGGTGGCTCATGCCTGTAATCCCAGCACTTTGGGAGGCCAAGGTGGGCAGATCACTTGAGGTCAGGAGTTTGAGACCAGCATGGCCAACATGGCGAAACCTCAACTCTACTAAAAATACAAAATCAACCAGGCATGGTGGCGGGTACCTATAATCCCAGCTACTTGGGAGACTGAGGCAGGAGAATCACTTGATCCCGGGAGGCAGAGGTTGCAGTGAGCCAAGATTGTGCCACTGCACTCCAGCCTGGATGACAGAGCGAGGCTCTGTCTCAAAAAAAAAAAAAAAAGGAAGGAAATCCTGACATGTGCTACAACATGGATATGAACCTTGAGTGAAATAAGCTGGTCACCAAAGGACAAATCCTGTATGATTCCACTTACGCGAGGTACTTGAGAAGTGAAATGTATAGAGACAGAAAATAGAATGGTTAGAATGATGGTTGTTGGGGGCTGAGGGGAGGGGAATGGAGAATGAGTGTTGAATGGGAACAGAGTTTCAGTGTGGGAAAGATAAAAGAGAATGGGCCGAGTGTGGTGGCTCACGCCTGTAATCCCAGCACTTTGGGAGGCTGAGGCAGGCGGATCACCTGAGGTCGGGAGTTCGAGACCAGTCTTGACGAATAAGCACAAACGCATTGCCTGACCAGGTCTGTTCATGGAGGCCTGAGAGGGTGCGATGGGTGGGGCAGAGCTGGGGTGCGATGGGTGGGGCGGAGCTGGGTCACCCTGAATGCAGGGCGGAGGTGCTTGGACTGTGTTCTGGGGGCAGTAGGGAGCACAGAGTAAACTTCAGGTGGACGTGTATTAGTTGGCCTCTCCTGCAAATGACAAGCACCAAGAGAAGATGCTGCTTTGGCCCTCTGGGAGGAGCCCTGGTGATGCAGGTGTAGGAGCAAGCTGTGGCGATGCAGGTGTAGGAGCAAGCTCGGGGCCTGGGGACCGCTGCATGAGGGTGTGGTCTGTCTCCCTTCCTCTCCCTCTGCCCTCCCTGCCCCCTGCTTGTCTCTGCACATCTGCCTCATTCCTCCTGCCTGCTGGAGGAGAAGCGGGAAGGAGACAGGGAGTGTCCATGGACTCCCATGCCTGTGCTCAGTGAGGCCCCACACTCACACGCACAGCCCTAGCCCCGAGGCCTGCTTGCCACCAAAAGCAAGCATCTCAACACGTGGCCTAATGCCTTCCTCCTGCACGAATCCATGGGGCCTCACTCCCCACTCACCTGTCATTTCGAGATTTCCACGCTCCCTGCTCCTTGGCTGCCCCGCCCCACGCCCCACCCCTCCTTCCTGCCACCCTCTTGTCCATCCATCCACCCAAACCCTGCCTCTGGGCCCTCTGGAAAGCACAGTCCTCCTCCTCCCTTCCTGAACCCGAAATCTGTTTGCCCAAAGGACCAGGGCGGCTTCCCTGCGGCCCTCCTTCCCAAGGGTGCTGCCTTTCTCCAGGCCCCTCACGCCTCAGGACCTGGGGTGGAGAGGGCTCCTCCAAGCCCTGTGGTGCATCCAGGCCGCAGGACAGTGCTTGTCTCCACAAATCCCAGCTCCTCGGAAGCTGACACCATGGCCCGAGGCCCCTCCTCTCTCCCTCTCCCTTAGGGAGGCCCACCTGGCCCTCCTCACTAAGATGCTCAGCGCCAGAGCCCTCGGCTTCTGATCTCATCTGCACCGACTTTTTCTTCCATGCGCCTTCAGCTCACACTGCCAAGGTCCCACTGTGAGCGATGAGCTTTACACAGTGACAGCCCTGGTCAGGAGAAAGGTGCTCTCTCATAACTGATGATGCCTGTCTGGGGCCAGCAGGATCAGAGCTGGAACTAAGGAACAAACACTGGCAAACAAGTGCCTTATTTTTCCATGTAGACCTATTTTTTTCATATTTCTTTTGTGGTAAAAATACATAAAATAGATTCACCATTGTAACCGTTTTCAAGTGTAGAGCTCAGTGGCATTAAGCACATTCACACTGTGTGCAGTCATCAGCTCTATCCATCTCCAGGACTTTTTCATCCTCCCCAAACTGAAACTCTGTGTCCATTAAAAAAACTCCCCAGAGCCACTGGAAACCACCATTCTCCTCTGTCTCTATGAACCTGACGACTCAGTGCCTCATGGAAGTGGAATCATACAAAATTTGTCCTTCTGTGTCTGGCTTCTTTCACTCAGCGTGATGTCCTCAAGATGCATCCCGTGTTGCAGCACGTCAGGATTTCCTTCCTTTTTCAGGCTGAATAACATCCCACCATCTGTCTATGCCTCATTTTACTCCTCCACTCACCAGCCCGTGGACACTTGGGCTGCCTCCACCTTTTGGCTATTGCAAATCACGCTGCAATGAACATGGGGGTGCGAGGATTTCCTCGAGACCCTCTTTCGCTTCTCTCAGGTATATAATCAGAAGCAGAATTGCTGGATCATGTGGTAATCCTACGTTTAACTTTCTGAGGAACTGCCAGACTGTTCTCCACAGCAGCTGCACCATTTTAACATTCCCAACCGCCATGCACAAGGGTTCCAATTTCTCCACATCCTCACAACACTTATTTTCATGGAGGTTACTTAATCGCTACAGTGAACAGGCAGGTCTCAGAGTTTGCCGTCAGAAAAACAACTCTCTTTTCTCTCCTCTGAGCTCTGCAGCTAGTTCTTCCTGGACCTTGGGACGAGAACTGGGGCAAGTCCATGATGTTCCCTCTCCGATCATGAATAACAACTTGATTTCAGTCAGTTAAAAAAAAATGCCTGTTGGGGACGGGCGTGGTTGTTCACACCTGTAATCCCAGCATTTTGGGAGGCCGAGGCAAGCAGATCACCTGAGATCAGGAGTTCGAGACCAGCCTGGCCAACATGGCAAAACCCCGTTTCTACTAAAAATACAAGAAAATTAGCTCAGCGTGGTGGCACACGCCTGTAGTCCCAGCTACTCGAGAGGCTGAGGCAGGAGAATCGCTTGAACATTGGCAGCGGAGGTTGCAATGAGCCGAGATCACACCACTGCACTCCAGCCTGGGCAACAGAGCGAGACTCTATCTCAAAAAAAAAAAAAAAAATGCCCGTTGGGGTAATCCTTGGAGCCTCTTCCAAGTACCTCACCCCGTGGGCCTCTGCAGCTGCAGGTGCTGTGGTGGGCAGGAGGCCCTATAGGCTTCTCAGCCTCCCCACCTTGCTCCTCCTTCTCCTCCTCCTCCTCCTCCTCCTCCTCCTCGGCCTCAGTGAGCCCGGGCTCCACTAAGATCACAGAGGGAAGGTAGGCAAAGGGGCTGGGGAGCAGCTTTCTTGTCTCGCGCCAGTCTCAGGTGGTTTCTTCTGAGGTCCGAGGCTTGCTCGCTCACACAGCAGCTTTTGACAGCCTCCCACACCCTCTGTTCCCAAGGACTGCTGCCCTGGGCTCCCTTTGACGGAGGAGATGCCATCTCTACAGACGGCTCATGCTCCTCTGCTGCTCCTTAGCCTCTGACAGACACCCCCTGCTTTCCTGCCAAGGCCCCCTTACCCCAAGCCCTGGAGCAGCCATGTTGGACAGGACCCCCAGCTCTCCCTGCCTGCGTCTCTGCCCACATCGCCCCCTTGGCACTGCTGCACAGTCTTTGGCCTACAAAGTGTTTGAGAGCAGCTGGCCAGAAATGAACTCCTGGCCATTTGATTTTTCAGGCAGCAGACACCCACCTAGCATGTCCCCCAAGCTTCAGAAGATACATAGAAAAGCTCTCCCAAAGGTGCCACCAAGGAGGGGTGCCAGCAGCCTCAGCCCTCCATCGGAGGGAGACGCTCAAAGCAGTCTCACTTAGCATCCCTCAAAAGCAGGGCCGGGGAAGGAGAGCCAGCGCAAGGGCAACACTGAGTTGGGTCCTGGCTATTTCCGCGGGGGCGCCTGAGCAACGGTCTGGCTGGTCTCCCCTGGCAATGGTGCACCCGGAGGACTCAGCACTGCCCTCTGCTGCTGGCAGGTTGAGCTTAGCAAAATCAGCCTGCTGGGCCCACGGGTAGCCTGCAGCTCCTTCACCATGGCAGGCTTATCCTGGGCTCACGGTGCAAGCATCAGGGTGGCCAAGGATGGAGGCCAGTTGACCTTCACTGGACAAGTCGTCCTGTCCACCTGGTTTGTCCTGTGCCCCTCTGGTGGGCGCTGACACTAAACACAGTACTGTCTGCTCACTGCCTGGGTTATCACAAGTCTTCTCCAGATCGCCTTCGCTCCAACTTGCCAATCTTGCTTCTTCTAAGCCCCTGACCAATCAGCAAAGCCATGCACCACTGCCCGCATGTCTGTGTCTCTCCTTCCCCCCAGCCTCTCCTCTCTATACAAAGGCTATGCCAGGCACGCTGCTGGAAGCTCTGCCCACCTTGCAGACAGGGTCTCCTAGCATGTGACCTAGCTTCACCAATCCAACAGGCCGACACTGGACCTTAAAAGAGCCAAGATGTGGGGACCTCAGGGGTTTTTCTCTCTGACAGCAGTAGTGGTTGCCACAAGATCAAATTTCCCGAGAGGCAGCGGACACAGTGTCAGCAATGCATTGACATCCTCTGCCTATTCCAGTTCTGCAGCTTCATTTCTGACTTTTTTTCCCCAGCTCTCCAGGCCTCCCCCAAATTCTTACAAATAGCCTTTAAAAAAAATAACAAGTTCTTTTCTGCTTAAATAAGCCAAAGTTGTTCCTATGTTCCCATTTTTGCTAAGCTGCACAAAATGGCCATAGGAATTCCTCCCATCCCTGTATGTACAGAGCTTTACAATGTGCCTTTGCTATAAACCCCATCAATAGGGGGATTTCTCCACCTCCTGAATCTGGGCTTGGTCATGGGGCTTGCTTTGGCCAATGGGACACTGGCAAATATGAGGCACAGAGACACGTAGGGTGCTGGTGATTGCGCCCTGGGACTTGCTCTCCACCTACCATGGGACACCACCATGTAAACAAGGCTGAGCTGGCCTGCCAGATGATGGCAGACAGGAGGCCAAGTCATCCTTGATGTCCCAGCTAAACATCATGCAAGTCTACAAACCCAAGTGAAGTTGTCTTAGACCACTGACCACCAGCCATGTTGACTCAGACCAGAACTGCCTAACTCGCCCATAAGCATGATGAGAAATAATACATGCTTATTATTTTAAGCCATTAAGTTTTGGAGTGGCTTGTTATACAGCAAAAATTAACTCATACACTTTCTAGCAACTGAGAATACTGATAGATACCCACATCCTATTGATCTCCAAGGCATTTTAACTCCTACTCATCTATTGAAATCATCCATCATTCTCATGTGAGTAAGTTTCATCTGGTCTCCCTGAATCCATCTGTGCCCCTCTCATCTTTTCTGCAACCTGCCAATCTGATTAAGCCACATCCCATGCTTAAAAATGGCTGCAAGGCTGGGCACGGTGGCTCACATCTGCAATCCCAGCACTTTGGGAGGCCGAGGTGGGTGGATCACTTGAGGTCAGGAGTTCCTGACCAGCTGGCCAACATGGTAAGACACCATCTCTACTAGAAATACAAAAATTAGCCAAACATGGTGGCGGGCGCCTGTAGTCCCAGCTACTCTGGAGGTTGAGGCAGGAGAATTGCTTGAACCCGGGAGGCAGAGGTTGGAGTGAGCCAAGATCTCGCCACTGCATTCCAGCCTGGGCGACTGAGCCAGACTCCGTCTTAAAAAAAAAAAAAAAAAAAAAGGCTGCAAGCTCATCAACATACCTCTCCCTCTCTCTCTTCCCACCCAGACTCTCTGACCTGCAGTCACACAGTGACAGTGCTGACAGCCTGTGTTCTGTTGTGAGCTGAAATCCCCGACTTGCTCACATATACATAAACATGCTTAAAGCTGCACCTAAGCAGATCCATCTGCTTCATTTACATCTAGAGATGGGCTGTAAGAACATGAGCTCTGGAGGAAGCCTGCCTGAGTTAGAATCCTGGCTCAGGGACTCACCACCTATGAGAAATTAAGCAAGTTACTTAACCTCTCTAAGCTTCAGTTTCCTCATGGGCTGGCTGTGGGTTCATATAAAATGCTTAGAACTGTGACTGGCAGGCAGGGCGCAGTGGCTTACACCTGTAATCCCAGCACTTTGGGAGGCTGAGGCAGGTGGATCACCTGAGGTCAGGAGTTCAAGACCAGCCTGGCCAAGATGGTGAAATCCCATCTCTACTAAAACTACAAAAATTAGCCAGGCGTGGTGGCAGGCACCTGTAATCCCAGCTACTTGGGAGATTTAGGCAGGATAATCTCTTGAACCCAGATGGCAGAGGTGCAGTGAGCTGAGATCGCGCCACTGCACTCCAGACTGGGCAAGAGTGAGACTCCGTCTAAAAAAAAAAAAAAAAAACTGACTGGCATGGGGAAGACATGCAGTGTATGTCAGCCATTATTTTCCACAAATATCAGATATATGTTGAGTACCTACTATCTCCCAGGTACTGTCCTAGGAGCTAGGGACACAGTAAGACAGTAAGGTTCCTGGCTTTAGAGAGCTGACATTTTAGTGAGGTGATAATAATAATAAACAAGTAAAAATACACACAAGATGATTTCCGAAAGTGATTACTGCACTGCAGAAAGCAAACCTGCTGGCCTTTGCACATGCTGGTCCCCGGCTCAGAACACTCCCCTCTCCGCCGGCTTCATGCTCCCTTCTTTCCTGACTTCCTTGGCTGGTCCAGTTCCCCTCCCACAAGTCCACATAACAACATCATCTACCTGTCTTCTGTGGCATTAGTCACAATTGTCATGTTGTCTTTATCAACGTCCTATCTACAGTGTGTGCCTCATGAGGGCAGGCCATGCCCTGGCGTTCTCCCTTGTGTCATAGTATAGCACCAACTCAGAGCAGGTGCTTAACAAATGGCTTCGAGGGCATGAATGACAGGAAAAAAAGACCCAATATCAAGCCAAACATCACAATTTCTCAAAATTTGTCCATTAGCCTCTGGCATAGGAAACATCCAGGGAAGGGAACTCCTACCCTAGACCCCACCTGCCCCACATCAGACCTCCTGGCAGCAGGCTTTTTTTTTTTTTCTTTTTTGAGATGGAGTTTCACTCCCGTTGCCCAGGCTGGAGTGCAATGGCGTGATCTCGGCTCATTGCAACCTCTGCCCTCTGGGTTCAAGTGATTCTCCTGCTTCAGCCTCCCAAGTAGCTGGGATTACAGGCACCAGGCACCACACCCAGCTAATTTTTGTATTTTTAGTAGAGACAGGGTTTCACCATGTTGGCCAGGCTAGTCTTGAACTCCTGACCTCAGGTGATCTACCTGCCTTGGCCTCCCAAAATGCTGGGATTACAGGCATGGGCCACCAAGCCCGGCCAGAATCTTTTTCTTCTATGCGCTAGTAGGCCTGAGGTCTTACCTTTCTCACCTACAAAAGCCCATCTAGAGCAGTCCTCCACATGGGGCACCCCCTGCCCTGCCGAGCAGAGGCAGGCCCCAGAAGGGACGTGTGTTGAGGGCAGCCCTTCCCTCCTGGGGGTGGCCCTTAGTTCTGCAGGTCCGAGTCTCCTTAGGGGCAGGCTCGCTCCCCAGCCCCTTCTCAAGCCAAGGGCAGATCTGACCAGCCCCAAGAGGGGATCGAGGAATCTTTGGGGCAAGACAGCAGAGCTTCTTTGGGGAAAAGGGACTTGAGGACTCACCTCACTGCTTCCCTTAAGAAGGGAGATGGGCTTCCGGGGAGCTGGGAGTCCCCAACATCTAGTGACAGGGGGGCACCAAGAGGGCAGCTCTCACGTTTTCTGTGAGTTTGTGCCTTTTCTGAGGTTTTCCTCAGACTCTCAAAGGGGTCCCTGCTGGCGACCCCTTGGGAAGAAGTTACCTCACTGTCCCTTCTCCCCTCCCCATGCAAGACACTGTCCTTTCTCAGGGAGCAGCCTGAGAAGCCTCACTGCCTGGGGGCGGGCGCCCTCTGCCGGTTGAGGGCTGGCCCAGGTCTGGCTCAGCCCACGGGGCGCTGCTGGCAGTAGGGCTGGTCGGGGAGACACATGGGGCTGGACAGGTGTGTGGGGCCTGACCTAAGCTCCTTCTCCAAAGGCAGAGAAGGCACTGAGGTGGGACATGAGTCCCAGGGGTGGGGCCTGCCGCTGACAGTGTGTGGCTGTGGGGGTCCAGAGGCACATGACCTCAAAAGAGTTTGTTTCAATTCAGACAGGCAAGGGCTAGAGTACACATTTTGTATTTAAAAAACAGAGGACATAGCTAAAATATTTATAGAGGATCGACCCCATGGTTTTTTGTCAGCCCCACAGCAAGGAACCAGAACTTGGTTTTGCAAAAATCAATATGCTTACATAGCCCTGCTGAGAGACAGGGCAACAGCCCAAGGCCTGGCTCCCCGGCACTGTAGGCAGCTGTTGCTAGGAACAGGGGCATCAGATCCCAGCATGGCAGGGAGAGCTTCACTTTGCTTGCTGCCACCATTTGTTGAGCACTTGCTAAATGCCAGGCACTGTGCAAAGAGCATTTTCCCCACACAGGTAGGATTAGAAAGTAGTAGTCCTCTTATCTTCTCTAATGGATGGAAAAACTGAGGCTCAGGATGGGAAGGTAACTTGTCCAAATAACACACAGGAAGATTAAAAGTAGAACACCTCATTTCTCAAAGCAGCAGAAAAACAAGTATGTTCCAAAACTACCAATGGAGAAAAATTTGCATGCTGTAAACTAACAGTTCATTAAATTCTGTTTAAGGCTGGATGCGGTGGCTCACGCCGGTAATCCCAGCACTTCAGGAGGCTGAGACTGGCAGATCACCGGAGGTCAGGAGTTCAAGACCAGACTGGCCAACATGGCGAAACCCCGTCTCTACAAAAAATGTAAAAATTAGCTGGGCGTGATGGCACAAGGCCTGTAATCCCAGCTAATGGGGAGGCTGAGGCAGGAGAATCACTTGAACCCAGGAGGCAGAGGTTGCAGTGAGTCAAGATCATGCCACTGCACTCCAGCCTGGGCGACAGAGACTCTGTCTCAAAAAAAAAAAAAAAAAAAAGAAAGAAAGAAAACAATGGAAAATTCCAGAAATAAACAATTCCTAAGTTTTAAGTTGCACACCATTCTGAGCAGTGTGATGTAGTCTTCTGCCATCCCACTTGGGACACAAATCATTCCCTTTGTCTGTCATGTCCACGCCGCATATGTGATCCACCCTATACTATGTGATTGTATAGAGAAAAACAGCATACATATATGGTTTGGCAGTTTCCAAGGTTTCAGACATCCACTGGGGGGTCTTGGAGCATAACCTCATGAATAAGGTGGGACTCCTGCAGTTGCGACAGAGACCAGACAGTCTTCAAAACCTAAAATATTTGTATTTTTCAGTACAGGAAAAGCTTGTCAACCCCTGGTCTACACACCTGGTTATCTTGGACCATCCTGCCCCAGACTTCCTCCGTAACAACCCATATAATGTTTCTATGACCATAGACGTAAAAGGAAACTGTGACCTTTACCAAAATAAGCAACTTATTTTTCACAAATTACTTATGTAATAAGCATCCTGTTTCCAAAACAGACCTCAGTTTTCAGGTCCGTTTTGAATTGACATTTGTCACACTGCTGACTCCTTTGTTACTGAGTGAACGATATATTCTTGAGACCAATTTTTCTAAGAAATGTTATTTTAGCACATGTTCCATGGAAAGGAGGGTTTACGTTTCCAAAATACAGATGTGACAAAGAGGAAGCACATCTGATGGCCAATGAGGAGAAACAACAGAGTGGATCCTGAGGCCTCCCGTGTCCTTTCAGCCTCCCTCTGCTACTCCCACTGCTGGCCACACCAGCCTCAGGGAGGGACTGCCATGTGCACTTTCCACGGCAGCTCATTTAACTCTTGCAGGAAACCCAAGAGGCATGTTGTGTTTCTGTCTCTGCTTTACTGACAAGGACAGGGAAGCCCAGGGAGTGAGGCGTCTCACCCAGGTCAGTGTCGGCGCACACAGGAGGCAACCAGGGCATGTGGCAGGGCCCCACAGGACACCAGGGCCTCTCAAACCCACTACCCTTTCAGGCCCCTCTGCTGCTCACCATTGGTGAAGTGGGGCTGTCAGGAGCAAAGAGAATTTCTGGATTTTCTCCTAACATTTTCCCCTACTTTAACCTCCCTTCATCTGTTGAATTTACTGCAAATCTTTCCTAGTCTTTTAGTTTTCCTATACTTAAAAAAACCTTGTTTTTAAAAATTACATAATTAGGCCAGGCACAGTGGCTCATGCCTATAATCCCAGCACTTTGGGAGGCTGTGGGCGGATCACCTGAGGTCAGGAGTTCGAGACCAGCCTGGCCAACATGGTGAAACCGTCTCTACTAAAAATACAAAAATTAGCTGGGCATGGTGGCACGTGCTTGTAATTCCAGCTATTCAGGAGGCTGAGGCAGGAGAATCACTTGAACCCAGGAGGCAGAGGTTGCAGTGAGACGAGATCACGCCATTGCACTCTAGCCAAGGCGACAGAGTGAGACTCCATCTCAAAAAAATACACACACACACACACACACACACAAAGTTAGCCAGCCGTGGTGGCACACACCTGTAATCCCAGTTAGTTGGGAGGCTTAGGTGGGAGAATAGCTGGAACCCATGAAGCAGAGGTTGCGTGAGCTGCGATCGTGCCACTGCACTCCAGCCTGCAGCCTGGGTAACAGAGTGACACTCTGTCTCAAAAAAAAAAAAAAAATTTTTTTTTAATTATATAAGCTCATGGTGAAAAATATCAGCATTATGGAATATAAAATTAAATGTCTCCTGTAATCCTAGCACTTTGGGAGGCTGAGGCGGTGGTTCATTGAAGGCCAGAAGTTTGAGACCAGCCTGGCCAACATGCTGAAACCCCATCCCTACTAAAAACACACAAAAAATTAGCCAGGCCTAGTGGTGGGCACCTGTAATCCCAGCTACTTGGGAGGCTGAGGCAGGAGAATCACTTGAACCTGGGAGGCGGACGTCGCAGTGAACTGAGATCGCACCACTGCACTCCAGCCTGGGTGACTGAACAAGACTCCGCCTCAAACAAACAAACAAGTCTCACCCACCCTCTAAAATAATTCCCATTTTCCAAGTCCATCAGACACTACAGATAGGGAAGGAAAACTTATTCCATTGGACACCCACAGATATATCTTTATCATCTTATAAACACTTAAAATGTATTCAAACCTTTTGTGCATACTTTCATCATATTGTAGGAAAGTTCTCCCAAAGAGACAGGTGTATGGGGGTGCTGTTTTCTTTCTCAGAATGTAAAAGGGATTTATGAAAACAAAACTGTTCGTGCTCAAAATATTCTGGGTTTCTACTAGAAACTAAATCCATTTTCCAACCACAAGGCATTCCATATCAAATCAGCAGCCTGCACTCTTCCTGCTCTTTATGAGAATTCCTACCTAAATCAGTCATCTTTGGTTTAGCTCCAAAGTTTATCAACTCATCTTCATCTTCACTGAAATTTTCCAGAGGAAGTGGAGCAATAACCTCTAGCCACCCAGGGCCCCTCAGAAGCCCTGGCTGTAGGTTTCCCATCATTGCTTCCTGAAGGGAATCCATGTGCTAGACAAGAAGTCACTTTATTGCCCGTGAGACTTGGGAGAGGCCTTCCAGAGATCTGGCCAGGCTCAGCCACTATCTTCTTCCCCAGCCTCTCCCTGTAGTAGCGGGTGGGGGTGCCAGTGTAAACAAGGGCCCCCATGTGGGCTGAGATGGGAACAATAGGACAGAAGGTAGGAGAAGGCAGCAGCTGGGTGGACTTGGTGGCTGGAGATGGGGTTCTACATGCCATCCTCGTCCTGCGTAAGCCAAAGGGGACTGGCACTGAAAGCTAGGCTGGGCAGGCCGAGGTGAGAATGGGAGTGCACGCAGCCTCAGCAGGGCAGCCTCTAAAGGGCTTTCCTGGAGAAAGGGGCTATGTCTACTGCCATCAGTGAAGGAACTGGCCCCAGCAGGCGGCAGGGCCTATGGCAGGGGAGGGTCCTCTGGGCACATCTAGACTTGAGAGTCCTCCCACTTCCCACTGAAACAATTCCCTGCTGCTCAATCTCACTGCCATATGCAAAAACAAGCAAACAGGAACACTTAAAAGTGGGTCGATCAAATGCTTGAGTTTATTAACATGTCTCCCAAGTCTTTTTTACTGGGAGTTTCAGGGTGGTCTCTGAAATCCATTGCTGTTGAGCTCCAACTCCAGGCCCCATGGGGTTGCACCAAGCTGCTCAACCTCACCTGTTTCTTGAAATTTTGCTGCCTTCCACTAGGCAGATGGGTCCAGCAGGAGACATTGGAGCACCAAATGGAAAAGCTCTTCCTTCCTTCCCCTCTTCCTGTACATCAGAAAGAATGCATTAGAAACTCAAGGAGTGAGCATTTGGGCTTCCTAAGGGTGAGACAGTGTGGGGCTCCTGTGGGGAGATGGGTACTCCTGTACCCAGTGTGGCCTCCTGCTCCCACCGCTTTCCAGCTGTGGGGCTTTTCCTTGTGGAAATTACTGTCCAAGTTTGATTTTTCCATCTGTAAAAGGAGGCAAGTAAGGGTTGGTATGAGGATCAAATGAATTAACAATTATCAGACTGACACAAACATTCCACTTAAACAGCCAAATTGACTTAAAAGGGCAACATAGATGTCTGAAGCCAGACTGCCTGGTGGGCAAGCTGGAGAAAGCAACTTCTATGCAAGAACTGTGTCCTTTCAGAAGCTCCAGCCAGAGCGTACGTGGTTGGAGAGAGCCCTGAAGACAGGCCTTGCCCCACACAAACACAGAACAAATTGTTCTCCACCCCCTCCCAAAACAAAACAAAAGCAGTGAAGAGCCACAGAGTGATGACCACTACAACGGATACAGGATTGCTGAGCCCTTCCACGTGCCAGGGGCTGGGCAAAGAATTTCATATTCATTAACTTATTTCTCACCTCAACTCTGTGAGACATGCACTCTTCCCCCACTGACAGATTCGGAGGAGGGGAGGAACTTGCCAAAGAACACACAACTGCACATGGTGGAGCTGGAATTTGAGACCAAGTGGACCACTAAGCTACCTGCCAAATTGAGTTGCAGAAACCCCAAAGGAGGCATAGAACACGGTTTCCAATAAACAAGAGCTCATGTGGGCACTTCCTAATGACAGAAGCTAACTGTCCAAGAGCACGACTGTCTTGGGACAGGAGATCATGCTGCAGAGCCCAGGGAGGTCCGCCCTGCGCAGAGAGGGAGTGCAGACCTAAAGAGAGCCACACTCTGTGAAAAGTGGAAAAACCTACAGATTGATCCCACCTGTTCAGAGCAACAGGCACGGCTTCACTCGGGACCACATGTGCCCAGGGGCTCCACAGGGCTGGGTCCTGGCTCTGGCCATCTCTGCACAGCCTCTGCTGGGCCACTCTGTGAGAGGTCACGCTGGCAGCAAGATCTCAGCCTCTGCTCCTTTCCCTAGTACAGTTTGATCTCTGAATTCACTTTGATCTTTTACCAGTTCGGCTTCACCTCTTGCACCAAAGCTGTGATTTCTCAGGGCAAGTTGTCAGCTTTCCCGTATGCAGTGTTTTTCTAGGTGGATTGTTTCTGATGTGGTTTCCTCTGATGCAGGTGAGGGAAGTATCATCTTGACTCCTCCACCAATAAAATTATTCTCACAGGGCTTTACTAAACATGAGACTTGGGAGGGACCCAAGAGCTTGCTTGGCTGCAGATTCAAGGGTCCAGGACTCAGAAAAAAGTGGTCTGAGGCCGTCTAGAAATAGGCACAGATACTTCCAGGATGCATGTAACAATACCAAGTTCTCTGAGCAGTAGCTACTGCCTGCCAAATAATCCTCCTTGAGAAATACTGATCAATCTTGCTTTATTCCAGAAAGAATTTAAGACTGCTTATAGAAAATACGAGGGAGCATAGTTTAAAAAGTGTGAAGTCCTCCTCCAAAACATGTGCTAACCACTAATATCAACATTAAGGATAGCCCGGGCGCGGTGGCTCACGCCTGTAATCCCAGCACTTTGGGAGGCCGAGGCGGGCGGATCACGAGGTCAGGAGATCGAGACCATCCTAACACGGTGAAACCCTGCCTCTACTAAAAAATACAAAAAATCAGCCGGGCGTGGTGGCAGGCGCCTGTAGTCCCAGCTACTCGGGAGGCTGAGGCGGGAGAATGGCATGAACCCCGGAGGCGGAGCTTGCAGTGAGCCAAGATTGTGCCACTGCACTCCAGCCTGGGTGACAGAGCAAGACTGTCTCAAAAAAAAAAACCAAAAAACAAAAACATTAAGGATTTTGGCCGGGCACGGTGGCTCATGCCTGTAATCCCAGCACTTGGGGAGGCTGAGGCTGGTGTTCAAGACCAGCCTGACCAACATGGTGAAACCCCATCTCCACTAAAAATACGAAAAATAGCTGAGCGTGGTGGCGCATGTCTGTAATCCTAGCTACCTGGGAGGCTGAGGAAGAAGAATCACTTGAACCTGGGAGGCAGAGGTTGCAGTGAGCCAAGATTGCGCCAATGCACTCCAGCCTGGGCAACAGGGTGACTCTGTCTCAAAACAAGCCAACAAAAAAATAATAAGGATTCTTCAGATATCTGAGTCCAGGTCCTCATGTCCACTGTGTCTAACTCAACTTATTACTGTGCAGACTGAGGCAATCCAGCCCTAAAAATCCTCTCCTCTCAAGCTCCTGGACGGGACTCTAGTGAGGGCAGAACTGCTGGGCTGGTAATTCCTCTTGGTGGAGACAAAGGAACATGGGACTACGGGCAATAAGTTACTTATCAGTCTTCACTAGAGGTTGTTTCTCTCAACTAAAGTTATCAAAATTGGGTGTTGTAATTTTTAACTTGATATTCCCAGACAAGTGCCAGGAGAGAAGCTGTTGCAAATGCTGAGTGGAGAGGAGAAAGCCTCAGCAGAGAGGCGAGCTGGAGGGAGGGATGGATGCTATCCTTCTCTGGACTGAAGCAGTTACAGGATGGCTGCACAGAGTACTCCTGGCAGGCAGAAGGGGGCGTGGGGACCCAGACACTTAAGATGCATGGGTTTGGGGTACCCATTCCAGGCCTCATGTCCGCTGTATCCAACTCAATTTCCTCTTAATTACTGTGGAGACTGAGGCAGCCCGACCCTAACAGTCCCCTCCTCCCGGCTCCTATTCACCACTCCAGCGAGGGAGAACAACTGTTGCTCTAGTTACTTCTCTCAATGGAAGGAGGGGACAGGGACTGTGGGAAACCAACTATATACAGCATAGGCTCTCTCTCTATATATAGTCCAGTGGAGGGTATAGTTAAAGCAAACCCTTAGAGCAGGAATAGCTGGTCAGCAATTTTCCAGGTTATGGCTTGAATACAGGTGTCAACCCATGAATGTATGAACTGGTACATTTCCACTCTATGAAACACGATATGAAATTTAAAAATACTCAGGGAAACATAAAGCATTTGTTTATTATTGCTATACTCAAGGCAAAATCTCTTAATTAGCCTTGATAATGGAAGTATAACCAGAACCATTATTCATGAATTTACATTTTGTTCTTTTCTGCTGTTGAGACTTCACTGTTTCACACACACCATCTACCCCAAGACCTTTAATATACAAGAACAAGAAGAATTAACTTGAAAGTCACAAAGCATGGCTTGACCACTTGCCTAGTTCCTGACTTTAGGCCAATCACTTCCCCTCTCTGAACCTGTTTCATCCTGTCTTAAAAAAGAAATGGGAGAGGAAGAGGAGAGGATAGAATAAACCTACAACTGAGATAACACAGGTGATAACTGAAAGAACATGAATGAAATTTCACTGTGAATAAAAAATATTATATAAAATAAAGTATCACTAATAACAAATAGGGTTGTGGAGGTAAAACAGTCTATGTTCCTGGAAGCCTGCATGACAGTAGCCAAGATCTAAATCCTGGGGCAGGACAAAGGATATTCATGGCCAAGTCTCTAAACTCACTAAGGAAGTACCTGGCTCAACAAGCCACTTAATATGTACCCAGCTACACCCTAGAAACACTTTGTCAGTTTTATTTTACCTTAATATACATTTGTACAGGCAATAATAAAAAGGCTATTACACAACAATTCAGTGAGTTTTACCTAGTTTCAAGAATAATGCATGCAGTTACAAATGAGAGGTAGAAACACTGTATTAAAGACCTAAAAATACAAACGTCATATAAATAAATGTTCAAATTAACTACTGGAATTTCATACAGATAAATAAGGTAAAAATTACATTACTTTGTCAAAGTAAAGGAAAACCATGTTTGTTTTTATCAGTACATTAAAATTAGATTAATGCCAAAGAGCTCTGTGCAATTTGTCAAAGAGTTCAGATTATTTTATGTAAAAGGATTAAAATAAAAGGATTAAAATTGGTGAATGGTTTATTCAAGTATTCAAGCAGGTAAGTAAAAGAAACCAAGTAATACACAACGTAGGAACCATTCCTGGAGGGATATTAAGTTAACTGCCTGCATTCTCCATGACTAGCTATTTGGTGAACTGTCAGAATTAACATGAAAAATACACATTAGGCAGAAGACAGCTGCCCATTTTCCTAAGAGAAAACGAACTTCATTTTCCACTCACTGCATGTAGGAACTCCACATCACTAACAAGCCTTTAGGTCACCAACTTTGTTTTGGCCCTATTCAAATTATCAAGAGTATCTCTTGATCCATGATTTTGTTTCTAATACTGCCCAAATAAACCTAGCCTTTAATAAACCTAAGGTCACAGGCATCAATGTACATTCTGCATGCACAATAAAAAATGGAACCAAAAGCTAACAAAAACATTACTGAGAAAATCTGTAGGTGTAGATAAAGAAGTAAAAAAAAAAAATGTGCAAAGGTTCACATGAATACAAGTTTTAACCACTTAAAAGTTCACTGGAGATTACATGTGAATTCTGGAAAGGGTCTATGTATACAATCAAGTAAAATATTTTAAACAAGTCCATTGTGCCTTAGTTAAATTACAAAATCCAATACACAGTTGTTTTAATAAATTAGTGCAATATGAAAGATTTTGGAAGATTAACATGTATCCATATTAGGATCAAATTGAAGATTTCAAAATTTCTTCCAAGATCCATGTTTCACTTCTTCTTAAGCTATTTCTTCCTGAGCTGTTTAAAGATGCATGCTCAGATTTAAACAAACTTACTCCAAATATCAAACTGCCTGGATGAGGGGTGAATACATTTACCTTTACACCTCAGCAAACACATGGAATTTCACACACTGCTCTGATGAACCCAGTGACGAGCACTCACTTTGTTTCATTTTTAATTATCTTTAAGAATAACTGTACCGATTATCCTAGTTCTAAGGTACATTTATTCACCAAGTCCAAACTGGGAGCCAAACACTCTTGCTCCTGCTTCTACAAAGAAAAAGGGAAAGGGTGATTTTCTCCAATAAGGCAGATTTCCTACAAATATGTAGTTTTTGGATTGTTTTTCCTTTTTCAAATCACTGCTTGTTCTTTGGTAGTCACCAGTTAAGAAGCTACAGTTTCCTGGGGATGGGGTGACAGAACTCAAGCTGTAATCCCAAAGGCATCACCTCACGTTCCCACCACCGGTCCACGGGATGAGCCTGCTGCTCACACGGTTGCGGTGCTATGGCAGAGCGCCGACAGTCTTCTCTCAATACTACATTTATCTAGAAATAAAATAACAAAAATGAAGAACTAATGAAAAAAATCACTATATTGTCATCTCTATTCTATCTTTGCCCCAAAGTTAACAGTTCTGAATATGTTTTCTTCTTTCTGCTTGGTAATAGTTTAGATATGACTTCTAGCTTAGTGCTGCAAAGTGGTAAAATTTAGGTAAGCACATCAGCTAGCTTGCTACATAACTAGCTTGCTCATAACTGCAAATACTCTTAGAACTGCCATCCTCCTGTGGCTACTCAAAATGTAGCAGGACCACATACACTCCAACCAGTCCACCACCTCTGCCTAAAAAACCAGATTATTGGGCTTGTATGTGATAAGTAATAACATCCTGGTATCCCATCAATCTCCAGTCTGCTATCTATACCAAGTCTGCAGTACACAGAAGTTTCACAGGACTCTTTAGTCACTAAGCCCATGAGGCTTAAAACAGTTACATTTAATAATAAAACTAAAGTCCTCCTACATATACGAACACTTGCCAACAAAGTAACACCGTGTAGAAATCTAAAGATGAATTACGCAGTCACCAGTGCTTTTCATGCATCACCTGTAATCCTCACAACAACCCTGCAAGGCAGGCACTGCTGTATCTATGTATCTATCTAGTTATGCATCTATTTATCTATATATCTATCTATGTATCTATGTATGTATCTACCTACCTACCTACCTATCTACCTACCTACCTAACTACGTAGAATGGAGTCTTGCTTTGTCGCCCAGGCTGGAGTGCAGTGGCACAATCTCAGCTCACTGCAACCTCCACCTCCTGGGTTCAAGCGATTCTCCTGTCTCAGCCTCCCGAGCAGTGGAGCTTACAGGTATGCGCCATGATGCACAGCTAATTTTTGTATTTTTAATAAAGACGGGGTTTCGCTATGTTGGCCGGGCTGGTCTTGCACTCCTGAGCTCAGGTGATCCGCCCACCTTGGCCTCCCAAAGTGCTGGGATTACAGGCGTGAGACACTGTGCCTGGCCCTACTCCTATTTTATGAAAAAGAAGCTGAGGCCACACAAAGGCTGTGATTTGCACAAGGCTGGAAAGCCACGATTCAAACCAAGGCAGAATTCCAAACTCCAAGCTCTTTGTACTATGCTTGTGATAGACAACTAAAATGAAGTAAAAAAATACACTACTTTGTAAGTCAACTTACATTTATGCACATTTTCAATATCTGCAGGGTCCTGTAGAATCCTACTTAGGCCTTCCAAAAGAAGGGCTGCCTTATGATAGCGATAAACAATATCTTCGGTCTGCTGAAACATCTCATCCAGGGCTGCAGACTGAACCTGGAACCAGTCAACAAAAACACAATTCTCTCAATTTTTCCAAGAAAATACAAATCCATTTGGGCAATGAAGCTTTAAATGGAATCCACCTAAAATTAACACATTTTGGTAAAGTGATACAGTCTGCAAAACTACATAAAACTCAAAGATTCTTTGGGATGAGCAATATATAAGAGCAACTTCATAAAAAGTCGGTCTGCTTTCAAACACAGCCTTCTGGTATTCAGAGGTATGCTTCATAAATTTCATACTAGAACCCTTCTAAACTGGCTCTTTTATGACTTCATTATAAATTGATTTTAAACACACACTTCCATATAAGGGTAACCTGAAATTTCATTAAAGTAGATTTTGTTTCAATAATATAATTAAATGATGCTAATAGTCACTTGCTGGCTTTACTGGCTTCTTTTTCTAGCCAAATAATTTTTGGGTGTAGTCATTCATTCATTCAAAGATACTTATTGAGCACCTAACAAAGTGCCAGGCACTGCGCCTACAATGAAGGAGAGCTTGCAGTCTGGAGGGAGATACAGTCCTGCAAAAAATGCAATTCTAATGCCAAGGCACACACGGTGTTACAGGAGGAAGCACTGGATGATACGGAATACATAGGGGATGCCTCTAACCTATATTACGGAAGGAGAAGATGATTAGGGGAAGCTTCCAGGAGGTGCTGTTTGTGCTGAATCATAAAGCAACAACAGCAGAAGTGAATCAGGTGAGGAAAAATGTGGGAAGGGGCTCTCCAGAAAGAGGGGATGGTAGCATTATTCACAGGGGTTTCCCCATCGACATTCTGATTTTCTCTTTGATCATTAAGTACCAGAACTCTCAGAAATCCAGTATCCGAATTTACTTGTTAATATGCTATATCTTGTTTTTGTTTTTAATTTTTAAAATGTATTTATGCATTCTTATATAGATGGGGTCTCGCTCTGTTGCCTAGACTAATCTTGAACTCCTGAGCTCAAGCAATCCTCTTGTCTCAGCCTCCTGAGTAGCTGGGACTACAGGTGCATGCCACTGCACCTAGCTATTCTCTCTCCTTCAAAAAAAATAATTTCAAGCAGCTAACAATAAAGCAAATAAAATGGATACAGAAGATCAGAGCCAGGACAAGGAAAAAGAAAAAAATAACTAAGTGTTAATGCCTCTAAGCTCACTAAGCAGCCAGGACGAACGGAGGAATTTATAAGTTATAGGGCTCTTTATTCTGAGAAGGAAAAACAGCATTATAATTCCATATGGAGGACATTTTTCTGGTGCAAAATTCTAAAAATAATTTATCATATGAGGTCTCAACTCAGCATACAGTGATGCAGTGCATATTATTCATCTCAATAGTTTACAGCAATATGATATATACTATTTTTGTCAAGAATTTATATTCCAAAGTTATTTTCCTATGGTTATTTTAATAAATTTCAAAATAAGGCCACGGATGTAATATAACAGCACAGTTCACAGTAGACAAATAGAAAATGGAAAGGGGGATCTATTATGTTAATGTGTTAGAAATACAATTGGCATGCCGGGCACAGTGGCTCACACCTATAATCCCAGCACTTTGGGAGGCCGAGGTGGGTGGATCACCTGAGGTCAAGAGTTCAAGACCAAGCCTGGCCAACATGGTAAAATCCTGTCTCTACTAAAAACACAAAAATTAGCTGGGTGTGGTGGCAGGTGCCTGTAATCCCAGCTACATGGGAGGCTAACGCAGCAGAATCGCTTGAACCTGGGAAGCAGAGGTTGCAGTGAGCCAAGATCATGCTGCTGCACGTCAGCCTGGACGACAGAACAAAACTCCATCTCAAAAAAAAAAAAAAAAAAAAAAAGAAAAACATATGATTGGCTAACTAATGAATTTTCCCCCACTTAACTACTTTTTCAACAGCCTCTATTTTTATTTATACTTTAGAGTAATTTTTCCCCGAGAGGCAGAAAACAAATTATTTCCAATATTAAAACCAGAAAATAGGAAAAGAAGGTTTTACTTTGTGTCTATCCTACAATATCAGTAAGTGGGACCTGAGCACATAAATTTGTGTGGATTGATTAATAAAGCAGTGTTTTTCCTAAGAGTTTTATCAAGCCTAACTTTCTTAAACAGCAGAAAATGCAGAAACAGATCCTGCTAATGCTTTTAGATGCACACTATAAAAAGATTAGATCGGCTGGGCACGGTGGCTCACATCTGTAATCCCAGCACTTTGGGAGGCTAAGGAGGGTGGAACACCTGAGGCCAGGAGTTGGAAACCACCCTGGCCAACATGGCAAAACCCCATCTCTACTAAAAATACAAAAATTAGCTGGGCATGGTGGCAAGTGCCTGTAATCCCAGCTACTCAGGAAGCTGAGGCAGGAGAATCACTTGAATCTGGGAAGCAGAGGTTGCAGTGAGCTGAGATCGTGCCACTGTACTCCAGCCTGGGCGACAGAGTAACTCCGTCTCAAGAAAAAAAAAAAAAGAAAAAAAAAAGATTAGATCATGCCTAATGCCAGCAATGTTTAATAAGAGCTGTAATAAACTTATAGCAAATGTGGTAAACGGATTTGTAATTACTTAAAATACATCCAGTAAATGACATTAACAGTTGCTTAAATCCAATTACTTCTTTAGTAGAAGGCAATCCACAATACTTGGGACTTGAGACATTATCTTTTAAAAGGATAGCTGTCATATAGATATTCAATTAAAAAGACACTTAAAGATAAGTAGTACTATACAATATTAAACCTTAGAAAGGGTTACCATTTCTACAGCACAATTATAGATGAGTTTCTCTGCAGTCACACTGTTGATTTCATCAATAAACCTCTGTTTGTCAGAGAAGAATCGATTCAGCTTTTCTGTAAGTTTCTTGCACATGGTGATGCAGAATTTATATCGTTCGTTCAGATTCTTGACAACTGAAAAAAAATTGAGATGGGAACTAATTTTAATTTTCCTCCAGAAATAAAGACACAGTTATATGTATCTTTCCTGCTGATATATAGGGAAGGTGTCACTATGTGATCATTCAAAAAAAGGACCAGAAATAGGATTTTTTCATGTTATCTCTTTCAATATGAAAAGATTGAGAATAATGCACTTCAGACTTCTATCAATTGAACTGCAAAAAGCTAACAACCCAGCATCTTTTCCCTTTAAGAATACTGAAAAATAAAAACAACAGTGAGTACTCATCAGACACTCTCTCACAGTGTGATGGGAAAGAGCAACTTAAGGACTGACCCCTGGAGTTACACGCTGCCTTCTCCCATACCTTGTTTCACAGCTGTGGATGGGCTCAGTTTCCCGGACTTGATCTGGGCTTTGGCAAGATGCAGAGAAGCCGCAAGCAGCTGTGCTGCTTTCATGTACAACACCAGCTGCTCCACCCGCCTGCACCCAAAAGACAGTAGCAGAGGGTTATCTTGTGAACTAATGTAAGATGTGGCACTCTACACAACAGGTCACCATTAAAATTGCCTTTCTATAAAGGAATAGCATCCTCTTTGATTTCTTTTCTTCTTTCTTTTCTTTTTTTTTTTTTTTTTTTGACAGAGTCTTGCTCTGTCCCCCAGGCCGAAGTATAGTGGCTTGATCTTGGCTTACTGCAGCCTCTACTTCCTGGGCTCAAGGGATCCTCCCACCTCAGCCTCCCGAATATTAATAGTTGGGACCACAGGGACGCACCACCATGCCCGGCTAATTTTTGTATTTTTTGTAGAGACAGGGATTCATCATATTGCCCAGGCTGGTCTCGAACCCATGGGCTCAAGCAATCCTTCTGCCCCATCCTCCCAAAGTGCTGGAATTACATATAGGCATAAGCTACTGCGACCAGCCCTCCTTAATTTCTTAATGCACAAGTAAACTCTCAAGGGACAAGGCATAGTTAAAGATGTGTGTACTGTGAAAATAACGGATACACTCAGATAAAAATCAATACAATCTATTTACACAAAAGAACTTCAACAGTATAATTTACAAGGAAAGGCAACACTGAGGTTGCATAATCTCCAGGTCTTGGCTCATATAGTGAAATGTAGTACAAAGAAATAATTGAGACTCCTAGCTTTTAATAATGAGATATGATCTTCAGTGGATGACAATACCTACAACTTAGACACAAGTTTAGACAAAGCATGAAAAGTCTGGAAATGAATGACAAGGGGGCACCCACCCCCAGTCTTTGCTCAGCTGACTGATCTGGTCCACCACCACACTCTCCTGGATCTGGTACAAGGACACAGCAGATGTGCACAGCTCAGGGTTTCCTCCCCTCATGGCTGTCAGGTCCAGCACACACTCAGTGAACATCAGCATCACATTCAGATGGCGTAAGGTGTCTGTGTGTTCCCGCTGCAGCAAAGTCAATTTGTCTTAGAAAATTTCAGATTAAAAATACGTACATACTCATTTCTGTACATAAACCATGGCCGCTGATCATGTTTTCTATACTTATGAGTATCAGAATGACAAAAGGAGATTGAAATTTTTAAATTTCAGAAAGCTGGTAAGAAAATGAACACAAATGAAACCAAATATAGGTATATGCATGTGTTTGTGTATGTGTATCAGAGTACCCACATAAGTAAACTCAGGATGGGTCGCTGTGCTTTTACCAGAAAAAGAAAAGAAAGCTGAACGATTAAATCAATATACATGAGACAAAAACGTGACAAGGTAGACACAAAGATTACAAGGATACTATAGGTGCTAAATCACACTTCTTGATACTGTATTGAATTCTGCTGACTTCTTATAATTTCAGAGTTGCTTTATTTAATTTCTGGTCGTTTTTCAGTTAACAGTGATTACTAATACCAAAGCTCTAACTTTCTGTGATCTTTTCAGTTAGTTAAAGAGGGGAGTGTGGGTAGACATAACAGCATTCAGAGGGCTGTCATTTAAAAATGGGCATTCTAGGCCGGGCATGGTGGCTCATGCCTGTAATCCAAGCACTTTGGGAGGCCAAGGCGGGTGGATCACCTGAGGTCAGGAGTTTGAGACCAGCCTGGCCAACATGGCGAAATCCCGTCTCTACTAAAAATACAAAAATTAGCTGGGCGTGGTGGCATGTGCCTGTAGTCCCAGCTCCTCAGGAAGCTGAGGCAGGAGAGTGGCTTGAACCCAGGAGGTGGAAGTTAGAGTGAGCTGAGATCGCACCACTGCATTCCAACCTGGGTGACAGAGCAAGACTCTGTCTCAAATAAACAAACAAACAAACAAACAAATAAATAAATAAATAAATGGGTATTCTAGATTGTTGTTTTGAGATTTGTTTTTAGTTATAAATGCATTCTGAAATCTCAAGCCTAAAAGTTTCCCACTCTTTTATGGTTAAATAAAGATGAGAATCATTTTCCTAGTGACAGGAGAATAAGCCAATTGACTTCTAAAAGTCTCTCTGCTCTGTGACAGCATATTGCACTGTATGTTTCAATACACTGGAACATGCAATAGAATGTACTAGAATGCTCACGCCTGTAATCCTAGCACTTTGGGAGGCAGAGGTGGGCAGATCACAAGGTCAGGAGTTCGAGACCCGCCTGGCCAACATGGTGAAACCCCGTCTCTACTAAAAATACAAAAATTAGCCGGGCATGGTGGCGTGTGCCTGTAATCCCAGCTACTCGTGGGGGCTGAGGCAGGAGAATTGCTTGAACCCAGGAGGCAGAGGTGGGAGTGAGCCGAGATTGCACCACTGCACTCCAGCCTGGGTGACAGAGCAAGACTCTGTCTCAAAAAAAAAGAAAGAAAGAAAAACACAGAATCTATGTGTTTCTTCCTATAAACCAAAGCTTATTATGGATGAGTGTCACTGTCAATGTTAATTTAAAAAGACATCAGCAATACTTTTCAAACAGAAAAGGCACGTTAAAGAGAACATAACTTCCTAACTATTTAATGTATTTTGTTCTTGTCATCACTAGAATGTTCTCATATCAAATCAACATTACATTCACACCACTATAGTCTCTTTTCTACCTCCATCAGCGTCTCCTCCGGCAGTTCAGGGGCTTCAAAGGTGATGAGCCCCTCTAGGCTGGGGGGTGAAGCACCGTAAGGCACGTATCTCAGGCTGGGAGCTGCCTCTGCTCCTGGAGGGGAAGAGCCGAAGCCTGGGCCAGGCGGGGACCCCACGCACACGCGGCCACTCATGGCACAAAGAGAGCCCCCGGAGTTGCTGGGCCCCACTACAAGGAAACAGAGGATACATGGCAGTGTCCAGAGTTAGGGCTTTCACACCCACTCCTACTCTTATTTACTAAACAAACCTGCTGAGGTGACAAAGGAAAGTTTCGTTAAAAGAAACTCACTGACCCCCTATGTACTATTTGAGGATATTAATAGTTTTTACTTATCCATGTTCATTGTTATTCCTTGTCTATATATTTTATATTAGACATCATCAGAGCTAGTTTTTTTATACTCTGTTTTAAACAAATTTAGATCATATTCATTTCTCCTTGCTGCTCCACAGGGCCTCATAATTATAAAACTCAATGGATGCACTGATTCATTAAATTTATATATATTATATAATGTTTATCTGGAGTCATTTATACTATTTCTGATTTTATTCATATTACAAATAGCACTGTAATGAAATGCAGACAGTTGTTCCTTCTTTTGAATAATTTCTTTGTGATAAATACTCTGAAGTGGTATAAGAAGGAATGGAATTAGCATAGATCAATAAATATTTTTACAGCTCTTCCTAAGAACTGTTATAGTACTCTCTAACGCAGCCCTGAGTAAGCACATAGATCCTACTAAACCTCAATAACACTGGACATGATACTTTTTTTTTTTTTTTTTTTTTTTTTTTTTTGAGTCAGGGTCTTGCTGTTGCGCAGGCTGAATTGCAGTGGCGTGATCACAGCTCACTGCAGCCTTGATTTTCTGGGCTCAGGTAATTCTTTCACCTCAGCCTCACAAGTAGCTGGGACTATAGGCGTATGCCACCATGTCTGGCTAATTTCTGTATTTTTTTTGTAGAGATGGGGTTTCACCATGTTGCCCAGGCTGGTCTCAAACTCCTGACCTCAAGTGATCCTCCTGCCTCGGCCTCCCAAAGTGCTGGGATTACAGGCATGAACCACCATGCCCAGTCTTGGGCATTGTACTTTTTAAGATATAGGTATAGTTAACAGATATAAAATGTTACTTTCGTAAAATGGTATTTTCTTATTATTCAAGGTTTTTAATCGTCTTAAAAACATAATTTTAGATCTATTTTCTCTTATCTATTTCTATCCTTTGCTTATTAACCTGGTCTCTTGATCAGCAACTTATTTAGAATAAGATAACTTGACTCATGATACAACAGATAAGACATCAAATTATTGATTTCAAGTCCAATCTAAATACTTTCTTAAGTTTTGGTATTAACCTATTTACAGATTATAAATGATAAATCTATTAGCCTTCTAACTGTATATAGGATTAAGTGCAAAGATTGAGACCCAAAGTACAAAAAATTAAAAATAAATAAATAAAACAAGTTTCTTTCTTTTCTGAAACAGAGTTTCGCTCGTTACCCAGGCTGGAGTGCAATGGCGCAATCTCGGCTCACTGCAACCTCCACTTCCCAGGTTCAAGTGATTCTCCTGCCTCAGCCTCCTGAGTAGCTGGGATTACAGGTACCTGCCACCACACCTGCCTAAATTTTTGTATTTTTAGTAAAGACAGGTTTTCACCATGTTGGCCACGCTGGTCTCGAGTTCCTGGCCTCAAGTGATCTGCCTGCCTCAGCCTCCCAAAGTAAGTGCTGGGATTACAGGCATAAGCCACCTCACCTAGCCAAAACAAGTTTCTTTAAAAAAAAAAACCAAAAAAAAACCAAACCTATAATTTTCAAATAATTTATTGGATCTACTAAAGTAACCCTTTAATATATAAGCTGAGAAGAACCATATACGATTTGCTTCTTCACGAAGAAGTCATATTTATACTATATGTCATTTTGTAAAAACATATACAACATATATTTATATTTTAATATATAATATAGCACTTTACAAAGTTTTTTTCCCCACAAATGATGCCTCATTTACTTCTTATAACCCATTAAGATAAAGAAAATAGTAATCTCCATTTCACTGGTAAAGAAACTGAAGCCCAGAGAATTAAGTGACTTGTCCAAGTTACAACACTGAGTCATTTGTCAAAACACTACATTCCAAATACTAGCCAAAGACTGTAATATAACAAATGCTCCTTACCTGAGGTTGTTCTTGTTCGAAGGAACATGTGGGTACAAGTGGGGGCTGCCGCACTGTGTGGAGGAGACCCTACAGTGAAGAGGACAGCCTTGGAACTTGCTGCTGTACCTGCAGGAGGTGCCAGAACACCACCACAGGCTCCTGCCGGAGCTACAACAAAAAGTTTATAGAAGGTCATATTACCCTGATAGTGTTTATATCTGGGAGATGGGATTGCAGGGGGATACTGACTTTTATATCAGGAGTCTAGTGGTTTTTTTTTTTTCCCTCTTCTTACAAAAAGTACTTATTGCTCTTAAAATCAGAAAACGTAATACAATATTTTCATTAAAATAACTTATAGTAATCTCAAGTGTGAATCTTCTTCACACCAAAATTTAGCATTCAGAGTTATGTTTGTATACTTCTAAAATACATGAACTGTAAGTTATACATGTTGAAGACAGTACTAAAAAAATGAACGCCAAGAACTGGGAATAAAAACAGGTTAAACTAGGGTAGGTGTGGTGGCTCATGCCTGTAATCCCAGCACTTTGGGAGGCCAAGGCGGGTGGATCACCTGAGGTCAGGAGTTCGAGACCAGCCTGGCCAACGTGGTGAAACCCTGTTTCTACTAAAAATACAAAACTTTGCCGGGCATGGTGATGCGTGCCTGTAATCCCAGCTACTCAAGAGCCTGAGTCAGGAGAATCTCTTGAACCCAGGAGGCAGAGGTTGCAGTGAGCTGAGATCATGCCACTGCACTCCAGCCTGGGTGACAGAGTGAGGCTCCGTCTCAAAAAAAAAAAAAAAAGAAAGAAAAGAAATCAAAATAAAGACATTCCCAAATAAACAGAAGCTGAGAGAATTTACTGCCAGCAGACCTGTCTTACAAGAAATACAAAGGATAGCTCTTCAGACCAAAAGTAACTAACTCCAAATAGTAATCCCAATCTGTAAAGATAATTACAAAACACAAACTGTATATTTCTTCTGTTAACTGATTTTAAAAAGCAACTGTATAAAACATGTATACAGTTGCACTGTCAGGTCTATAGCATATAGAAATGTAATGTTCATTTATTTACTTTTTTTTTTTTTGGAGACGGAATCTCACTCTGTCGCCAGGCTGGAGTGCATTGGCACGATCTCAGCTCACTGCAACCTCTGCCTCCTGATTCTCCTGCCTCAGCCTCTCGAGTAGCTGGGATTACAGGTGCGTGCCACCACGCCCAGCTAATTTTTGTATTTTTAGTAGAGACAGGGTTTCATCATGTTGGCCAGGATGGTCTCGATCTCTTGACCTTGTGATCCGCCCGCCTTGGCCTCTCAAACTGCTGGGATTACAGGCGTGAGCCACTGCGCCCAGCCTTAGTTTTTATTTTTTTAGAGACAGGGTCTCCACCTGTCACCCAGGCTGAAGGGCACTGGTGTGACCATAGCTCACTGCAGCCTGGAACTCCTGAGCTCAAGTGATCCTCCTGCCTCGGCCTTCCACAGTGTTGGGATTACAGGCGTGAGCCACTGCACCCAGCCAGAAATATATTTGATAATAAGAACATAAAGGAGTCAGATGGGAGTAAAACTATATTAGAGTAAGGAAGTGACACCAGATGGTAACTCAAATCCACAAAAACACACCAAGATAACCAGAAATGATAAGTAAGAAAGTTAATATAACAAACTATAAATACATACTTGCTTTCTTATCTCAGCTTCTTTTCAAAGACATAAAATTACAAACCAGAGTAAGATGGCAAAATAGAAGGCTCCACCAATTGTACAACCCACCTCCCAAAAATTTGCACACAATAAAGCACCTTCATAAGAACCAAAAATCAGGTGAGTAATCACAGTACCTGGTTTTAACTTCATATCACTGAAAGAGGCACTGAAGAGGGTAGGAAAGGCAGTCTTGAATCACCAGCACCACCCTCCGCCCCTCCCCTGGCAGCAGCTGTGTGTGGCAAGGAAATAATCTGTGTACTTGGGGGAGGGAGAGTGCAGCAATTTGGGGATTGCACATTGAACTCAGTGCTGTCCTGTCACAGTGCAAAGGAAAACCATGCTGAACTCAGCTGGTGTCCGCCCACGGAGGGAGCATTTGGACCAGCTGTAGCTAGAGGGAAAGTGCCTGTCTGAGTGGCCAGAATGTGAGTTTCTGCAAGCCTCACCACCACAAGCTAAAGCGCTCCGGGTCCAAGTGAACTTGAAAGGCAGTCTAGGACACAAGGACTGCAATTCCTAGCCAAATCCTGGTGCCGTGCTGGGCTTAAAGCCAGTGGATTGGGGCATGACTTAGAGAGACATCAGACAGGGCTTCTAAGGGAGTGTTTGTGCCACTCCTCCTCCCAAACCCAGGCAGCGCAGCTCACAGCAACAAAAGTGACTCCTTCCTTCTGCTTGAGGACAAGAGATAAAGGTAAAAAGGGCTTTCTCTTATGTCTTGGATACTAGGCTCAGCCACAGTAGGACGAGCCCCGGGCAGAGTCGTGAGACCCCCATCCCAGGCCCTAGTTCCTGTTGACATTTCTAAACACACCCTGAGCCAGAAGTGAACTCACTGGCCTTGAAAAAAAAGACCCAGTCCTGGCAGGATTCATCACCTGCTGACTGAAGAGTCCTCGGGCCCTGAATAACCAATAATACTACCCAGGGAGCATGCTTGGGCCTTGGGTGAGACTCTGAGACATGCTGGCTTCAGGTAGCAGCTTGATTACAGTGGGATAGAGCACCAAGCAGGCTCTTGGGGTTCCCAAGTCTAGGCCTAGGCTCTTGGACATTTCTGGACCTGCCCTGAAGGGTGGGTCTTAGGCCTAGCAGCACTCAGCACATGCTGACTGAAGAGCCCTTGGGCCTTAAGTTAACATCAGTGGTGGCCTGGCAGAACTCCTTGTGGGCCATTGGTGGTTACAGCCACAGGGATAGGTTCCTCTGCCTGTGGAAGGGGCAGGAAAGACCGGGAAGGACTTTGTCTTGCGGTTTGAGTGGCAGCTTAGCTGCAGTAGGATACAATACCAGGTAGATTTCTAAGGTTTTTTATTCCAACCCCTGACTCCTAGATAGCATCTCTGGACATGCCTGGTGCCTGGGGTACTTGTTGCCCTGAAAGGAAGGACACAAACCTGGCTGGTTTCACCACCTGCTGATTGTAAGTCCTGGGGCTTGAGCGAACATAGGTAGTAGCCAAGCAATGATTAAAGAGGGCCTTGGGCAAGACCCAGGGCTGTGCTGGCTTCAGGTCTAACCCAGGCAGTTCCAGTGGTGGTGGCCACAGGGGTGTTTGCATCACCCCACCCCCACCTCCAAGTAGCTCAGCATAGAAAGAGAGACACGCCATTAGTTGTTCACCTTTTGATAAAAAGTTAGGGAAGAGAACAAAAGTCTCTAGCTGGTAATCCATAGAATTCTTCTGGATCTTATCCAAGTCAATGAGTCTGCAAGAACTACAGCATTATTGGGCTTGGAGCCCAAGTCCCGTCAAATACCTGGAAAGTCTCCCCAAGAAGGACGGGTACAGATTGCAAAGCCCAGGCTGTGAAGACAACAATAAATACCTAACATGTCAATGCCCAGACACGGACAAAAATCTACATCAAGACCAGCCAGGAAAACATGAACTTACCAAGTGAACTAAATAAGGCACCAGGGACCAATCATGGAGAAACAGATACATAACCTTTCAGACAGAGAATTCAAAATAGCTGTTTTGAGGAAACTCAAGGAAATTCAAGATAATATAGAGAAGAAATTCAGAATTCTATCAGATAAATCTAACACAGACTGAAATAATTAAAAGAATCAAGTAAAAATTCCAGAGGTGAAAAATGCAATTGACACACTGAAGAATGCAATGGAGTCTCTTAATAGCAGAATTGATCAAGCAGAAGAAAGAATTAGTGAGCTTTGAAAATAGGCTATCTGAAAATACAGAGGAAACAGAAGAAAAAAATGAAAAAGAATGAAGCAAGCCTACAAATCTAAAAAAAGCTGCCAAAAAAAAAAAAAAACAAAAACTAAGGGTTATTGGCCTTAAGTAGAAAAGACTAAACAATGACCCGATCAAAAATAATAACTACAACTTTTCAAGACATAGACAGTACAATAACATATAAAGAGAAACAACAAAAAGTTAAGAAGCAAGGAGATAGAGTATTTTTAGTTTTCTTATTGCTTGTTTATGCAATCAGTGTTGTCATCACTTTAAAATAATGGATAGGGCCGGGAGTGGTGGCTCAAGCCTGTAATCCTAGCAATTTGGGAGGCCAAGACAGGTGAATCACCTGAGGACAGGAGTTCGAGACTATCCTGGCCAACATGGTGAAACACTGTCTCTACTAAAAATACAAAAATTTGCCAGGTGTGGTGGCAGGCGCCTGTAATCCCAGCTACTTGGGAAGCTGAGGCAGGATAATCGCTTGAACCCAGGAAGCAGAGGTTACAGTGAGCCAAGATCGTGCCCTTGCACTCCAGCCTGGGTGACAAGAGCGAAACTCCATCTCAAAAATAAAAAAATTGAATTAAATTGAATCAATGGATAGTATTTACAAGCCTCATGGTAACCTCAAATAAAAAAACATACACTGGATACACAAAAAATAGAAACCAAGAAAATCAGTGATACCACCAGAGAAAATCACCTTCACTAAAAGCAAGAAAGAGGGAGGGAAGAAGGAAGGAAGGAAAAAGAAGACCAGAAAACAAATAACAAAATGGCAGGATTAAGTCCTTACTTACCAATACAAACATTGAATATAAATGAACTAAACTCTTCAGCCATGAGTTAAAAGACACTGAGTGGCTGAATGGATTAAAAAAATAAGCCCCACCTATCTGGTGCCTATAAGAAACACACTTCACCTATAGAGACACATGTAGACTGATAATAAAGGGATGGAAAAAGATACTCCACACAATGGAAACTAAAAAAGAGCAGGAGTAGCTATACTTACATCAGACAAGATAGATTTCAAGACAAAAACCATAAAAAGGGACAAAGGTCATTATATAATGACGAAGGGGTCAATTCGGCAAGAGGATATGACAACTGTAGATATATACGCACCCTACACGAGCATACAGATATATAAAGCAAATATTGTTAGAGCTAAAGACAGAGATAGACCCCAATACAATAGCTGGAAACTTCAACGCTCCACTTTCACCCTTGGATAGATCATCCAGACAGAAAATCAACAAAGAAACATCAGACTTAATCTGCACTATAGGACCTAACTGATATTTACAGAACGTTTCACCCAATGGCTGCAGAATATACATTCCTCTCAGCTTATGGATCATTCTCATATGTTATGTCACAAAACAAGTCATAAAACATTAAACAACAACAACAACCAGGTGTAGCGGCTCACACCTGTAGCTGCAGCACTTCGGGAGGCTGAGGCGGGCAGATCACTTGAGGCCAGGAGTTCGAGACCAGCCTAGCCAACATGGCAAAACCCTGTCTCTACTAAAATTACAAAAATTAGGTGGGTGCAGTGGCTCATGCCTATAATCCCAGGACTCTAGGAGGCCGAGGCAGGCAAATCACATGTGGCCAGGAGTTCCAGACCAGCCTGGCCAACATGGTGAAACCCCGTCTCTACTAAAAATACAAAAATTAGCTGGGTATGGTGGCACACACCTGTGGTTCCAGCTACTCAAGAGGCTGAGGCAGGAGAATCACTTGAACCCAGGAGGAGGAGGTTGCAGTGAGCCAAGATTGCACTAATGTACTCCAGCCTGGGCAACAGAGCGAAACTCTGTCTAAAAAGAAGAAAAAAATTATAAAAATTAGCCAGGCATGGTGGTACACACCTGTAATCCCAGCAACGAGGGAGGCTGAGGCACAAGAATTGCTTGAACCTGGGAGGTGGAGATTGCAGTGCACCAAGATCGTGCCACTGCACTCCAGCAACACCCTGTTTACAAAAAAAAAAAAAAAAAAAAAAAATGAAATAATATCAAGCTTCTTCTCTGACTACCATGAAATAAAACTAGAAATTAATAAGAGGTATTTTGGAAACTATATAAATACGTGGAAATTAAACAATATGCTCCTGAATGACCAGTGGGTCAATGGAGAAAGGAAATTGAAAAATTTCTTGAAACAAATAATAATGGAAACACAACATACTAAACCTATGGGATTACAGTGAAAGCAGTACTAAGAGGGAAATTTATAGCTAAAAGTGCCTACACATCAAAAAAGAAGAAATCTTCAAATAATCTAACAATGCATCTTAAAGAACTACAAAAGCAAGAGCAAACGAAACCTAAAATTACTAGAAGAAAAGAAATAATAAAAATCAGGGAACAAATAAATGAAATTGAAACTAAGAAAACAATACAAAAGATCAAGGAAATGAAAGCTAGTTTATTGAAAAGATAAATAAAATTGACAAACCTTTGACCAGACTAAGAAAAGAGGAAACAAGACCCAAAAGCCCTCATGAATGGATTAATGCCATTATAAAAGGGCTTGAGGTCAAAGGACAAGCCCTCTTCTGCCCTTCTGCCTTCCATTATGTGATGATGCAGCAAGACTGTCACCAGATCAAGTGCCTTGAACTTGGACTTTCAGCCTCCAGAATGGTAAGAAAGTAAATTTCTGTTCATCATAAATTACGCAGTCTCAGATGTTCTGTTATAGCAGCACAAAATGGACTAAGACAGATTTCAATATTCACTAAGGTGATCTAATAATGCAATCTCCACCAAAAACCCGGCCAGTCTCTCAGAGCTTGCAGTGAGCCAAGATGATGCCACTGCACTCTAGCCTGGGCGACAGAGCGAGACTCCGTCTCAAAAAAACACAAAAAAACAAACAAAAAAAAACCCAGCCAGTCTCTCTACAGAAACTGACAAGATGATGCAAAAATTCATATGGAAACTCAAGGCACCCCTAATAACCAAAACAGTCTTGAAAAAGAACAAAAAAGAAAAACTCGTATTTCCTGATTTCAAAACTTAAGACAAAGCTACAGTAATCAAGGCAGTATGGTACCAGCATAAATTGACATATAGATCAGTGAAATAGTTAAGAGTCCAGAAATAAACATATTTATAGTTGTATTAGTTCATTTTCATACTGCTATAAATAACTGCCCGAGACTGGGAAATTTATAAAGGAAAGAGGTTTAATTGACTCACAGTTAAGAATGGCTGGGAAGGCCTCAGGAAACTTACGATTACAGTGGAAGGCAAAGGGGAAGCAAGGCACTTTCTTGACAAGGCAGCAGGAAGGAGAAATGCCAAGCAAAGCGGGGAAGAGCCCCTTATAAAACCATCATATCTCGTGAGAACTCACTATCATGAGAACATCATGGGGGAAACTGCCCCCATGATTCAATTACCTCCACCTGGCTCTCCCCTGACACATGGAAATTATGGGAATTACAATTCAAGATGAGATTTGGGTGGGGACACAAAACCTAACCCTATCAATGGTCAACCGAGTTTTGACAAGGCTAGCAAAACAACACAACAGGGAAAGAATAGTCTTCAATGGTGCTGCGACCACTGAATAGCCCATCCAAAAGAATAAAGCTGGATCCCTTCACCACATCATCCATATGAATTAAGTCAAACTGGACCACAGACATAAGCATAAGAGCTACATCTTACACTTTTAAAATTAGAATTATAAAACTCTTGGAAGAAAATACAGAGTTAGGCAAGGTCCAGATGCAATTTAAGAAGGAGTGTATAGGGAAACCCAAAGACAACCGGAGAGACAAAAACAAGGATACCAGAGAAAATTTTAGCCTCTGATACCTACAGCTACAGCAAACACTAAATAAAGCTTAACTCCTGGCCAGATAAACAAAAAACCTCACACTAAAGGCCTATTTAACTCAGTTTTTAAACAAAGTACATCATACCCAGCCTCAATTAAAAGGCATGCTAAAAGGCAAAAGTACAGTTTGAAAAGAGAGAGCAAATCAAACATCAGAACCAGACTCACATATGGCAGAGATACTGGAATTGTTTAATACCACACTGGGAATTTAAAGTAATGATAATTAATATACTAAGGGCTCTAATGGAAAAAGTGGACAACATGCAAGAACAGATAGGTAATACAGACAGAGAGATGGAAACTCAGAGTCAAAAGGAAATGCTAAAAATCAAAATCACAGTAACAGAAACAAAGAATGCCTTTGATGGACTCATCAGTAGACTGGACTTTGCCAAGGAAAGAATCAGTGAGATTGAAGATATGTGAATATCTTCCTGAAACTTCCTGAACTAAAAAGCAAAGAGAAATAAGAATGAAAGAAGAAGAAGAAGAAAAAAAGAACAGACTAAGAACAATGGAGCCAGTGCCCAGCTAGCTCAGTCAGTAGAGCATGAGACTTTTAAGAACAATGAGCCAACTATAAGAGTAGAACATATACTTAACGGGAATACCAGAAGAATGAGAGAGAGAAGCAGAAGAAACATTCAAAGCAGTAATGGCTGAAAAACTTCCAAAATTAATGACAGAACAAAACCACGGACCTAGGAAACAGAAAACACCAAGCAGAATGAATATGAAAAAATCTGCACCTAAGCATATCATATTCAAACTTCGGAGAATCAAAGACAGAGAAAATTTTGAAAGAAGCCAAGGACAAAAACACACCTCACCTACAGAGAACAAGGGTAAGAATTACATCAGACTTCTCTTTAGAAACTATGCAGGGAAGAAGATAGTACAGTGAAATATTAAATCCTACAGTATTCTCTTTGGATTAGAAAGAAACGATGCTGGCTCAGATATTTCCTCCTTTGGATGCTCATGGGGAAAATTAAAAAGTCATAGAGAAAAAAAAAAAAAACAAGGAGATTACAATAGTGATTCTCAAATCTGGGTGTCCACAATAATCACCTGGGAGTGTATTACACATGTTGATTCCTAAAAACCCCCAGAACACTTTGGGAGGCTGAGATGGGTGGATCACGAGGTCAGGAGATCGAGACCATCCTGGCTAACATGGTGAAACCCTGTCTCTACTAAAAATACAAAAAAATTAGCCAGGCGTAGTGGCGGGCGCCTATAGTCCCAACTACTTGGGAGGCTGAGGCAGGAGAATGGTGTGAACCCGGGAGGCGGAGCTTGCAGTGAGCCAAGATTGCGCCACTGCCCTCCAACCTGGGCGACTGAGCGAGACTTCATCTCCCAAAAAAAAAACCCAGAAAATTTAAGCAAGCAAGTCTGGAATACGGAATTACAGTCTAGAATCTCCATTTTGTTTTTGTTTTTTGACACACAGGCCAAGTAATCTAGATATACATGGGTGGTCATGAACATACAGTCTCTGGAGCAACTCCGAAAGGTTCAGGGGTCTCAGTGACCTATGGGTCTTTATAAAATCCAGTTGCTGTAAAGTAAATGCTCAGGAGTACATGTAGGTTTAGGCCAACTTCGACCAGTATTACCCTACTGATAAAAAAAAAAAAAAAAAAAAAAAAAATCTTCGTCAGAACTCCTTCCATTAGTAACGCACAGGCTGCTGCTCATCAAGATACTGAATAAGGTCCTATTCTGAATGGGCTACTGAGAAGGAAGATGAGAGGATAGGGATGGCATCCAGAACTATGAAATAATACATTTGTGTTGTTTTATGCCACCAAGCATGTGATGATTTGTTACAACAGCAGTAAGAAACAAATGCATATGCTAGCAAATTACCTGCCTAAAAAGAAACTACATTTTTCTTACCTATATCCATTGGTCGTTCTGTATTTAAACTGTCTGTGCTGCCCTGATGTCGACATATAGGAGTCTTTCCTTGTTGATCTGATAACTTCCCGGTACTGACAGATCTAAAAAGAATAGTGATGTTTTTAATAAAGGAAAAGTATACTTTTTAAAACTAGAAGGGTTAATAGGAAGTTAGAGAATGAGGAAACAAGAAATAGATACCAAACAATTCAGGGTAGAGATAAACTTCAATAATACAAATAAAGGACAGAAATAGAATATTCAAAAAGTTCAGGAAGAACTATGTACTTACATAGTTACAGGAAGCATCTGTGGTTTTCAGAGATTCTAAATGTACGTGGTACATATCAATAACCATATGGCATAAATCACCCGCTACACTAATGTAGTCTTGCTGCTTTTATAACAGAAATCTATGTTTTACTATTACAGTTTTCATGTTTAATGCTAGAATGGAAACAGTCTTTTACCTGCCAAACACTGCCTTGCTCTGCTGCTCGGCCCGCTGCCTCTCACTTCCTTGCACTAAGAGGCAATGGGCACATTCCCGTGGCTCATTCCCATCTTTCGACTGTTCTTCAGCAGGCCCATGACGAGTAACCAAGGCTAACAGGTTGGAAGATGCTTGAGTTTTAGGGATTTTGAAAGGAGCTGTGGTCTAAAGAGACATATATATATATATATATGTAAACTAGTTAATACGATGCATGAACTATTCAGTACTGGCAGGTTTGTGTGACCCAGTAGTCAGGAGCATGTAGGAGATAGGTCGGGTGGTGGGAAAAATTGTAGAAAGATGCAAACCTTCTTGGAAGGCCGGGAGGTTTTACAAAAGTTAGGATTTGGCTGAAGGCAACCAGATTCTCTTATCTGGTTCCTGAAAGCTTAGGTTAGATAACAAGGGGATGTAAAAAAACTGATCTAGATAAGTTAGTTTACTTAGGCCTTGGAACCTGGCCTTTAATCATCCATGCACAATTACTTACAAGTATGTTGACTCAAGGCCTTTGTCATTAAATCTGTACTAAATAAATGCCTGCAGCACCAGCATGTCAGGGCTGTGGCTGCTACAACTCTTTCTGTGAACGGCCCGGTCCCCTAGCCCGCTCCTTCACTGGATGTCTGTGTTGGAGTGCATTTTTTCATCCATTACTTGGTCAGGGTCTGCGGGTGAGACCTGGCAGGAGTATAGACTCTGGAGTCAGTCAAACCCACTGGCAGCTCTATTTACAGCTTGTGTGACCTTGCACAATTAATTTAAACTCTCTAAGCCTCAATTTCCTTTTTTCAGGATTAAATGGGATCATACACAAAAAGCATTCTGCAAATAAAGTACTTACGCTGCATCTGGTACACAGAAAGTGCTCATTATATTATAGCTATTATTGTCCAGGAGCAGTGGCTCATACCTGTAATTCTAGCATTTTGGGAGACTGAGGCAGGCAGATCACTTGAGGCCAGGAGTTAAAGACCAGCCTGGCCAACATGGTGAAATCCCATCTCTACTAAAAATACAAAAAAAATTAGCTGGGCATGGTGGCACATGCCTGTAATCTCAGCTACTCGGGAGGCTGAGGTACCAGAATTGTTTGAACCTGGGAGGTGGAGGTTGTGATGAGCTGAGGTTGTGCCACTGCACTCCAGCCTGGGCGACAAAGCAAGACTCTGTCTCAAAAAATAAAATAAAAAAATTATAGCTATTCTCATAATGAATCCTTTCCATAAAGTACTATACCAGTTCCTGACCTACAAAAGGGTTTAATAAACAAACCTTAGTAGGAGAGCCAATGATTGTTGGCAAAGGAGTTTTAAAGAACCAGTCAGAACTCCGTGGAGAGGACCCCAAGTGCTTGGTGGGAGAAGTTCCAAGGCTGCCAGGCCGACTGGGCTGAGGCGAGTAGCTGTACCCAGCCCCAGTATGGGATGGGCACACGGGGTCAGAGTGCTGTTTTCTGAGCTTCTGCTTGTTCTGATAGATGTCAGTGAGGGTGGGGGCGCTCTGCAGTCTAGCACCCGATAAGAGAGACTGTGGGGACTGAGCTTGTGGCACTGGAGAACCTAACAAGAAAACAAATGTAACATTAACCTGAAGTGAAGAAGTGCAGTGCAAAAATGTAAAAATTAAGAAGACAATTTTTAAAATGAGAATTCTGATAAATATCTTATTTTTCATAAGACATTCTAAAAGTGATTTACTTGGCAAGAGACTATTTTTCTGTCATCCTTTGCAAAACAAGTCCATTGTTCGTATTCTCAGGAGACAGAATTTAATGATTACAGGTTATTAGCTGTTTTTAATCAGTAGATAGCAAATAACTCAGATTAATGCAAGGTCTGACTAGCACCAAAGAGAACAATATCGTTAATGATTAAAGTTAATGAATACAACAAAAACCTACATTGAACAGGATGATTGTTACTCTATATGAATACATACCTGGATAAATCTATGTAATTATTCTCTTTTCTCACACAGCAACTAAAAGAAAACTCGAACTAACTCAAAATAACTCCTTATTCAAAAAAACAAAATAAACAAATATATATAACGTGTAGGAAAGAAGATCATAAGATAACAGACCTTTCTGAGATTTTACTTTGTGTAAAAATAACAAGCATGTGGATTTTCTGTACTTTGTCCATTAAATTACACACTTAAAACCGAAAGCATCCATATTCTCACAAAGATAACACTTGCCTGCAGATATCCTTGCCTCTTCAGGGGACACCAAATCAAGAGCCTAAGAGATCCCTGTTTCCCCCCTACAAACCTTGCTGTTTCCAACCCAAGGTCCACTAATCCTTGACTCCAGTTACACACTCTTTGGAGTTTCTTAGAAGCCAAACTAGCAAGAATAATATAAAGGGCGTGCAAATATTCTTAGTGACCTAACCATCATTCTTCTAAAAACAGAAACCAACAGAAGCTTTGCTATTGACCACTTCTGGCTTCATCTCTTTCCAAACCTGATATTTAATTTTACTGCCCTTTATAAAAATAAATTTGTGTTAAAATCTTATGGTCTGAATAAAGTTATTTAAGCTTTGTTAAAGAGTGCTTTTCTAAGTAACACAGGATTCCTTTAACTGGCCAACTCCTTAAATATCCATACAACAGAATTTAACTTATAAAGTGTCTTTAACTTATAAAGACATGATTCACACATATCTTTTCAGGCAAATACATATAATTTTTAAAATCTATATTATTTTATCTGATGCTGACTCATGGCTCTTACCAAAAATGGTATTAATCAGCCGGGCATGGTGGCTCACACCTGTAATCCCAGCACTTTGGGAGGCCGAGGCGGGTGTATCACAGGGTCAGGAGTTCGAGACTAGCCTGGCCAATATGGTGAAACCCCGTCTCTACTAAAAATACAAAAATTAGCCGGGCATGGTGTTGCTCACCTGTAGTCCCAGCTACTTGGGTGGCTGAGGCAGAAGAATTGCTTGAGCCCAGGAGGTGGAGGTTGCAGTGAGCCAAGATCATGCCACTACACTCCAGCCTGGGCAACAGAGCGAGACTCCATTTCAAAAAAAAAAAAAAAAAGTATTATTAATCAATAGTATTAAAGTAATAAAATTTCACTCCATAAATAAATTTCATTATCTATGTGAAAATAACCAAAACTTAGCCAAGTTATTTAATTTCTAAGACTTATTTTCATTAAGGAATCTCATATCCAAAAGGAGGTAGTAGATTAGCTTTATGACATATTAAACCACATTAGACCAAGATTCTAAAAATCAGGATGGCAGAGGAGATATTTCATATCAATTCTGTTCTTTGATAAAACTAGAAAAACACAACTCAAATCCATTTATAATACAATTCAAATTATTAATAAACCAAATACATTATCCTACCTGAGGAGTTTCTACTCCTGGAGTCATGGCCCTGAGGATGCCCACAGCAGCACTGACTGAATTGCTCAGGAATGGTACCAACTACAAAAAAAAAAAAAAAAAAGATGGGGAAAGGAAGAAAAATGATCAAAAACCAATAAAAGATGGCAACAGGCAACACATGCACAAATTGCACAGTAAACTACTGGTTAGAAAATTTTAAGTAACAAACGTTTAGTTCAACTAACATTTACTGGACAACCAATCCGCTGGGTGCTGCACACTAAGATAAAAAGTATCATATAATCTGCCTTGAAATAAGAACATTAGGGGAAGAAAAACCACATAAACAAATAAATGCTCCTAACAGGTATGTCCATAAGACAGGTAAGCACAAAGAGTTTGTACAAAGTGTCCGGGCTTGTGGAGCTGCAGGGCACAGCTAACAGAGAGCCCCAGCTGCAGTCCCTCTGGTGCCAAGGCTAGGCTTCCCCCAGGGCTGTTCCCAGCCAATGACTGCATATGGTGGGACACTAATTCAGGCTTGTTGAAGCGGGTCAGGGAATTCCTCTAACAAGACAATCCAGTGCTTGGGGCTACTTCTTCAGTCTGGCTGAAACCTTCTCAGACCTACACCACAGTCTGAGACTCTTCCTGGCCAGCTCTTCCTCCTTCCTGCCCTCCTTTTCCAGGTGTTGGACCTATGTCTTGGTCTGAGGGCCCTCCCTGCTTCCTCCTGCTCCTCCCCTTCATTCTTCACAGAAGTTTCCCCAAGTCACTCTCTTGTATATCTAATATGTTCTATGCATCCATTTCTCTGAGAATTAAAACTAACACAGAGAGAGAGAGTTAGGGAAGGCTTCAGGCAGTTTAAGCAGATGAGAAACATGTCTATATCAAGAGGGCTCATTCCAAGGGATTAAGCAGCGGGCAGAGATCAGATCCTTAGGGAAGGGCTTTATCCTTGTGTGCAAGGATGAGATTTGGACCTTATCTTTGGAGACCTTGAAGTACCTCAGGGGCTGCTACAGGGGTGAGAAAGGGCCAAAATTTTATTTAAAGATTTTTCATCTAAAAACAGCTTTGAAACCATTGCAACAGGTAATGTGGCAATTTAAACTTCTTTCTTTTTCTTAACACTGTCATTGTGTGTTTTGTCTTGTTTTAAACAGGGCTCCTGAGGAAAGCCCTTCTCTTTGTCTCTGGAGACTTCTTCCTGTTCCATCTTAGTGTTACTTCAGCAGTTCTGACTGAAGGTGGGGCCCTCTCCTGGAAGTATTTTTTTTACAGTTTTGAGATTTGCCACCCCCAGGCCCTGCGTGCACCACCTGTTCTTCCCACCACCTCAGTGCTGCCTCTCATACAGCTGCTGTAGTCTCAATGGCTTTGGCTCTCTCACACATATTTCTGCAGTTTGAGCTTTTATTTCTGTCCCTTGGTTTCACTGAAGATATGGTACATGGTTTGTTTTTCCTTTTGGTAGGGTTTTTGTTGTTTCTGGTGTTTTGTTTGTATTGGCATTCTCCTTATTACGGTACCAGGAGAAGTGGGAAGATCTGTAACAAAGCTGCCACCACATGCCTACCAGAACTGGAAGGTTTCTGGTAATTGTGACCCAGAGCTGCTATACAGTAATCCTTATAAGTATGAGTGATAAGTAGAAAAGGCATTTTATGCACTTCAACCTAGGGTTTCTGACTTTGCATTTAGAGCCCAATCCCAAAGGAGATGCTTTTTATACATAAATTACATTTATATTATTGTATTTCCAGTAGAGATCCTAACAAATTTATACAGAGATTCTCAAAAAGAAGTTGGGGCCGGGCGCGGTGGCTCACACCTATAATCCCAGCACTTTGGAAGGCCAAGGCGAGTGGATGCTTGAGCCCAGGTGCTCGAGACCAGCCTGGGTAACATAGTGAAACTTTGTCTCCGTAAAAATAAAAAAGTAAAAAAAATTAGCTGGGTGTGGTGGCATGCGCCTGTAGTTCCAGCTACTTGGGAGACTGAGGTGAAAAGATCCTTTGAACCTGGGAAGCAGAGGCTGCAGTGAGCCGAGATCATGCCCCCTGCACTCCAGCCTGGGCGACAGAGTGAGACCTTGTCTCAAATAGAGAAAGAAAAGGAAAAAGAAAAGAAAAGAGGGAGTTGGGATTGGGGTAAAGATGGAGGGACGGGGTATGGCCTCCAATCAGCTGAGAATCACTGCCATCATGAGCCGAAGTTCCTAAAGAAAATGTGTCATGTCAGATTTATTACAGTGAAAAAAAGGTTGAAAACAACTGTTTTTAAACTCTACTTACCCAAAGGGGAAGGTGAGTAAGGCCTAGAAGACCCAGTGGAGAGCCTTCGTCCAACTGTCTGTGCTGTGTCTGCTGGTACTGGGGAGCATGATCCCGGCCGGAGGAAGCCCATGGGGCTGGTGTTGGACCTTCGTACCACTGCAGATCTGAAAAGTAAATTATTCCTTCTATAAAAGGTTCTAGAACTCTCTTTTTATTCCTGCATTTTCTGAAACTTCCTAACAATATGCCACGGAGTAGTTTTCAAAAATATGTAATACAGTCACATGGAACAATTATAAGATGCATAAAAAGAGTGAGGTCTCCCTCTCATTTTTCTATTCTATCTGCCTAATTCCCAACACTTCCCCAATTCTGTTCAAAAGGTTACCATGATTCTTAGTTTCTAGTATATCCTTCCAGAGTTCCTTAATGCATATACAAAATAAACTAAATATATACTCCTTTTCACCATGTTTTAACACCAAAGGTGATATATTACATATCAATCATTTTGAATCCTTTTGGTCTTAGGTCCTGTTTATACTCTTAAAAATTACTGAAGACCCCAGAGAGTTCTGTTTATGTAATTTATATCTATTGATATTTACTGTATTCAAAATTAAGCTGAGAATTTTTAAGAATTATTAACTCATTAATAAGCTTATTCCATGTAATATAAGATTATGAAAAATAAGCATATTTTCCAAAACAAAATAAATTAGTAAGAAGCATGGCATTATTTTATATATTTTTATAAATTTCTAATGGCTCACAGAAGACATTTGGATTCTCATAATTGCTTCTGCATTCAATCTGTTGTAAGATACGTTATTTTGAGTGAAGAATATGAAGAGGATCCAGCCTTCCACAGATGTGTAACTGTGAAAGGAAGGAATATTTTGGTAGCCTTTTCAGGTTAACTGTGACACGTTTCTTTGATACTACACCAAAACTCAGCAAGTGGTCGTTGCTAAAAGGTTGGCTGCAATGTGGATCTGAAACCAGATTAATGAACTCATACTCCATTATGTGAGACTCCATTCTTTTGCAAAGAATCTTGCACTTTGAATGAAATTTTTACCTGTGCATGATTTTTTTTAACCATTCAGTAATCTGGAAAACATTGGTTCACTGAGTTATGCAGATATTCCAATGCTGATACATTAAACAATATCAAAAAGTCATATTCATAACAAAATATCACCCTCAATTTTAAAAGAAACACCTGTCAAGGTATAACAGAAGCTGTCAAACTTGTATTCACCACTGAATTTTTCCAACATTCCAATTTTTGCTTAAAAGCTCAAGTTTTATCATCACTTGTTTTCTTCAAAGTGGAAAGACTTACCATTTTTGACAAAATAGCTGCTTGATACCCATAACCATAGTTTATCAGCCATTTTTTAAGGTAAAAAGGGTATTCTATGACAAAGCAGCTAGCTCAACTTGGAACTAGAACAATCATACAATGCTTTTCCTAAGATAACTACTCTAATATGTGGCAAAAGTGCTTTATGTGTACATCTCACTCAAAGATTTTTTCAAAGAAAAATATTAATTTTTACTGCCTCATTAAGGACATTCTTTTGTACTGCAAGTGTGTAGTGGAGAAGAATACAAAGACTAATAGTACTGTTTGGGTACCACCACCCTGATTCAGGCAAAGGTACCAATAGCTTTATCCATCTTTGCATTTTGTACTATCAGTGCATGTATCAATGTAATGAAAAAAGCAAATAACGTCTAATTTTTATTATGAAAATAGTTTTGACCTCATGGACCCTCTGAAGGGATCCACAGACTAAACTTTGAGAACCACTGTACAATATACTGTTAATCACTTTACTTTTTTCATTTTATAATATAACTTGGAAATCTTTCTATCTTGGCACAGAGGGAACTCCTTCACTCTTTGTGGAATGGAAGGTGTGTAATATTCCATTATCAGAGATGGATCCTAATAAATTAGTTCATTACCAGTGGCCACTTGGCTTATTTTTCATCCTTTGGTATCGTAACAGTTAACAACTTTGTGTAAATGCAATTTCATACACAGGAGAGGCCTGTATATGTAGACTATGTCCATGACATACATATATGTAGAATTAGTTACCAGAAGTCAAAGTGCTATTTCCTCCCTCCACTCTATTGGGTGCTCTGAGATTTAGGTCTCTCTGAGGGTACTGTGGGGCACAGTGATTCTCCTTATGTCAGAATCCCTGATTACGTGCATACTTATGTCTGCCATGCTAAATCAAGTACCATTCTTCTATCCCCTTCTGTTTTCCAGAAATTTACTGAACTCTCTCTCTCACTGAATAGAGTAAGAATAACCTATGCTTGGCCAGGCGTGGTGGCTCATGCCTGTAATCCCAGCACTTTGAGAGGCTGAGACGGGAGGATCGCTTGAGGCCAGGAGTTCAAGACCAGCCTGGTCAATGTAGTGAGACCCCGTCTCTAAAAGCACAAAAGAAAAAGAAAAAAAAAAAGAATAATCTATTCTTATTTCACTTGTTTTTGTGGACTTGTACCTTTGTTATTCCTTTAATATGATCTTAGTAAGGTCTCAGGATGGGGGAAAAAGTAAACAATATGTAAATAATCTGCTACAACTGGTGGGATTTCATTTTTTAATAAGTTCTTCCTCAATTCTTAAAAGTAATTATACATTTTAAGTATATATGTCTATACACATGTATACTTAACATATATAAAATATATACAAATATATACATATCATACTATATTATCAAGCTAAGCTTAAATAGCATTTAAATTCATCAATTATAAAACTTTATTATTCAATTTTGTGCGTTCCCATTATACACACATGTAAGACACTATGCCACAGAAAGTAACATATCTTCCAATATCAATAAATTTTTTTTAAAGGAGATGAAAAAGAATTAAGCAAGAAAAAAGCTACTAACTTACCTTGGAGAACCATGTACATTTGTGCCTGAGCTGGCAGTAGATGTAAGATTCTGCTCTATGCGCTGATAATTCCTTATTTGAGTAGGAACTGGAATTGGTGCTGTTTCGCTGTGAGGTGACACAGTAGGCTGACACTGCCTGCAATCGTAATTTATTGAAAAAGGAAAGAAACAGTGGTAGGATTGTTTTTCTTTCATTTGACCCATTAGTTATATTTAGAGAAAATTCCAGAAAGAGCCAAATGGTCACTCCACTACCTTAATAAGAAATGATCTTGTTAAAAAATATATAAAGCCAAAAAAAATCACATTTATTATCTAAAAAACTCCTGGCATTCATATGCATATTGAGGACTAAGAATTATAATAACCTGGAAAAAAGTTCCTTTACAACAACAGGAAAAGTCCACAGGTCAGCAAAACTGTTTCATCCACTCACATTCTGCTATTCATTACTATGTGAGAGAAAAAATATCCAGGAAAATATGCTGGGTAAAAGAACGGGAAGTTCAACAACAAAGATGACTGGAATGTTTGCAAAAGTCATGAATGCTGTAAGCATTCTCAAAGAGCTCTGACTTTATGAAGAAGGAGAACATCTTGCACAAACTCTCAAAGCATGCAACTCATCTGACGTCCACATTTTGTAGTGTCAGTATTTGGTTTCTTTAATAGCCTCTTTCCTCACTTTTCATAAATTCAGAAATAGAATGTCCTTATACCACTTTCAATTCACTTTACAACATATCCTAAAAACATATCAGAGATAACACTGGGCCCTAAGAGAGATGACTTATTTCAAAGTAAAAAGAAATACAAAACACTTTTGTAGTGGAGATGTTAGCTGCTTTCCCAATATCCATTCAGCCTTTATGTCTTACTAAAAAATAACTTAAATTTTATTAGTGGCAATAATATGCCCAATTAATTGCAGCATATCCCAGACTCCCTTGCAGCCAAGCATAACCATATGTCTTTCTTGGTCAGTGAGATATAAGCAGAAGTCTTCTACTCATTCTTCCTGTTCAAAATGTGAGCATGCTTGCTGGAGCTTCAGCAGATACCTTTGAACCACAAAAAAAAAGGCCAAAAGACCTGAAGACACGTAACTTCCTTGAGCCACAGAAACTAAGGAAACAACTGTTTATCGTGACTTTTCTGCATGAGAGAAAACCTTTAAGTGTTCAACCACTCTATAGTTAGGACCCTGTGGTTTACAGCCAAGTGGAATTCCTAATGATACGCCATTTAGTGTGCTTCTATGAGCTCTCTCTATACATTTTTATTTAGGTATTTCCATTTAGTATCTTTAAATACAATAATGTTTTTAATATCTACACATCTGATTCTTCAGTTTATCTACATCCTAAAAACAAACAAACAAAATCCCAAAAACACAAACCCTCTACTACCACTAAAACAGCTTAACAGTACTTCACTAATCAGCTCTGGTGTCTGCAAGCCAGTGCACTCATAGGTCTGACAACCCAAGTTCCTTAACAACAGAATAACCAACACAGTCATCAATTATCAGAATGTGAAAGAATAAATGCCATTTTTTTATTGTTTCAATTTAGTAAGTAAACAGAGTTTTTGAAGCATTCATTCCCTGCTAAAGTACATCAGGGAATTTTTTTTAAATACACATTATCAAGCTCTAAAATTTTTCCTGTACTGGTTAATCTCCAAAGGGAAGAAGCTAAATAAAGGTACCCAAAGAAGTAAACTTAGCAACCTCATAATTCTAAGCACCTCTCTCAGGTAATCTCAGCTGGCTTCTCTAACACCTCTGGTTCCTCCCCCTACCAGCATGAGGACATGAACAGCCATGGATGGTGTTCTGCAAATGTTATCTCAGATAGTCTCTGGACAGGACCTGCAAGCAGACTTGCTCAGGGTCTAGAAAGTCTTCCCTGGACAAATTCCAGATCTCTAGCTAGCTAAGACAACTGCAGCCATTTTCCTGTACAACTTAATATTAACACCAATATTTAACCATCTTCAACTCCCTGAGTCCAAGTTAAGGAGAGGGAAAGTCTGTGTATGTCCTGAGTCTCCAGCACATCTTCCTCACCTCCACTAGGGCCTACAATTCACAACATTCTCTGTGTGGACCGTCATCTTGGACCCATATGAAATACTTGAAAGATAAGGCAGCCTGGCCACACAAAAGCACAATCACATGTTATTCTATCTACTTGTGCTGAGAGGAAAGCACAAATGCAAATGGACAAATAAAGACTAGGTGATAGCATGACAACTTCTTCAAATACACAATCTTTACACCAGGAAATCCCCAGTTGCCTCTTTGTTTTAGAAGACTCCATGAGTAAATCCTGAAAGGGTGACAGGTAATCAGGAAAGCAAGGGTTCAGCTGGAAGTAATGCCAAGGGACAGAGGGAGAGAAGAAGGAAGGATCTATGCATAAGAGCTCCTGTGAAACTCAATCTAGCAGACTAATGCTAAGCCACAGTTGTGAGCTCATGCTCATGAGGCTGTGTAAGTGATGGGGAGCCAAGTGGAGATAACCTGCTCATCACCCAGAGACCCAAGCAGCATCAGAAAAGGGCCTAGTGTGGCACACAGGCACACAGCTTGCAAGGTTCTAGTGAGAAAGGGGTTACTGCATGTAAAGGGAAGCAATCAGAAGGGTAGAAATCCACTCAGATGGTGCACTCTAATGCACCATGGGCTGTGTATGCAGCTGGCCTCCATCAATGTCTGGCAACAACCAGTCTTAGAATTCTGATATCCTAACTCCCATGCCTATGCCTATTTTTTGTCTGGATGCACAAGGAATAGATATTATATTCCCTACATGTACTGAAAACTGCCATGTAGCTATTGAAGGCACTATTACTAAGAAGTGCTGCTTTAGAGAAAAATGCATATTCACTGGTAAAGGAAAGTTCAAGAATTAGACCATAGGAAGAGAAGCCAAAAAGGAGCCAAAGATGACTCAAGAAGAAAAAAAGGCAGCACATCAAAAGAAGTGAAAATCTGGCAATATACAATTCCCATAATTGAATTCCCATATCCTCAAAGAGAGGAAAGAAACAAGATTGTACAAGATTTGCTTATCCCCGTGGTTCCCAAACTGTGCACTGAGGGCCCCCAAGGTACCAGTGCTACTCAAGGGGCGCCTTAGAGTACATCAAATTGTTTAAGGTTTGGGAGGCTGAAGCAGGTGGATCACGAGGTCAGGAGTTCAAGACCAGCCTGACCAACATGGCGAAACCCCGTCTCTACTAAAAATACAAAAAATTAGCCAGGCGTGGTGGCGGGTACCTGTAATCCCAGCTACCCTGGAGGCTGAGGCAGGAGAATTGCTTGAACCTGGGAGGCGGAGGCTGCAGCAAGCCGAAATCGCACCATTGCACTCCAGCCTGGGCAACAAGAGCGAAACTCCATCTCAAAAATAAAAGATACTCTTGCATATACAGTGAAATGATCTCAGACAAGAATGCTAAGACCACACAATGGGACAGGGACAGTCTCTTCAGCAAATGGTGCTGGGAAAATTGGATATCCACATGCAAAAGAGTAAAGTTGGAATCTTATCATACACCATACACAAAAATTAACTCAAAGGGGATTAAAGGCCTGAACATTATACCCAAAACTATAAAACTCCTAGACAAAAACATAGAGGGAAAGCTTAATATGACATAAGAGTAGGCAATGATTTCTTGAATATGATGCCAAAAGCACAGGCAACAAAACAAAAAATACACAAATATGACCTCCTCAAACTTAAAAAATGTTCATGTATCAAAGGACACAAAGAGTCAAAAGACAACCAAGAGAATGGGAAGAAATATTTGCAAATCATACCTGACAAGAGGCTAATATCCAAAATATACAGAGAACTCTTACAACCCAACAACAAAAACCCAAATAACTCAATTTAAAAATGGGCAAAGATCTTGACTGGACATTTCTCCAAAGATGATATACAAATGGCTAAGAAGTATAAGAAAAGATGTTCAATATCACTAATCATTAGAGAAGTGCAAATCAAAATCACAATGAGGTATCACCTCACACTCATTAATTAGGATGGCTGTTATTTTAGAAAATAACAAATGCTGGTGAGAATGTGGAGAAACTGGAACCCCTGTGCACTGTTGGTTGGACTGTAAAATGGTATAACTGCTATGGAAAATTTAGCCAATTCCTGAAAAAAGTAAACACAAAATTACCATATGATCCAGCAATCTCACTTCTTGGTACATATCCAAAGGTACTGAAAGCAGGATCTTAAGGAGATATTTACACACTCATGTTTATAACAGCATGCACAATAGCCAAGAGGTTGAAGCAACCCCAAATGTTCACCAATGGATTAATGGATAAACAAAATGTAGCATATACATACCATGGAATATAATTCAGCTGTAAAAAGGGAAAAAGCCTGTCACATACCACAACATGGATGAACCTTACAGTCATTATGCTAAGTGAAATAAGTCAAGTCACAAAACAGATAAATGCTATATGATTTCACTTACATGAGGTATCTAAAGTAGTCAAATTCATAGAAACAGAGAGCAGAATGTGGTTACTATCAGGGCCTTGAGGGGAAGGGGAAACGGGGAGGTAATATTTAATGAGTATAAAGTTTCAGATTTGCAAAATGAAAAAGTCCTAGAAATTGGTTGCATAACAATGTGAACATATTTAACAATAATGAACTATAAACATTAAAATGGCTGAAATAGTAGATTTTATGTGTTTTTTATCACAATTAAAATTTCAGGCTGGGCACAGCGGCTCACAACTGTAATCCCAGCACTTTGGGAGGCCGAGGCGGGCAATCACCTGAGGTCAGGAGTTTGAGACCAGCCTGGCCAACATGGTGAAACCCCATCTCTACTAAAGATACAAAAAATTAGCTGGGCATGGTGGTGCGTACCTGTAATCCCATCTACTCAGGAGGCTGAGGCAGGAGAATCACTTGAACCCGGCAGGTAGAAGTTGCAGTGAGCCGACATCACGCCATTGCACTCCAACCTGGGTGACAGGACGAGACTCCGTCTCAAAAAAAAAAAAAAAAAAAAAAATTAGCCAGGTATGGTGGCACATGCCTGTAATCCCAGCTACTTGGAAGGCTGAGACAGGAGAATGGCTTGAACCCAGGAGGCGGTGGTTGCAGTGAGCCAACATCCCACCAATGCACTCCAGCCTGGGCCACAGAGCAAGACTCCATCTCAAAGAAAAAAATAACTAAATAAAATTTCAAGAAAAGAAATAATGAGGCAGGGTGCGGTGGCTCACGCCTATAATCCCAGCACTCTGGGAGGCCAAGGCGGGCGGATCATGAGATCAGGAGATCGAGACCATCCCGGCTAACCCAGTGAAACCTTGTCTCTATTAAAAATACAAAAAATTAGCCAGGCATGGTGGCCGGCACCTATAGTCCCAGCTACTCGGGAGGCTGAGGCAGGAGAATGGCGTGAACCCAGAGGCAGAGCTTGCAGTGAGCTGAGATCACACCATTGCAATCTAGTCTGGGTGACAGAGCCAGACTCCATCTCAAAAAAAAAAAAAAAAAAAAAAAAAAAACCAGAAATAATGGACTGTAAAACAAAATAAATCTTAAATCAAGAACACTAAGTTCTATAACCTTACTCACAAAAATAAAATATAAAACAAATTTTAATAAGATAATGTAAATATACATACCCTCCACACACCAAGAATTCATTTGAAGCACGTCTGCCAGCAGTCCCCACTGGCATATCACCTAAAGGAGAGAAAAGAACAATCAGTTCCTGTTATACCATCTGCTTAAAAAAACACAAATTTGTTCCAAAATGATTATTAGGATTTCATGCACGATGCAAAATTACCATTGGCTTATGTTATGATTTCATGTATAAGAAATAATAGATGACCTCAGAAAACTACACCTAGCTGAAGACATAGGCTGCAACTCTTTGGATGCCCACTTCTATAAGCAAATTTGAGGTCTTCTTCAAAATAAAATGCCATATTTATTGCAGTGTTTACATATTTCTTCCCCATTAAACATGCAAAAACTGTGCTGTTTTTATCAGGTTCCTTTTTCTGTGTCAATGACAAAAGTTCTGAGAGTTGTGCCCTTTAATACTATTTGCACATAACTTTATTGCAAAATTTTGCAAAGAACATGTATATAACATAATAGAAGAACTGACCATATAACAAACTCTAGTTCCGTAAAATGTCGGATTACCCCATCCTCCTGCATAACACTCTCTCAGGTCTTGCATGAGTTGTTGAACAAGATGTCATGGAAGGCCAGGTGTGGTAGCTCATGCCTGGAATCCCATCATTTAGGGAGGCAGAGGCGGGAGAATAGCTTGAGCCCAGGAGTTTGAGACCTGCCTGGGCAACATAGCAAGATCCCATTCTCAAAAAAAAAACATAATAATGTCAGGTAGCAATAAGCATTATAAAGGAAAATAAATCAGGGTAAGGGAAAAAAGAGTAGCAGGGCAAAGGGGAAGTCCATTTTTATTTAAAGACAATGAATATTTGTCTATAGGAGAATTGAGAAAACAGGGAGAAGAGGCAGGGATAAAATCTAGATTTTACTAAGTGTACTTCCTTTCGTAGCTTTGAGTTTGAAACCATACATAATTTTCAAACGAAATTAAATCAAAAGAAAATAAAATCCCTAAAAATCAAAAGTAAAGGAACCTAATCATGTATCAACCTGATAGCTTAATCACGAGAGGGAAATTATTTCAAGTAACTTTTTTTTTTTTAATTTATGTATTTTTGAGACAGAGTCTCACTCTGTCGCCCAGGCTGAAGTGCAGCAGCATGATCTCGGCTCACTGCAACCTCTGCCTCTAAGGTTCAAGCAATTCTCCTGCCTCAGCCTCCCAAGTAGCTGGGATTACAGGTGTGTGCCACCACACCCAGCTAATTTTTGTATTTTTAGTAGAGACAGGGTTTCCCCATGTTGGCCAGGCTGGTCTCGAACTCCTGACCTCAAGTGATCTGCCCACCTCGGCCTCCCAAAGTGCTGAGATTACAGACATGAGCCACTGAACCTGGCCTCAAGTTAACTTTGAAACTCAATAATTTGATTGCATATACCCAATGGGATTATCCTAAGGACAAAAAAGATCTTAAATGGCTTTCAATGACCACATTTTAAAAAATTTTAAGTCAGATAGGACCAATAAATAATCATATTTTAAGTAATATTCATAGAGTTCTTTTGATACCATGTTGTAATTTTGAAACTATAGAGGCAACGGGACAGAAAAGAGAAGAGCCTAAACTCACAAGGACAAAAAGAACAGAAAAGTTCACAGCCACCAAAATTTGGAAGGTATAAAGTTGATGGACGAGTAGTATTTGACTTAGTTGACCCAAGAAGATAGAACCTTAGCCAGCTGGAAAGCCCAGAAGTAAACCAATTTACATCACAGAACTCCAAAATGCTTAGTAATCAGCAGTACCACATACCTTTCAGAGTAGCACTGAAGGTAGGACTAAAAGCAGGATTGATTGAAAGTCTATTTAGAAGCCGTTAGAATACAGTTCATCATAGTGTATCGTATTCAGGATTTTTGGTAAGTGAATAGATTACAGCTGCTCATGGAGGGAGGGGTGAGTAACTGTGAGTTGATGAATACATTAATTTATTTCACCGTAGTAACCATTTTACTATATATAGATGCCCCTCAACCTAAGATGGTGTCACTTCTGAATAAACCCATTGTAGGCTGAAATTGTCCTGGGTCAAAATGCTTTTAATACACCTAACCTACCGAATATCATGGCTAAGCCCAGCTACCTTAAACATACTCAGAATACTTACACTGGCCTACAATTGGGCACACAAAGCCTATTTTATGAAGTGTTGAATATCTCCAGCATCAGCTGTTTACTCTGGTGATCGCAGGCTGACTAGGAGCTGCAGCTCGCTGCTGCCACCCAGCATCACAAGAGAGTTCTGTACTGCATATTGCTAATACAGAAAAAGATCAAAATTCAAAATTTGAGGGATGGTTTCTACTGAATGCATATCATTCTCCCACCATCATAAAGTCAAAAAATTGTAAGCCAGTGACTATTTGTATATCTCATAATATCATGCTGCATACCTTAAATATACATAATACAACGTATTTTTTTATATAGAATTCTTTTTAAAAGAAGCAGTTAGAATTTTATATCCTTTCCCCAACCTTATGCAGGTAGGCAATGCCCATCTCCCACTATAGCAAAAAACTGTACATTCATACTTGGGACAGAGTAAAACAGAGGGTCTCTGAACTGCAGAACAGCAGGAAAAATTAAAAGCAAGGGTACTACACTGATAAAAAGATTAGTGGAAAAGAGTTATTAAACGAAATTTTACACTGACTATTGAGAACTCCATACTTCTTCCCCCATTTTGCTACTCCAGATAATATCAGGTTTATACTCTTCAGGCAAAAGATTGGATGAGTCTTTTGGGGGATCTGAGTAGCCCTCCAAAAGGGAAATAGTCCCAAGAATTGCCCCCGCCATATCATTCATCAAAGAGGCTTGCTTGCTGTCAATGAGACACTCCCACATACAGAGCTCTCAAACAACTTTCAAATTCTCCATCATCAAGAAGCATACAATATACTGCATGTTGAAATAAGAACAATACTCAGAGAAAAAGAACTTCTGAAAATTTAAAACATGAGAGCATAAAAGAAAAACTCACTAAAAGGGTAAGAAGAAACATTAATAAATTAGAGCAATAAGACAAAAAGATGGAAAATATGACCAAAAAAAGATAAAAATCAGCAGGGCACTCAGGTACTTGTTATGTTATATATTACTTTTAAACTGTATAACTGTTTTAAACATCTTGTATGTATGATACATTTCACAATAGCACATTTTTAATCATTAAAAAGAAGGGCATGATCAACTGTAACAAATGTGGATATATCAGGACAATGAGGACTGAGAACTGACCCCTAGGATTTGGCAGCACAAAGATCTTGACAGGAGCAGTTTTGAAACATTTACACCAGCACACACAAGAAAAAAGATAACTAGAAGAAAACAAAAGATGTGAATGCTCTTTATATAGAAAAGTATAAAAATGTATCAAAACACATTAAAGAAACCTAAATAAGTGGAGAAATACACATTCATAATTAGGTGACTTAATATTGTAAAGAACCTGCCTGTCCTTGAATAGGTCATACTATACAGTCAATGCAATTCCCATCAAAATCCCAAAATGGTTTTCATAAACTTATTGAGCTGAAATTAAACTATATGTGGGGGGAAAGGGCCAAGAATAGCCAGAGTGATTCTGAAGAATACTGAAATGCTCTCTGCCTCTCCTTCCCTCCCTGACCACACACACATACTGACACAAATTTAAAAATTCTTATAATATAGACAAAAAAAGAAACCCCATCTTGTATTTCAAGCTGACATGACAAATGTGACACTGCGTATCAGTGGAGAAAAGACAAATATTTAATAAATAGGACATGTGACTGATTTCTACCTTGCTCCATCTACAAAAATGAGTTACAGGTAAAATTAAATGTGGAAAAAAAAATCTTTAGAAGAAAATATAGAACACCATTATAACACTAGGGCAGCATGACAGAGAATATTAGTACAAGTTGTTTGTACCAATATATTATAAAGTTGTAGATATCTAAGTTTTTAGTTAGAAGAAATTCTGGGACATGTACACAAGAATGTCTGTTATTATATACATATATATATATATATATATATATATATTTTTTTTTTTTTTTTTTTTTTTTTGGAGACAGGGTCTTGCTCTGTTGCCCAGGCTGGAGTGCAGTGGCACAATCATGGCTCACTGCAGCCTCAAACTCCCAAGCTGAGACTACAGGTATGCACCACCATACCCAGCTACTTTTTCTATTTTTGGTAAAGGTGGGGTCTTGCCATGATGCCCTGGCTGGTCTTGAACTTGGGGGTTCATGCGATCCTCCCACTTCAGCCCCCAGAGAAGCTCTGACTACAGGTGTGCACCACCACGTCTGGCTAACCTTTTAGTTTCTGTAGAGAAAGAATCTCACTATGTTGCCCAGACTGGTTTCAAATTTCTGGGTACAAGCAATCCTTCCTCCTCAGCCTCCCAAACTACTGGGATTACAGGTTGTGAACCACAATGCCTGGCTCATTACATTTTGGACAGTGAAAAGGTAGAAGTAACCCAACTATAAATCAGTAGGGAAATGGATAAACTGTGTTTTAGTTATATTATACAATTCAGGTATTGGAATGAATTTTGAATTTTAGAACATTCACATTATACTGAGCATTCCAAATGCAAAAATCTAAAATCTGAAATGCTTCAGTGAGCATTTCCATTGGGCATCATGCTGGCACTCTAAAAGTTTCAGATTTGGGGGCATTTCAGATTTTCTAATTTGGCAGGCTCAACCTGTAACTATAAAAACACAAAAACCCTGTGTTAAGTATGGATACAATTGTATGCAGAAATATGAAATCTACAGGAAGAATATACCCCTAGCAAGAGCAGAAAGAGAAAAGGCACTTTAGCTGTACTTAACAGCATTTTTTTTTGTTTGTTTTTTTGTTTGTTTTTTGAGACAGAGTCACTCTCTGTCACCCAGGCTGGAGTACAATGGCACGATCTCAGCTCACTGCAACCTCCCCCTCCCAGGGACCCCAGTGCTCCTGGAGGGGGTTCAACGATTCTCCAGCCTCAGCCTCCCGAGTAGCTGGGATTACAGGTGCGCGCCACCATACCTGGCTAATTTTTGTATTTTTAGTAGAGACGGGGTTTCACCATGTTGGTCAGGCTGGTCTCAAACTCCTGACCTCATGATCTGCCCACCTCGGCCTCCCAAAGTGGTGGGATTACAGGCGTAAGCCACTGCGCCCAGCAACTTATGGCATTATATATATTTTAAAAACACATCTAAGACAAATATGGCAAAATATTGACCTATATAAAAGTAACACAGCCTAGTGGGTACCTTGAGTATCTGCTCTACTATTTTGTTTAAAATGTTTCATGATTTTAAAAGTTTTAATTACTTTTGGTAAATAAATAAAACCACTTGACTAGTTAATGGGTGCAGCACACCAACATGGCACATGTATACATTTGTAACAAACCTGCACGTTGTGCACATGTACCCTAAAACCTAAAATAATAACAAAATTTAAAAAAAAGAAAAAAGAAAAAAAAGAAAACCACTGTACTAGATTACTTTTAAAGGTAACTCTCAGTTCTCATAATGCTGGTTATAAACTGCCATGGCACTGCTGCTGTGGTCCATGTTTTCCCTTCCACACCCAGCTAATACTTAATTACATTCAGTTTAGGGATTATGGTCTTCACAACTAGCACAGTGCCTAGAATGAGCATCTACTAAATAAGCACTAGACGAACAACTAAAAAGACCTGATACAAACTGCTGCACATAATCAGCACTTGATATTATTCAATTATTAAAGTAATCAAATCTCTAGCTTTTCTGATACTATTCCTTCATGATCAAACCATGGCTCCTTCTTTTTAATAGTTTTACCTAATATCTCTTTTTTGTAGGTTTTCTGGTACCCTTCACTATTCCAAAGTACACTGGCTCTATTTAGTCACTTGGCTTCTAGTTCCTTTATGAAAATTCTTCCCATATATTTATGAAGTTCATTCCTTAACTTACATAAGTATTTTCTGAAGGACGTTCAGATTGTTTATAACACTCTTTTGACTCAGGTTTTTTCCCCAAATGAGTTGTTCCTTTCTTTCCTTAGTTTCACTCATTCTGCTGGTTTCTCTATTTCTTTCTGTTTGGATACAAACAGAATTTGAGATCATTTCCTATAAAGTTTTCATGTACCTTCAGAATCCAAAATTATTGTTTAATAGAAGATGATTGAGCAAATTTTAAAAAGGTAGGAATATAATTCTGAGAATTCAAACAACTAAATAAAATGCTCATTTGAAAAGGTGCCCTACACAAGAAAGTGTAATATATGGGTTAAAAAAAAGATGCTAGTTTAGTAGATTAAGAAATACAATGTGTACAAGTAGAAAAGATTCTCACATGAGTGGTCTGACGAGATGTTGTGTGGCACCAAAACAAAGTCATCCGTGTCACAAGAAGAGTTCTTGCTACTAGTACTGGCAGAATCTTTGGAAACTTGTAGATAGTTGGGAGGACCCAATGGTGGGGAAGATAAGTTTTCTTCCTGAATATGCTGCATATCTGGAAGGGACTAAAATTAACAACATAAAATTAAAACTGGTCTAATAATCAAATGCAAGTCAGAATAGTGACTAGACTAAGGAATTTTTTTTTTTCCCCCACAAAAGTGGGCATGAAGTCCAATTCCATCTAAGGTTTCAAAAAAATCTCTTTGGAAAAGCTTTCCTTTAGAAAACCTTTCTTTTAAAAGTGTTTGCATAAAGACTTCTGAAATGTTTTCCAAAAATGATACTTAAAAATATATCGTACCACTTATCCGCATGTACTTGCCTCCCTCTCCTGAAGTTTTTGAGAAAGTAAATTTTTATCATCACAACATCCCCCGGTTCTAGCTCATGGCCTAACAAAGCAGATACTTAATAACTTTCCACTTAATGACTAAACACAAAATGTCCAGAGACTTTAAATTAACGACATCTTACACACACACGTTTTAAATATATAATGAAGAAAAATTATAAGCAGGAAACCAAGAGACCACATTATGTAAAAAAATAGACAAATCAGGAAGGGTGCCTGCACTTAAGACCAGAAATGTATTTATAGATTTGGAAAACCTTACAGGTATCCTTGTGTTCCTCTTGTTTTTGTTTTATCAGGGGTAGTAGTTGATTTGTTAGTAGGAGATAGGATAGGAAGGGAAGAAAAGCATGTAAATATATTTAAACAAATACTTAAGAGCTAACTAGCTACGTATCTTTTGTCGTTTATCTAGTGCAAGGACCCTAGTTGACAACTCATTGAATATCTTGATTATACAATGGTTTTCTACAACAATGAACTTCATAGCTTATTGTGTCAAGCCCCTATTAACCTGTTTCATCTTTGCCTTTATTTAAGGAACGGAAAAATACTATATTATGCTCTTTAAACCCAAGCCTTAAATACCTGGTTCACTGCTGCTGCTCCTTTGAATGTCACTGTGCCATGGTATCGGTCACTGATACCACTTATTTTCATGTGTGTGACATGCACTTGACACAATCTCTCCTTATCACTTTTTGAAGAGACTTTGTATCTCAAGGTAATGAAGGGAAGGGAAGATGGAAGAACTAGCACTACTGAGCCTCAACCATGCGCTAGGCACTGTTAAAAGAGCTTTCCGGCAGGGTGTGAATCACGGCTCACACCTGTAATTCCAGCACTTTGGGCCTGTAATTCCAGCACTTTGGGAGGCCGAGGCGGGCAGATCACGAGGTCAGGAGATCGAGACCATCCTGGCTAACATGGTGAAACCCCGTCTCTACTAAAAAATACAAAAAATTAGCCGGGCATGACGGCGGGCGCCTGTAGTCCCAGCTACTCGGGGGGTTGAGGCAGGAGAATGGTGTAAACCCGGTAGGCGGAGCTTGCAGTGAGCCAAGACTGCGCCACTGCACTCCAGCCTGGGCGACAGAGTGAGACTCCGTCTCAAAAAAAAAAAAAAAAAGAGCTTTCCATGTTATCTAACTTTAGCCCATTCACATATAAATAAAGTTCAGACAGGTAATTTGCCCTAGATCACACAATTAAAAAGTAGTCAAGCTGAGATGTGATTCTAACTCCACAATATCTTTCCAGTGGTTTAGGCAGGAACTTTCCCAGTTTCTTCTCCTGCTATTTACAAAATTACCTGCATCTACAATCACCCTGGTCATTCTTTCTCGTAACAGTGGAAGAGATGCTTCTCTTCCATGGGCGCTCCTCTCTCCACCTGTGCTCTGCATTCCATGCTCCTCTATGTCCCCAGTGGCCTAGAACAACTCCCCTCGGCTCCTGACATTTTCATCCTCTCCTTTTGTTATGGCATTTTTTCCCTCTGTAGATAACCATGTTTAACTTTCTCACATCTCAAATCCCTAAAACCCTCTCAAATTATCATCTCTTCTTCATTTCTTTTCTTTTTTCTTTTTTTTTTTTTTTTTTTTTGAGATGGAGTCTCACTGTGTCACCCAGGCTGGAGTACAGTGGCATGATCTTGGCTCACTGCAACCTCTGCCACCCAGGTTCAAGCGATTCTCCTGCCTCAGCCTCTCGAGTAGCTGGGATTGCAGGCATCTGCCACCATGCCTGGCTAATTTTTGTAGTTTTAGTAGAGACGGGGTTTCACCATCTTGGCCAGGCTGGCCTTGAACTCCTGACCTCATGATCCACCCGCCTCAGCCTCCCAAAGTGCTGGGATTACAGGCATGAGCCTATAAACAACATATCTTGAAATTATCATCTTCACTGACTCAAATGTGTCACATCCTATATATCCCTTAATTCAACATAACCCACTCTGTCTTCAACCCTTGAATAAAAATGCCTTTACTAAGATTATCAATAATTTCTATTGTCAAGTCCAGCAAGTATTTCCCGTACTCCTTAAGGTACTTGAACTTTTTGCTCCATCTGTACTGTGGACCATTCTTCTCAACACTCTGCCCCTTCATTCAGTGACCCTGCAATCTCTTGTTTTTCCTACTTCTTGGGGACTCCTTCTGAGTCTCTTTTGTGAGTACATACTTCTCATTTGCCCCTCAAAAAGGAGGAGAAGGAGAAGAGTAGAGAGTTCCCCATGAGCCACCCTGGGCTCTTCACGCTTCACTTGTTGTACTTACCCGAGTGACCATGCTCACTGTCCCTCCTACCTTTAACTACCACTCACAGAATGATGGTTCCTACTTTTTGATCTTCAGCCAAAATTCTCTCTGATGAGCTCTAGATCCCTTTGTTCACTTGCCTATACAACACATTCATGCCTGTACGTTAACTCATCACCTTTATATTCCAAAGCACTGCTCCCCAAGTTCCCTCAGAGTGACCTTGCCAGCCGGCCATTGTCACCAGCAAGGTCTCACTCTTCCTCAGGTTCCAAGTTCAAGCAATCTTCAAGATCTGTGCGCTCTTTGCCTTTCTCTTACCTGGCTCTTCTCCTTCCTTACTGCCGCCTTAGTTCAGGCTTCGTTCTCAAAACAGTAATGACGACAACAACAATGATGATAAAATAAAAGGTGCAAGGGTCTCAAGGTGTCCTCTCTCCTCTAGTGGAGACCTCTGTATTTCCTCTCTCACTCCAACCTAGTCCTCCACCCTGCTTTTGGGAGAATCTAGCTAAAAAACACAGTGGATCATATCACTCACTCTAAAATCATTCCAATGGCTCACTGCAACTTTATTTATTTTTTTTTTTTTTGAGATGGAGTCTCGCTCTATCACCAGGCTGGAGTGCAGTGGCGTGATCTCGGCTCACTGCAACCTCCGCCTCCCGGGTTCAAGCGATTCTCCTGCTGCAGCCTCCCGAGTAGCTGGAACTACAGGCGCGCCCCACCACGCCCAGCTAATTTTTGTATTTTTAGTAGAAATAGGGTTTCACCATGTTGGCCAGGATGGTCTCAGTCTCTTGACCTTGTGATCCACCCGCCTAGGCCTCCCAAAGTGCTGGGATTACAGGCGTGAGCCACCGTGTCCGGCCTAGCTCACTACAACTTTTAAGAATGCAGCTGAAATTCCTTTGCTTGACCTCCAAATACTGTCAGGCCTCTGTCTACCTCTCTAGCTTTCTTTTCCCTTCACCCATCACCAATGCTCTCTGCATCCACCAAACTGAACTACTGAGTGCAGCCTTGTTCTTTCTGCAATGATGGAAAAGGCCTATATTTGAGCTATCCACTATGGGAGCTACCAGCTAGCTAAGGCTACTAAGCACTTGAAATGTGGCTGGTGTGAATAAGAAAATGAATTTTAAAATTCACTTAATTTTAACAAATTTAAATGTAAATGGCCATGGAGAGCTAGAGTTCCTTCAGTGGCTCACGCTTCTATGACTTCATGTACGGAAATTCTTCTGCTTACAATATCATTCTTTCACTAATTCTTGCAATCTTTCTTCAAAACTCAGCTCAAACAATCCCCTCTTTTTAGCAGCCTTCCTAAATCCTTAATCTAATTTTGATGTTCCCCAATCACACTCCCATAGGCAATGAAGATACATATACATATGCTTCTGGCAATGACTGAGTTACCTACCTCTTCTCCATACAATTAAATTAAAACCTCCTTAATGTCAGGGACCTGGTCATCTCATTCATTAGTATAAACCAGAACATCACACAAAGTAGGTATTCGATAAATGTTATAAAACGAATAAATAGGCCAGGCGAGGAGGCTCACACCTATAATCCTAGCACTTTGGGAGGCTAAGGCAGGTGGATAACCTGAGATCAGGAGTTCGAGACCAGCCTGGCCAACATGGCGAAACCCCATCTCTACTAAAAATACAAAAATTACCCAGAAGTGGTGGCACATGCCTGTAATCCCAGCTACTCGGGAGGCTGAGGCAGGAGAATCACTTGAACGCGGGAGGCAGAGGTTGCAGTGAGCCGAGATCGCGCCACTGCACTCCAGCCTGGGTGACAGAGTGAGACTCTGTCTCAAAAAAATCACTAAATAAATAAATATTCAAGATTTACCATCTAAATAGCATTTAATCTCTAGTCAGTATCATAATTAAAAGAGTGATTTGGAGTTTTTTTATTGTTTGTAATTTTTTGTTTTGGGGGGGGCCTAGAATTTTTCTGGAATAAAATAGCAGCTAGATATTTACATGAGAATGTAAAAACGACAACGTTATATCACATGCCTGTGTATCTCAAGCCTCTGTATGAGTCTACACCAGTCCTAGAAAGAAGGGGAAGCATGTATGAAATCATCTTATTTTTGGCAGATGATGTTAAATGTAAGGTCTATCAAACCATACCATTTTCTAATCCCACTAACTGGAAACTATATACAAATGTTCGTACTTTCCTTTTTTCCCCTGCTTTCCACTTTATTTCCATTTTTTTTAAAGGCTTCCTAAAATGATGTTTATTGGTTGGTTGGTTTTTGAGACAGGGTCTCTCTGTATCCAGGCTGAAGTGCAGTGGAGCAATCATAGCTCACTGTAACCTCGAAGTCAGGGGCTCAAGCACCCAGCTAATTTTTAATTTTTTTGTAGAGACGGGATTTCACCATGTTGCCCAAGTTGGTCTCAAACTCCTGGGCTCAAGCAATCCTCCCACCTTGGCCTTCCAAAGTGCTGGGATTACAGGCGTGAGCAAGCACACCCAGCTGACCTTATCTTTTTTTTTTTTTTCTTTGAGAGAAAGTCACAAAGTCTTGCTCTGCAGTGGCACAATCTCAGCTCACTGCAATCTCCACCTGCTGGGTTCAAGTGATTCTCCCACCTCAGCCTCCCAAGTAGCTGGGATTACAGGCGCACGCCACCACACCTGGCTAATTTTTGTATTTTTAGTAGAGACAGGTTTTCACCATGTTGGCCAGGCAGGTCTCAAACTCCTAATCTCAAGCGATCCACCCACCTTGGTCTCCCAAGGTGCTGGATTACAGGCGTGAGCCACTGAGCCTGGCCCAACCTTACTTTTTAAAGAACTCTAATGAATAAGACATAAAAAGGATATGTTTATGCCAGTGACTTATTTTATTTTTTATTTTATTTTTTTTTTTGAGATAGAGTCTCGCTCTGTTACCTACGCTGGAGTGCAGTGGCATGATCTTGGCTCACTGCAGCCTCTGCCTCCTGGGTTCAAGTGATTCTACTGCCTCAGCCTCCTGAGTATCTGGGATTACAGGTGCACGCCGCCACGCCCAGCCAATTTTTGTTATTTGAAAAAACACCAAGACAGGGTTTTGGCATGTTGGCCAGGCTGGTCTCAAACTCCTGACCTCAAGTGGTCCACCCGCCTCAGACTTCCAAAGTGCTGGGATTATAGGCATGAACCACCACACCCGGCCCGTTTACTGTTTTTTGTTTGGTTTGTTTTTTTTTATTGAGATGGAGTCTCGCTCTGTCGCTCAGGCTGGAGTGCAGTTGAGCGATCTTAGCTCACTGCAACCTCCGCCTCCCGGGTTCAAGCGATTCTCCTGCCTCAGCCTCTCGAGTAGGTGGGACTACAGGCGCGTGCCACCATGCCCAGCTAATTTTTTGTATTTTCAGTAGAGATGGGGTTTCACCGTGTTAGCCAGGACGGTCTTGATATCCCGGTCTCATGATCTGGCCACCTCAGCCTCCCAAAGTGCTAGGATTACAGGCGTGAGTCACCACACCCAGCCGGATTTTTTTTTTTTTTTTTAATAGAGGCAGGTTCTTACTATGTTGCCCAGTCTGGCCTTGAACTCCTGGGATCAAGCAATCCTCCCATTTCAGCCTCCCTTACAGCTGAGTCTACAGTCATGCCCAGGCACGCCTGGCTATTTTTTTTTTTTTTTTTTTAGTAGAGATGGGTGGTCTTGATATGTTGCCCACGCTGGTCTTGAACTCCTGGAATCAAACAATATTCCTGCCTCAGAAAAAATAGGTTTGTCCACCAGAGTTTTTAACATCTAAAAAAGACTTTCTCTTTCTCCTGCCTCTCTTCACTCCTCCAGTTAGTTCTACATTCAGCTACTCCTTGGCAGCCCTAGCCTGGCTCCTATTTTGTCCTCCTCTTTCAACCAACAAAAACCCCAAAATGCTCTCTCCAGTCAAAGAAAATTTCCAGTTCAACGTCCTCCCTACTGGCCTCTCTCATCCCTCAGTCACACTATCACCCCACAGGCTCCTTTATGTTTGCTCTCCCAAAATTAGATTCTTCCCTGTTGTTCTTTCCTCTAGCACAAGCTTTGCTTTTCATATTACATTGTGTCAAATATATGGTTCATAATAATAGCCACAATTTATTGAGACTTTGCCATGGCTAGGCACTTCCCACATCTTACTACCAGGACCCTGCAAGCAAAGGTTAAACAAGCCTATGGTCCAGATGAGGACACCATGGCCCACCTCTCTAACTGACCGGCCCAAAGTCACTGAGTGGGCAAGCAGCAGGGCTAGGATTGGTGCCAGCGTGTCTGGCTCTTAATTTTTTTAGTTCACCAGAACATAACATAAGTCTTATTAACATAATCTGCTTTATCTATTTGGTATGAATTTGCGGGGCTGTGTAAGAAAGGTTTGCTGCCAGTTTTGAGACTTGTCTGTTTGCAACAGGCTACATCTGCATCTGCTTTACCTAACAGTTGCCACCCCTTGCGTTATATACTATGTGTCAGACCCTGCATGCAATAAGTGCTTACACTCACTTATCCCTGAAGAACCCTACGAGGTAGGTAAATTACACTTACTTGACATACAAAAAAAAGGTGTCCTATATGACAGGTAAGGTACATGGAGGCTGCAAGCCCCATCCACTTAAACCTCTGAGTTGTCTCACTTTTATGGCTCCCCTATCTTTCTGCCAGCGGCATTCAAGAAATTGATGTCTGGGGCAGGGTGCCGTGGCTCACACTTTGGGAGGCCAAGGCGGGCAGATCACTTGAGTTCAGGAGTTTCAGACCAGCCTGGCCAACATAGTGAAACCCCGTCTCTACAAAAGATACAAAAAATTAGCTGGGTGTGGTGGTGTGCGCCTACAGTCCCAGCTACTTGGGAGGCTGAGGCTGGGAGAATCGCTTAAACCCAGGAGGCGGAGGTTGCAGTGAGCCAAGATGGAGCCACTAAACTCCAGCCTGGGCGACAGAGCGAAACTCCATCTCAAAAAAAAAAAAAAAAAAAAAAAAAAAAGCCTAAGAGAAGAGTGGAGTAGGAAGAAGTGACTAGAGTGACCAGAAGGCCTCAGGATTAGGAAGAAGTACTGAGATGGGAGGGAACACAGCCATGAAGAAAATGCCTTGGGAGCTTCAGGGAAAGGAAGAGGTTTGAGTAGAAGCCACCTTAAAGCGCCAGAAATCATGATTAAGAGAATCTAAGTCAGTGAAATCTGGCTCAGAGGTGACTCCTCCCTCAGTAGAAATTCCACATACAAAAAAAATCCAAGCTCATGTCTACGGCATTCAGATCAAATAAATATTTATTGCCTATCCACCTGTAATGGGTACTCTGTTTGCAAGTATCATCACCAAAACACCATAGGGTATAAGAAGGTGATAGTGCTATACTCACTGTTCAGAGGAAAATGGCCCAGAGAGGTGACATTTCTTTCTGGAGCTTACACAGTAACATATGGACAGAGGCCCGAATGCAGGTCCATTTGACCCAACTATCATGTTCTTTCCCCCAAATCTCAGCTACATTAGTAAACATTACACATAAAAAGAATATCCACAGTGTATGTGCATGCTCCATTTGAGAAAAGATGTAATAGCACTAACTCTGAAATTATTTTTAATAAACTGTAACTTACTGGTGGAGAAGCAAAACGACAAGATGGAGAGCTGCCACAGGAGCTTCCAGAGACAGAACCAGAATACATGGGCACTGGAACTGGGCAAGCTAGGGGAAGAAACACAAATGAACTACATCATTTTGTAGTGCAGTCACATGACCTGTATAACAGAAACACTTGCCAAAACTACTACACCTTTGTGTTCCCCCAAAATCTGCATTTACCTATTTATTACCACATCTGCTGATGAAACTAAAAATGCAGCAATTACTAAAACTATTTCAACTTCGTTTCAGAAGGAAAAATAGAACAGTTATTAAATAAACACAACCGTAGGTATCTAAGAAAATCAGGCTGGGAGCAGAGGCTCACTCCTATAATCCCAACACTTTGGGAGGCTGAGGCAGGAGGATCACTTGAGGTCAGGAGTTTGAGACCAGCCTGACCAACATGGTGAAACCTCGTCTCTACTAAAAATACAAAAATTAGCCAGGTGTGGTAGTGCCCGCCTGTAATCCCAGCTACTCCAGAGGCTGAGGCAGGAGAATCACTTGAAACCAGGAAGCAGAGGTTGTACCACTGCACTCCAGCCTGAGTGACAGAGCAAGACTCCGTTTAAAAAAAAAAGTAGCTGGGTGTGGTGGCTCACACCTGTAATTCCAGCACTTTGTGGGGCTGAGGCGGGTGGATCACCTGAGGTCCGGAGTTCGAGACCAGCCTGACCAACATGGAGAAACCCCATCTCTACTAAAAATACAAAATTAGCCGGGCATGGTGGCGCATGCCTGTAATCCCAGCTACTCCAGAGGCTGAGGCAGGAGAATGGCTTGAACCCGGGAGGTGGAGGTTGCTGTGAGCCGAGATCACGCCACTGCACTCCAGCCTGGGCAACAAGAGCGAAACTCCATCTCAAAAAAAAAAAAAAAAAATAAATAAATAAATAAATAAATTCAATGAAATTTTAGGAGTCACAATAAAAGATGAATTTTGTAGTAAAAATCATTAATTTTTCCTAAAGCTTGCATTCATTCTTTAAGTGAAAATACAAAAAATGGATACTCACATTTTTTTACTGGACCTTGCTCAAGAAAAGGATGGCTAAAAAATGCTTCTGTAACAAGAAATGAGAATGCAACCTTTAAAGAGACATTGACTAAACTATCAACCAGGTTATTTTTTCTCAACGTATTCAATATAATGTCTTTGAGATCAGAATTTAACTTCTTTATATAGGCTCCATTTCCTTTAAATGTAAAAGCGTATTTTTTATAAATCCTCTATAAAATAATTATTTTTATAATCATATAAAATAATGAATCAATAACAAATTTTAAATAATTACGAATTCTCAAAACATCTATCACCAGCACAACATACTCTGATGCTACTTACACAGACATGTTCTCTAACGTATGCCACCCTCCAGTGGACAGCCCCACAGGAGAACTGTGATCACCAGGCCCTTGTTAAGCACCCATGTGAACTACAGCTGTTAATTGTCCTAAGAGGAAATTGATACAGCTGATTTATACAACAAACTATCCTTCGCCCCTACAAGTATTCCTGATGCTGGTTTCACATTAAAAAGAGAAAAAACTGGCCGGGTGTGGTGGCTCACGCCCGTAAGCCCAGCACTTTGGGAGGCCGAGGCAGGCAGATCACCTAAGGTCAGGAGATTGAGACCATCCTGGCTAACACGGTGAAACCCTGTCTCTACTAAAGATACAAAAAATTAGCTGGGCATGGCGGCCGGCGCCTGTAGTCCCAGCTACTCGGGAGGCTGAGGCAGGAGAATGGCGTGAACCCGGGAGGCGGAGCTTGCAGTGAGCCGAGATCGCGCCACTGCACTCCAGCCTGGGTGACAGAGCGAGACTCCGTCTCAAAAAAAAAAAAAAAGAAACTACAAAAACAATACATTCAATAATTTTAAAACCATTCTCCATAATAGTTGTTTCACTATTGACCATAATTCTCATGGTTCAGAGCAACTCTCAGCTTAACTTCTCCCTAATAGGTATAAATATTTCCAACTACATGAACTTAATTTTAGTCCAACTTTACAAAACATTAAGAAAATAGGTATTCAGACCATTTCATCTTTTCCCCGACATGGAAACAATTACAGCTATCCTCTACTGAGTATTCAACATTCACTAAGACAATGAACTGGGTGCTTCACAAACCTTATCTGAGGAAGTATGTCCTCCTATGATGGGTAATAAAATTAAAAGCACACAAAGGCCATGTTTCTTGTCCAATGTCAAAGAGTTAGTAAGGTGAGGGACTAGAATTCAAATTCTAGTCCAACTTATTTAAATACCAATGTGGGTTTCCCTATTATACTATACATTAGCAAACCAAAATCCTGGAGTATATTTCCACAAATCTCTGTTAGTATTACAACTATTACTACAGGAAAAGTCAAACACTTTTTTCCCTAAAAACTACAAGATCAGGGTTAATTTGCTAAGTATTTTCATTAAACATGTCTTAATGATTTCTCTGGTCTGACATTTTCAAGTAGCTGTTTTTACCTAAGATAAGAATTAGGTTGGACCGGGCGTGGTGGCTCACGCCTATAATCCCAGCACTTTGGGAGGCAGAGGTAGGTAGATCACCTGAGGTCAGGAGTTTGAGACCAGCCTGACCAACATGGAGAAACCCCGTCTCTACTAAAAATACAAAATTAACAGGCATGGTGGCACATGCCTGTAATCCCAGCTACTCAGGAGGCTGAGGCAGGGGAATCGCTTGAACCCGGAAGGTGGAGGTTGCGGTGAGCCGAGAACCTGCCATTGCGCTCCAGCCTAGGCACCAAGGGCGAAACTCTGTCTCAAAAAAAAAAAAAAAGCAACTTCCAAAAACTTTAAGATAAACTGATGAGACCCACACAGAGTTACAGAATCAAACTTTCAAAAGACAGAGAGAATCTTGGAAGCAAGAGAGAAGCAACTTGTAATATACAGGGATCCTTAATAAGAATATCAGCCAATTTCCCATCAAAAATCTTGAGGCCAGAAGGCAGTGGGATATTATCTAAAGTGCTGAAAGAAAAAAAAGTTAACTGAGAATTCTACATTCCACAAAACTGTCCTTCAAAACTCAGGAAGAAATTAAGATATCCCCAGAAAAACAAAAGCTGAGGGAATTCATTACCACAAGACCTCCCCTATAAGAAATGCTAAAGAGAGTACTTCAGGTTGAAATGAAAAGAGCTAGACAGTAAAAAGCCACATGAAGACATGAAGATCTCCGGAAAAGATAAATGCACTGGCAATTTAAAATCCAATAGTACTGTAATTTTGGTTTGTAACTTCACTTTTTCACTTTCTACAGAGTTTAAAAGACAAATGCATTAAAATTATCATAAAGATATAATTTGTGATATCAACATAAAGGGGGTATAAAGCAATACAGAAGTAGAGTTTTTGTGTGCAACTAAAGTTAATATGAATTCAGTAACTTTAGATGTTATATGTAATCCGCAGGTAACCACAAGGAAAAATATACACAGAAGGAAATGAGAAAGGAATCAAAACACATTACTATAAAAAACAACACTAAAGAGAGCAGTAATGGGAGAAATGTGGGACAAAAAAGCTGTAAGACATAAAAATAGTAAAATGGTGAAAATCTTTCCTCATCAGTAATTACTTTAAATGTAAATAGATCTCCTTAGGCAGAGACTGGCAAAGTAGATTAAAAGGAAATAATCCAACTATAATCTGTAAACAGAACAGAGACTCCCTTTAGGCCATGTGAGGTGGCTCACGCCTCTAATCCCAGGCAGATCTCTTAAGCTCAGGAATTCAAGACCAGCCTGGGCAACATGGTGAAACCAAAAATACAAAAAAATTAGCTAGGCATGGTGCTGCACATCTGTGGTCCCAGCTGAAGTGAGAGGATCGCCTGAACTCGGGACACAGAGGTTGCAGTGAGCTGAGATTGTGCCACTGCACTCCAGCCTGGGTGAAAGTGTAAGACTCCATCTCAAAAAGAAAAGAAAAAAGAAAAAGAGACTCGCTTTAAATCTAAAGACACAAATATTTGAAAGCAAAATAATGGAAAAAGCTATTCCCAGGCAAATACTAAGCAAAAGAGAAGGGCAAAGTTGACTATCAGACAAAATAGAATTTGAATTGAAAACTGTTATAAAAGACAAAAAGTACGTTAAATAAGGCCAAGTACACTGGCTTAAGCCTGTAATCCTAGCACTTGGGAGGCCCAAGGTGGGTGGATCGTTTGAGTTCAAGAGTTCTAGATCAGCCTGGAAAAAATGGTGAAACCCTGTCTCCACAAAAAATACAAAAATTAGCCAGGTGTGGTAGCTTTGCACCTGTAGTCCCAGCTACTTGAGGGGCAGAGGTGAGAGGATCACTTGAGCCCAGGAGGCAGAGGTTTCAGTGAGCCAAGACTGCACCACCGCACTCCAGACTAGGTGACAGGATGAGACCCTGTCAAGGAAAAAAAAAAGGGGGGGGGCTGGGCACGGTAGCTCACGCCTGTAATCCCAGCACTTTAGGAGGCTGAGGAGGGTGGATCACAAGGTCAGGAGTTTGAGACCAGCCTGACCAACATGGTGAAATCCTGTCTCTACTAAAAATATAAAAATTAGCTGGGCATGGTGGCAGGCACCTGTAGTCCCAGCTACTTGGGAGGCTGAGGCAGGAGAATCGCTTGAACCTAGGAGGCGGAGGTTGTTGCAGTAAACCGAGATCGCGCCACTGCACTCCAGCCTGGGTGACAGAGCGAGACTCCATTTCAAAAAAAAAAAAAAAAAAGGTATTAAATAATGATAGAAGGGTCAATTAACCAAGAAAATTTAAGATTTATAAACAATCAGAGCCCCAAAATACATGAAGCAAACATTGACAACTGAAGTGAGAAAGAGATTTGTACAATAATAGTTGGAGACTTCAATATCCCACCTTCAGTAATGGATAGGATAACCAGATACAGCATCAATAAGGAAAGGGAGGCACTGAACAGTGCTATAAACTAACTGGACCTAACAGACACACGCAGAGTACTCTAGTCTCTGAGAGCAGAGCATATATTTTTCTCAAGTACACATGGGACATTCTCCAAAACAGACCACACCTTAGGCCACAAAACAAGTCTTAATAATTTTTTTTTTTAATCAGAGACAATGTTGCGCTCTGTTTTTTCAGGCTGGAATGCAGTGGTGCAATTAGCTCATTGCAGCATCAAACTCCTGGGCTGAAGTAATCCCTCTTACCTCAGACTCCCAAGAAGCTGGAACTAAAGGTGCATACCACTACACCCAGCTAATTTTTAATATTTTTTGTAGAGACAGGTTCTCACTATGTTGCCCTGGCTAATCTCAAACTCCTGGCCTCATGCAGTCTTCCTTCCTCAGCCTCTCAAAGCACTAAGGTTACAGATATGAGCCACCATGCCTGGCCCATAAATTTTAAAAGATTGTAATCACGGTGACTGATTATCTTTTCCAATCACAATGGAATAAAAGTGGAAATCAAGGGCCGGGCGCAGTGGTTCATGCCTGTCCTTTGAGATTGTTTAAAAAAAAAAAAAAAAAAAACTAGAAATCAGTAACAGAGGAAATAACGGGAAAATCCACAATATGTGGAAATTAAACAAAACACTCTTGTGTTACTCTGTTTTCGCACACTATAAAGAACTACTTGAGGCTGGGCGCAGTGGCTCATGCCTATAATCCCAGCACTTTGGGAGCCCCAGGCAGCCTGATCGCTTGAGAACAGAAGTTCAAGACCAGCTGGCCAACATGGTGAAACCCCATCTCTACTAAAAATACAAAAATTAGCCATGCGTGGTGGCACGCAGCTGTAATTCCCGCTACTCAGGAGCCTGAGACAGGAGAATCGCTTGAACCCCGGAAGTGGAGGTTACAGTGAGCCACGATTGCTCCACTGCACTCCAGCCTGGGTGACAGAGCAAGACTCCGTCGCTAAAAAAAAAAAAAAAACTACCTGAGACTGGCCATTTTATGAAGAAAAGAGGTTTAATTTAGTTCTCCATGGCTGGGGAGGTTTCAAAAAACTTACAATCATGGCAGAAGGTGAAGGGGAAGCAAGCATGTCTTACCATTGCAGAGCAGGAAGGGGATGTACCACACTTTCAAACCATCAGATCTTGTGAGAACTCACTATCACGAGAACAGCATAGAGGAAATCCGCCCCCATGATTCACTCACCTCCCACCAAGCCCCTCCCCATTCACTCACCTCCCACCAAGCCCTTCCCCGTCTCATCTCATTCAAGATGAGATCTGGGTGGGACACAGAGCCAAAGGATACCAACTCTTAAGCAACCATGAGTCAAAGAAGTCATAAAGGCAAATTAGAAAATATCTTGAGACAAATGAAAATGAAAACACAACATACTAAAACTTATGGGATGTAGCAAAAGCAGTAGTAAGAGGGAAAAATATACCTGTAAACACCTCCTTTAAAAAAGAAGAAATAAGGCCAGGTGCCGTGCCCCACGCCTATAATCCCAACACTTTGGGAGGCCAAGGCAGGCAGATTACTTGAGGTTGGGGGTTCAAGACCAGCCTGGCCAACATGGTGAAGCCCCGTCTCTACTAAAAACACAAACAAATTAGCCGGGCGTGGTGGTGGGCACCTGTAATCCCAGCTGCTCAGGAGGCTGAGGCAGAAGAATCGCTTTAGCCCAGGAGGCAGGGGTTGTAGTGAGTCAAGACTGTGCCACTGCACTCCAGCCTGGGCGACAGAGCAAGACTCTGTCTCAAAAAAAAGAAGAAATAGGCCAGGCATGGTGGCTCACACTTGTAATCCCAGTATTTTGGGAGGCCAAGGCAAGTGGATCACCTGAGATCAGGAGTTTAAGACCAGCCTGGCCAACATGATGAAACCCTGTCTCTACTAAAAATACAAAATAGCCAGGTGTGGTGACTTGAGCCTGTAGTCCCAGCTACTCTGGAGGCTGAAGCAGGAGTATCGCCTGAACCCAGGAGCTGGATGGAGGTTGCAGTGAGCCAAGATGACGCCACTGCACTCCAGCGTTGGTGACAGAGCAAAACTCCATCTCAAAAAAAAAAAGAAAAAGAAACATCTAATCAATAAGCTAACTTCATGCTTATGGAACTAGAAAAACAGCAAACTAAGCCCAAAACTAGTAGAAGGAAAGAAATAATAAAGATTGGAGTCAAGATAAATGAAACATTTTCTTTTTTTTTTTTTTTCTTTTTATACAGGGTCTCATTCTGTCACCCAGGCTGGGTGCAGTGGCATGACCACAGCTCACTGTAGCCTTGACCTCCAGGGCTCAAGCAATCCTCCCAGCTCAGCCTCCTGAGTGGCTGGGACTACAGGCCCACACCACAACACCAGCTAATTTTTGTATTTTTAGTAGAAGGCTTTCACCACGTTGCCCAGGCTGGTCTCAAACACCTGAGTTTAACTGATCTGCCCATCTCGGCCTCCCAAAGCGCTGGGATTACAGATGTGAGCCACCATGCCCAGCTGTGCTTGAACTTTTAGTGCATTCCCCAAGCCACACACAGATCTATGGACAAAGGATGGTAACTTACCATCTCAAAGCACCACCTTTGACCAATAACTGGCTGACCACTAAAAAACTGTAGACAAAGGGGTGACCCCTAGGAAACTGGGCTTTACAATTTTTTTAACTGAAAAAAATACAAAAACAATTTTGGAGATAAATCAATGTTCAAAAACTGCAAGGAAAACAATATTCCGCAGATTTCGTCCACGCAAGTTACTAAACAAATAGAACAATCCGACCAGGCATCGTGGCTCATGCCTGTAATCCTAGCACTTTGGGAGGCCGAGGCAGGTGGATCACTTAAGGTCAGGAGTTCGTGACTAGCCTGGCCAACGTGGTGAAACCCTGTCTCTACTAAAAATACAAAAATTCACCAGGCGTAGTGGTGTGCACCTGTAATCCCAGCTACTCGGGAGGCTGAGGCAGGAGAATTGTTTGAACTCGGGCGGCGGAGCTTGCAGTGAGCTGAGATCATGCCATTGCACTCCAGCCTGGGCGACACAGTAAGACTTTGTCTCAAAGGAAAAAAAAAAAAAAAAAAAAAAACAGAACAACCCCCAATTGGGAGAGGGGGAGGGTTCAAATCTAAAGTTGCTATCTGTATTGAACAAAATGTTTGATTTTTGACAAAAAACCGCAAGGCATGCAAAGCAACAAAGAAGTATGGCCCATACACAGGGGAACGAAGCAGTCAATAGAAACTGTCGTGAGGGGGCCAAATGTTGAACTTAACAAAGACTTTAAAGCAGTTATTATAAACAAATTTTTTTTTTTTGAGACAGAGTCTCGCTCTGTCGCCCATTTTTAAAAGTAGAGAAAGCCAGCCAGGCACAGTGGCTCACGCTTGTAATCCCAGCACTTTAGGAGGCCGAGGTGGGTGGATCACGTGAGCCCAGGAGTTCAAGACCAGCCTGGCCCACATGGTGAAACCCCGACTCTATTAAAAACACAAAAAATTAGCTGGGCATGGTGGTGGGCGCCTGTAGTCCCAGCTATGCAGGAGGCTGAGGCAGGAGACAGCGACTCATCAAATAGAGAATATCAAGAAAAAGACAGAAATTATAAAAAAGAACCAAACAGAAAATCTGGAGTTAAAAAGTACAATAACTGAATAAAACAATCAGCAAGGCTGAGAACAGATTAACAGATATTTCCAATCTGAAAAACTCAAAGGAAAAAACAATATGGAAAAATGAACAGACTCAGCTGTGCGACATCATCAAGCATAGACCATTAAGTGCACACAATGGGAGTCTCAGAGAAGAGAAAGAGAAAGGGACAGAATGAATATTTTAAGAAATGATGGTTGACAACTCCCCAAATTTGGTGAAAAACATTTATTTATATATCCAAAAAGATCAATAAACTCCAGGCAGGATAAACACAGAGATACACATCTAGACACATCACAGTTAAAATTGTTGAAAATCAAAGACAGAGAAAAATCTCAAAAGCACTAAGAGAAAAATGACTCATCACCTACTAGGGAAACCTAGTAAGATTAACAGGTGACTTCTCATCAGAAACAATGGAGGAGGCCAGAAAGCAGTAAGATGACATAGTCAAAGTACTGGCTGGAGAAAATCCTAACAACCAAGAATTCAGTATCTACCAAAAAAAAAAACACTTTTCCAAAGTGAAGGGAAATAAAGGGAAATAATGACATTCCCAGATAAATGAAGATTCTGAGAATTTGTATAAAGAGCATTGGTAATTATGTAGATAATTATGGAAGACAGTACATTATATATTTTTCTCTTAGCCGATTTAAAGGACAACTGTATAAAATAATTATAAAATTGTACTATTGGGCTTTGTAACATACAAAGATTAATATATATGACAACACAAAAGAGGAGGAAAGGAATGGAATTATATTAGAACTAAAAAAATGACACCAAACAAAAAAGAGATACAAAAAATACAAAAAGAAAAAAAAAATGACACCAAACAGTAACTTGAGTCCGTAAGAATAAATGAAGAGTGTCAGAAATGATAAATGTATAGGCTAAAATAGTAATCTAAGGCTGGGCATGATGGCTGACACCTATAATTCCAGCACTCTGGGAGGCCGAGGCAGGATGTGCGCTTGAACCCAGGAGTTGGCAACCAGCCTGGGCAACATGGCAAAAACCTCTCTACAAAAAATTTAAAAATTAGCTGGGCATGGTGGTGTGCACTTGTAATCCCAACTATACAGAAGTTTCAGGCAAGAGGATCACTTGAGCCCAGGAGGTCAAGGCTGCAGTGAGGCTTGTTTTTACCACCGTACTTAGGCCTGGGTGCAGAGTGAGACTCTGTCTCAGAAAAAAAAAAAAAAGAGAAACACACAAAAAGACGCTATACATGTTTTTCACCTTTCTTCTCCTCACTTCTTAAAAAGAGGTAAGACTGTATAAAGCAATCGTCCTAACACCCCACTGCTGAGATTACAACATAGACATAATATGTAAGACAACAGCACAAAGGGAAGAGCGAATGGAGCCATATTAAGGGAACAAAGCTTCTACATTTTAATGGAATTCAACTGGTTTTTTGGTTTTTGTTTCTTTTTTTTTTGGAGATGGAGTCTCGCTCTGTCACCCAGGCTGGAGGAGTGTAGTGGCGCGATCTTGGCTCACTGCAAGCTCCGCCTCCCAGGTTCACACCATTCTCCTGCCTCAGCCTCTCGAGTAGCTGGGACTACAGGATGGTCTTGGTCTCCTGACCTCGTGATCTGCCCACTTCAGCCTCCCAAAGTGCTGGGCTTAACAGGCATGAGCCACCACACCCGGCCTCAACTAGTTTTTATATAAAGTAGACTGTGATAAATTAAGATGCATACTGTAGAGGCCGGGCGCGGTGGCTCACGCCTGTAATCCCAGCACTTTGGGAGGCCGAGGTGGGCGGATCACGAGGTCAGGAGATCGAAACCATCCTGGCTAACACGGTGAAACCCCGTCTCTACTAAAAATACAAAAAAATTAGCCAGGCGTGGTGGCAGGCACCTGTAGCCCCAGCTACTCGGGAGGCTGAGGCAGGAGAATGGCATGAACCCAGGAGGCAGAGCTTGCAGTGAGCCGAGATCCCGCCACTGCACTCCAGCCTGGGTGATAGAGCAAGACTCCGTCTCAAAAAAAAAAAGATGCATACCGTAATCCCTAGAGCAATCATTAAAAAAAAAAATACATAGTACAAAAAAGCCAGAACACTCAATGAAAGAATTTAAATGGCACACTAGAAAATAATCTATTTTGACTAGGAACAATGGCTCATACCTGTAATCCCAGCACTCTGGGAGGCTAAGGCAGGAAGATTTCTTGAAGCCAGGAATTCGAGAACAGCCCTGGCAACATTGTGAGACCCTATCCCTACAAAAGGGTAAAAAAATTAGCCGACTGGGCCGCGCCCGGTGGCTCACACCTGTAATCTCAGCACTTTGGGAGGCCAAGGCAGGTGGATCACCTGAGGCCAGGAGTTTGAGACAAGCCTGACCAACATGGCAAAAACCCATCTCTACTAAAAAAAAAAAAAAACAAAAATTAGGCCGGGCATGGTGGCTCACGCTTGTAATCCCACCACTTTGGGAGACCGAGGCAGGTGGATTATGAGGTCAGGAGTTCAAGATCAGCCTGACCAACATGGTGAAACCCCATCTCTACTAAAAATACAAAAATTAGCCGGGCATAGTGGCATGTGCCTGTAATCCCAGTTACTCAGAAGGCTAAGGCAGGAGAATCGCTTGAACCCGGGAGACGGAGGTTGCAGTGAGCCGAGATCGCGCCACTGCACTCCAGCCTGGGCAACAGAGCAAGACTCCGTCTCAAAAACACAAACAAGCAAAAAAAATTAGCCGGGCATGGTGATGGGCACTTGTAATCCCAGCTACTTGGGAGGCTGAGGCAGGAGAATAGCTTGAACCTGGGAGGCTGCAACCTGGGAGCTTGAACCTGGGAAGTTGCAGTGAGCCGAGATCATGCCACTGCACTCCAGGCTGGGCAACAAGAGCAAAACTTCGTCTCGAAAAAACAAAACAAAACAGGCTGGGCATGGTGGCTCATGCCTGTAATCCCAGCACTTTGGGAGGCTGAGGTGGGCGGATCACAAGGTCAGGAGTTCAAGACCAGCCTGGACAAGATGGTGAAACCCTGTCTCTACTAAAAATATAAAAAATTAGCTGGGCATGGTGGCGGGCGCCTGTAATCCCAGCTACTCGGGAGGCTGAGGCAGAGAATTGCCTGAACCCAGGAGGCGGAAGTTGCAGTGGGCCAAGATCATGCCACTGCACTCCAGCCTGGGCGACAGAGCGAGACTCTGTCTCAAAAACAAAACAAAATAAAACAAAACAAAAAATTAGCCAACTGTGGTGGTGCAGGCTTGTAGTCCCAGCTACTAAGGAAGCTGAGGTGGGAGAATCACTTGCACCCAGGAGTTCAAGGTTGCGGTGAGCTACGATCACACCACTGCATTCCAGTCCAGCCTGGGTAACAGAGTGAGGCCTTTTCTCTAATAAAAGAAAAAAAAAAAACAAAAGAATCTATTTAATAAATATTGCTTGGCACTGTGGCTCACATCTGTAATCTCAGCATTTTGGCAGGCCAAGGTGGGTAGATCGCTTGAGCCCAGGAGTTTGAGATCAGCCTGGGCAACATGACGAAACCCTGTCTCTACAAAAAAAATACAAAAACTAGCCAGAGGTGGTGTTGTACACCTGTAGTCCCAGGTACTGGGGAGGCTGAGGTGGGAGGATCACCTGAGCCTGGGAAAGTCAAGGCTGCAGTGAGCCATGATAGTACCACTGCACTCCAGCCTGGGTGACAGAGTAAAACCCTGTCTCAAAAAATATAAAAATAAATAAATAAATAAATCCAGGCTGACAACTCCCCAATCTGTCCCCAGTCTAGACTTTTCTGAAATTCAAGTGCACTTCTGACATCGACACTTAGATATCCAATGGTTATCTTAAATTTAACATGTCCAACAGAAACTCCTCATCTTGTCCCCATAGCCTGCTCTATCCATATAGTCTTTCCCATCACTGTAATCGACAACATCCTTTCAGCTGCTCAGGCCAAAAACCTTGGAGTCATCCTTGAGTCTTCTCTCTCACACCCTCACATTCAATCTATCAGTGAATGCTGTTGCCTCTACCACCAGAAAGATTTCTTACCACCTCCACTACTATTACCCTAGTCAAAGCTACACTCATCTCTCACCTGGGTAACGACAAGAGTCTCCTGATTAGTCTCCCAGCTTCTGCTCTTCCCCTTACATGCACACAGTCTATTCTCAAGCAGCAGCCAGCTTGATCCTTTTTAAAAACATTAGTCACATCACTTTTCTTCCACTCAAAACCCTCTAAATGGCTCCCATCACACTTTGTGGAAAAGCCCAAGTCTTCAACTGGCCTTCTAGTTGTTCCTCAAGCTTACAGGCATGCTCCCAGCCCTCATCATTTATATTGGCTGTTCACTCTGCTTAAAAAGCTCTTCCCACAGATATCCACATGGCTCACTCTCATTTCAAGTCAAGTCTTTGTTCAAATGTCACTTTCTCAGTAAGGTCTTCACTGACTACCTTATTTAAAATTTCAATCCCCACCCCCACCCCACCCCCACTTCTTTATTCCCATAATACTTAGCAACTTCTAATATAATATATAATTATGGTTTTTAATTTGTTTATTGTCTCTACCACTAGAATATATGTTACATGAGGAGAGTGATTTTATTACTCTATCTCTCGTACCTAGAACATAGTAATAAGCACTCAATAAATATTTACGAAACCAGTGAAGGAAATAAACAAAAAGAAAAGTGAAACTGACTTTAATTTTCTGAAATCTCTAGTTTTTAAATCTTTCGGCATATATAACAATAAAATTAGAAAACATGCAAAAGTTAAAACTATTTCTTACCAAAGTCCATTCTATCTTTTTGGTTTCTCTGAAGCAAACCCAAAAGGAGATTAGCCAAATAAGGTGATGTTTCTCTGGGAATACTGGGGGAAAGGAAAAACACAACCACCTAAGTGATAAGTTTATATACATAAACATTAACTTTTGCCTTCCATATAGTAAACTAAAACGTGTATGCGGTTTCACAAATACCAATACATTTATACCACGAAGACCATGTAAGAGTCATCTAAAGAAGGGAAAAAAGCCGGGTGCTGTGGTTCACGCCTGTAATCCCAGCACTTTGGGAGGCCGAGACAGGTGGATCATGAGGTCAGGAGATCGAGACCATCCTGACTAACACGGTGAAACCCCATCTCTACTAAAAATAGAAAAAAAAAATTAGCTGGGCGTGGTGGCGGGCACCTGTAGTCCCAGCTACTTGGGAGGCTGAGGCAGGAGAATGGCATAAACCCGGGAGGTGGAGCTTGCAGTGAGCCGAGATCATGCCACTGCACTCCAGGCTGGGCGACAGAGCAAGACTCCATCTGAAAAAAAAAAAAAGAAGGAAAAAAAGCACTAAATTGCCTTTGAGAAACAGCATCAAATTGAGAAGATTCCTGTATTGTGCTTGCTGTTGTTTTGAGTATCTGCAGGAGTAAGGCACCTCAAAAGCCCAATGTTGACTTTTAGCATAGCTTCAATCTTGCACTAATAGTTGTTATAATGTTCTCTATTACAAAGTAGCCACCTCCATTTCTGTCTGGAAAAGGGCAGCACTTAAATACAAGTGAGAACTAATACAACTTCCTAACATCCGATATGAAAACAACAAGCAACAGGAAAATGAATTAATAGCAGTACACAATTCAAAGAATAAGAATTACAAAAAGATATTAAACAGGCTGGGCACGGTGTCTCACACCTGTAATCCCAGCACTTTGGGAGGCCAAGGCAGGTGGATCACTTGAGGTCAGGAGTTCAAGACCAGCCTGAACAACATGGTGAAATCCCGTCTCCACTAAAAATACAAAAATTGGCCGGTGTGGTAGCCTGCCTGTAGTCCTAGCTACCTGAGAGGCTGAGGCAGGAGAATGGCTTGAAACTGGGAGGTGGATGTTGCAGTGAGCCAAGATCGTGCCATTACACTCCAGCCTGGCAACAGAACAAGACTCTGTCTCAAAAAAAAAAAAAAAAGAAAGAAAAGAAAAGAAAAAGATATTAAAGAAATACAAAGGAGCCAAATTCACTAATAAAGAGAATAATGCAAATTAAATTAATAGCTAACTGGTCCTCATGCATTTGTGCAGCATCAAATCTGCTAACATTCCATGTTGGTAAAAATGAGGGAAAAGGAGCAGTCTTCTATCTTGCTGTATTCACTGGGACAGCCTATTTGGAGAGTGTATCTTTTGGTCTGACAATTCCATTTCTAGGAGTCCACCCTAACAAAATGCACACATACACAAAGGAGTACACACACATACACACACACACACACACACACACTTCACTAGAGCCTGTTTGCAGTAACCAAAAAAATGAAAACAGGGATCTGATTAAATAAAATAATGTACATCTATGGGACTCTCTGTGGCATTTAAAAGCATACAGTGGCAGGTGCAGTTGAGCTCTGGGTCACCAAGATGTCGTTCCCAAAGTATACTCTATCACGCCTGGCCACTGTGCCCCCGACCCTCAACCCAGCCGAATACAACATATCTCCGGACACCCGACGGGCGCAAGTTGAGCAGTTGGCCATAAGAGCCGGGCTGAAATGAGAGTACCTGCTTCAGTACAACAACCCCAACCGCAGAGGGCTCATCGAAGATCCTGCCTTGATTCGTTGGACCTATGCAAGATCAGCAAATGTCTATCCTAATTTCAGACCCACTCCTAAAAACTCACTCTTGGGCGCTCTGTGTGCATTTGGGCCCCTCTTCTTCTGGTATTGTGTTTTCAAAACTGACATGGATAGAAAAGAAAAACTTATCCGGGAAGGAAAATTGGATCAAACATTTAACCTCTCATATTAAGTCTGTCAATGATGACTATATGTACTCCTGCCTAAATAGTCTATTAATCATTTAAAAAAAAAAAAAAAAGCATACAGTTGGCCAGATATGGTGGCTCATGCCTGTAATCCCAGCACTTTGGGAGGATGAGGCGGGGGGATCACTTGAGGTCAGGAGTTCAAGACCAGCCTGGCCAACATGGTGAAACTCCGTGTCCACTAAAAAAAAAAAAAAAAATACAAAAATTAGAGGGGCGTGGTGGTGGGTGCCTACAGTCCCAGCTACTAGGAAGGCTGAAGCATGAGAATCACTTGAACTCGGGAGGGGGAGGCTGCAGTGAGCCGAGATCATGCCACTGCACTCCAGCCTGGGTGACAGAGCAAGACTCTGTCTCAAAAACAAAAAAAAGCATACAGTGCCTCTCTACATCTTGCTGCGGAACATCATCTGTGATGTGCTACAAAGTAAAAAACAAAAGGACGCTGCAAACAACTCACAAAATATGATGTAATTTGTCTTAAACTATGTGTGTGTATAAATACATACATAAACAAGCACTCATCTCAAGATACAAGTTCGAGAGGAAAAAAAAAGGAAAACAAGCATTCAAACACGTATAAAGAACACCCAAAAAACTATGAAGACAGAGACACAGCAAACTCTTGTTACCCCTAAAGAGAGCAAAGCTGGGGGGAATTCACTTCCTACTTTATGCGTATCTATTCTATTCTGTCCACATTACCCTCCCCACAAGGAACACATGTAACTTCCGTATCTTTTTCTTTTAAATTTACATTTTAAAAAAGAAAGAAAAGAGTACAGCACTACACAGACACCTATGATGTGCCAGCAATTTTCTAATTTGTTGTAACAAATGCTTTCACATTATCAACTGAAAAAGAATTAAAAAATGAGAATACACAAAACACAAACAGTTCAAATAAACAACACTGTATTCACAAATAGTAAAACCCAGTGTAATCTAAACACATACCTAGGCATTAAGCTCCTGTTTTTTTCATAAAACATCCTTAAGTCTTGAGGACTATTGGCCTATTAAAAAAAAAAAGGTTTAATTTCCTAAACAATGGGGGCAAAACTTTCAAATCATATGATTGACACTCATATGCTTTTTTTTTAAGGGATTGAGGGAGTGGGAGTTTCAAGGAAGGGACTGCTGACAGGAAAGGAGGGAAAGTATGAGGGAGGAGGAAAGCAAAGAGAGATGATGCTCATATTCTTGCTACAGAACATAGACTATCAACTTGAAAGCCATGGATTGCTGAAGGACCCATAACTGGTCATTAGGAACTCATAAAACCTATGACATTGTGTGAAAATTCTGTACATCTGAGTATAACGTACCTTTTCTGAGGTACCTTTTCTGAAGTACCTTTTCTGAGGTCAGACTCTGAGAGGAGCCTGAAACTTAGAATAGATTAAGGACCACTATTCTGAAGGTTACACGGCCTGCCCAATAGGTACATTATTGTTGGGTAAAATTCAGGTGTACTTTACCTTAGGACCCTAAAGGAATTCAAAGAAAAGAACTATGTATACTGCTACTATTCAGTCTCTCCACAACAACAAATAGCTGATAACAACAGCTGCTGAATTAGTGAAGCCTCCTCTACATGCAAACTAGACTAAGAAATTAAAAGTGTTTAACCTGGCTGTGTCACTAATTTTCTTTTTCTTTTTTTTTTTTTTTTTTTTTTTTGAGACAGAGTTTCGCTCTTGTTGCCCAGGCTGGAGTGCAATGGTGTGATCTCGGCTCACCGCAACCTTCGCCTCCCAGGTTCAAGCGATTCTCCTGCCTCAGCCTCCCTAGTAGCTGGGATTACAGGCATGTGCCACCACACCCGGCTAATTTTGTATTTTTAGTAGAGATGGGGTTTCTCCATGTTGGTCAGGCTGGTCTCGAACTCCCGACCTCAGGTGATCTGCCCGCCTCGGCCTCCCAAAGTGCTGGGATTACAGGTGTGAGCCACCACGCCTGGCCATCACTAATTTTCTTAATACTATCTCGGGCAAATATTTTCACTTTGTTTCAGTTTTCAAATTCGAAGATCTTCTTTGTAACATAAGAAATTATAACATGGCAATATGAACTCAAGAGAAATCATCGTGATTATACTCTACAGGGTCACTTTTTGGCAGGATGTTGGGGGAGAGGAGGAGAAGACAGACCCATAATAATTTCCATAAAGTGTATATAATTACCTCCCTCTCACCTAGCAGTGTCAGAAATAGAGAGCTAGAGATGGTTTCCAGAGATCTCCCCAGACCAGCCCCAGCCCTCATGTGGATTCCGGGATCCCAAAACCAGGCTAACTAGGAAGCTCTGGTGTCACCATTCACACCCATTTCCCACCAGGCTGTTAGCCCCGAACCCAACATACAACAGACTTCATGCCCAGTCCAACTACAAAGGGCAGGCAGATAAAAGGGGAAAACCAAAAGACGTTCTGACTCACTAAAGCAGTTTTTGCCTATAACAGAATCAAAGTAACTCACAGAGGAGCCAAAAACACTGCTTTCAAAGTATTCTTCATTTTACAAATCAAACGCAACTATAAAATGACAAGATCCCAAAACTGAGGACATAAGAAAAAAGTCAGCCTACCTGAAAAGGTGGTTTTCCAACTAGGCATTGGTATATCACTGTTCCTATGCTCCACAAGTCAGCCTTAGCATCATAATGTTGAGACATAATAACCTCAGGAGCCTGGGAACAGAAAAATTTAAGGGGCATGCCGTACGTTATTTACATAATTAATATGCACATATTAATTAACTGGTAAAGGTGACACTTCTAACAAACTACCAGAATAAAACAACACCCTGTGATAGTTCTCTAATCAAATAATAAGGCAAAGAACTTACAACATATTATTATATATTGAGATTTACTAGTAAATCTCAAAATCAATGTTGCATGAAAAGAGGCAAGTTATAGAAACAAATGTTTCACCTGATTATAATGGACACATAAAGTACAGTAAGAGGGCCGAAAGAGTAAAGAAAAATACACACCATAGGACATGGTGTATAAAATACATACCATAGGACAGAGGTTCCCTCAGGTGTGTGAGAGGAGCAGAGGAGGAAATGCAATCAGGGAGAGGTACAAAAGGAACTTGGGCTGTCTCCAAAATATTTTTTCTTTTTTTTTTTTTTTTGAGAATGAGTCTCAATGTGTCACCCAGGCTGGAGTGCAGTGGCGTGATCTCGGCTCACTGCAACCTCCACCTCCTGGGTTCAAGTGATTCTCCTGTCTCAGCCTCCCAAGTAGCTAGGATTACACGCGCCTGCAACCATGCCCAGCTAATTTTTTGTATTTTTAGTAGAGACAAGGTTTCACCATGTTGGCCAGGCTGGTCTCGAACTCCTGACCTCGTGATCCTCCCACCTCAGCCTCCCAAAGTGCTGGGATTACAGGCATGAGCCCCTGCGCCTGGCCTATTTGATTTCTTTCAAAAACAAGATCAAGACAAACATGGCAAAATGTTAACTTTGTGAAATACGGATGGTGGGTACATAGGTGTTTGCTATATTATTCCCTATGTTTTTTGTAATCTGAATACTTTTATAGTAATAGAAAAACTATGATGCAAAACCCCACACAATACTAAAAATTGTCCTAAAAGCAAAACCATTTCTCTGCTGCTTTGTTACGGGTATTTTCCCACCTCTCATCAAATGTTGCATTTTAAATATACCATTAATCAGGACAAATATTAAACAGAAATGGAAAATATACTTAAAGATAGTTTTATTTCTCAGATGTAACATTTCCTTTTAACTTTAATTCTTTGTGGAAATGGGATCTTGCTGTGTTCACAGGCTGGCCATGAACGCCTGAGAAGTCCTCTTGCCTCAGCCTCCCAAGTAGCTGGGACTAAAGGCACGCCATCACTACACCCAGCTCAGGCATAACATTTTTATTTATTTTCCCTAGTAAATTTCTTATTAAGTCAATATCCTTTAATAATCAGCCAAAGCACTCTAACCTCAAGGCTAAACTAATTTTATACTCAAGAAGTACAAAGTAATTTTAAAATTTATATAAAATTATAAAATTATATATAAGCAGTAAAATTATGATCAAGACTATAAATCTAATAAAATTTTTTTGAAATTTGATTACCAGTTCAAAGTTGATTTTAGTTTAGAGAAATTTTGAATTTAATATAAACCCATTTTAAATTTAGAACTGAAATAGGTACATTTATTTTACATAATTCTGAATCTCTAGAATTAAGGTATTTCCAGACTTAATACTGCACATTACATTAGAAGTTTCATAGCCTAACCCTATAATACATGATGATATCTATATGAGAGGATAAAGGGGAAAGCTGAGATATTTCAGCTGTGTGAGGCTAATGGAAAAAACATCTACAACACAGGGATCCTGTCACGAGAGTTAACATGCAAAAGATAAGCACATCCTACAGCTGAAGAAGTGCTCCCAGAAGATGTTTTTTAAAGCACTCTTATATTATACATTATGTACAGCATGACTACCCTTGATTAATTTTTATTTTCAACTTAATAGATTTGTCTCATAACTAATCTTTTTTAAAAAATAAAAACAAATGGGCAAAAATGACTTACTTTTACAGTCCACTATGCTAAGGCAAAAGATGTCTGTATTATAGCATTATCAGTAATATAATTAACATTAGTAATAACAACTTGGACTATATGTAAAATCACATCTTATTTGGAAGCACGCATTATATTTAAATTCCAATGATTATGGAGCCATGCTTTAAACACACAAGGATGCAAACACTCACTCACCATGTACATCGGGGATCCACACAGTGTTGCAGCCATCATGTTACTATGTAGGTAACGAGCAAAACCAAAATCCGCTATTTCACAAAACAGAAAGTAGAAAAGCAAATTACGTCTTCGCTCATACCTAACATATATCATATGATTCTTCGAGACACAAGAAGGCACAAAGGACTGTGAAAAATAAACAGCTTATTGAATTAGACTGTCCACCAAAAAAAAAGTAGCTACCTTGATTTCAGCAAGCTAAAAATAGTAGTAATCGTCAACTGTACAAGTCACTGCTCTGCCAGATTTGTAACCAAGGTGTACGAAACTTTGCAAGTGAAAATGCTAATTATAATAAGTAGCTCATTAATACAGTTTTCATTAAATATCAATACCAGATGTAGAATGTGAACAATTATGCTTTTATTGTTTCAAATAATTTTGAGGTACTACTAAAAAAAAACTGCCAAGGGCTAAACTAGATGGTCTCTGAGATCCCTACGTCAAAAGCCTAGGAACTGTAAAGAATCAGGGTTATGGCCAGGCGTGGTGGCCCACACCTATAATCCCAGCACTTTGGGAGGCTGAGGTGGGCAGATCACCTAAAGTCAGGAGCTCGAGACCAGCCTGGCCAACACGGTGAAACCCTGTCTCTACTGAAAAAAAAAATACAAAAAAAATTAGCTGGGTGTGGTGGCACATGCCAGCTACTTGCGCATCCCAGCTACTTGGGAGGCTGAGGCAGGAGAATCTCTTGAACCTGGGAGGCAGAGGTTGTAGTGAGCCGAGATCGTGCCACAGCACTCCAGCCTGGGTGACAGAGCGAGACTCCATCTCAGACAAACAAACAAAAAAAGAATCAGAGTTATTAATTTGCTGCCAGTAAGCACACCACATCAATTTTCCTCTCGAGAGACGCAGGTATTCATATTTAGAGCTCCTGATGTGGGCCTGTCAGCACTGCCTGAGACTTGGCAGAAACTGTCAATAATGTAAAGGATTCACCTATCTAAGAGAACTCCACGATCTCAATAAAAATATCAGATTGCATCAATAAAATCCATCATCTGGCCAGGTGTGGAGGCTCAAACCTGTAATCCCAGCACTTGCGGAAGCTGAGGCGGGCAGATCACCTGAGGTCAGGAGTTCAAGACCAGCCTGGCCAACATGGTGAAACCCTGTCTCTACTAAAAATATAAAATTTAGCTGGGCGTAGTGGTGCATGCCTGTAATCCCAACTACTCAGGAGGCTGAAGCAGGAGAATCGCTTGAACCCAGGAGGCGTAGGTTGCAGTGAGCCAAGATCGCGCCACTACACGCCAGCCTGAGCAACAGAGCGAGACTCCATCTCAAAAAAAAAAAAAAAATCCATCATTCAACAAAGCTAAAGTTGTCTAAAAATAGTTTCAAAAAATGTCCTTTCCATGACACAATACATGGCCATTTACCTATTTTGATGCGAATACCACTGACACTTGATTTTCTGCGATTGGCATAGGACAGCAAGATGTTCTGTGGTTTGAGATCTCTGTGGATGATTCCTTTGCTGTGCAGGATTCGCATGGCAGCAGCAATCTGATGCAGAAACACTCTGATCGTGTCTTCACTGAGAGTCCCTTTCGCTGGTACAAAAGGAGTCACGTAAATATTTAAGCACACAAAATCAAATACCATCTGCATATTCCATCAACAGGATTGGGTTGTGAAGGAGAGCATGAAGGGAATGAGGAATTTGGATTCACATTTATTTATTTTTTTAACTTTAATAATTGAAGACTATGAAGAGATATCAGATTTCTCAAAACCTGTAGTCAATCTGTTGTAAAGAGAACTGACTGGCACTTTCACCTTTTGTTTCACCTGTGGTTTTTGCTTTTCCTTCATGTTTTTACTGCTGAAGGTGCCCACATGACTCTGAACACCATATGTACTCAATAAATATGAATGTCCTTTACAAGCCAAAAGCTAAGTTCCCTTCATATTAGTCAAATATCTGGAATAAGTGTCCATATTTAATTCCAACCATTATGTGAGCACAAATTAAAAACAAGCAAAATCTTTGACCAGAGGGATCAGATACTACTGCTACCCGTGCCTGTGAGGCATCTGTGTTCCTGCATCTACTCTGTCCTTTTATCTCCCACACCCCCGTCCCACTATCTTTCATAACTAAAAATACCTTAAGAATAAATGTTTTAACCGATTTCACCACTATAAAGAGGTGATATGAACATTATTTGAAAGTAGTGAGTCATTATTCCGTAAATATTTTTTTTTTGAGACAAGAGTTTCACTCTGTCCCCCAGGCTGGAGTGCAGTGGCACAATCTCAGCTCACTGCAACCTCCGCCTCCCGGGTTCAAGAGATTCTCCAGCTTCAGCCTCCCAAGTAGCTGGGACTACAGGCATGTATCACCATGCCCAGCTAATTTTTCTATTTTTGTAGAGACAGGGTTTTGCCATGTTGGCCAGGCTGGTCTTGAACTCCTGACCTAAGTGATCCACTTGCCTCAGCTGCCCACAGTGCTGGGATTACACTGAGAGACATCGTGACCAGCCTATTCAGTAAATTCTATTTCTGTGTATGCCAGAGCATGTTGTGGTTAACAGCTTGACTTGAAGTCTAGCTGCCTTTGTTCAACTCCTAGTTCTTCCACTTAATGTGTGACCCTTTTGAAAAGACAATCCCTCTGTGCCCACCTTCCTCATGTATAAAAGTTGATGAGAATAACTACGAGTTGACATGATGATTAAATAAAACCCATTTAATAATGAAAACTTGTGCTCATTTCAGCAGCACATATACTAAAATTGGAACAATACAGAGAAGATTAGCAAAAAATATTTATATTAAAAAAAGAAAAAAATTATGAAAACTTTAGAAAAAGGCTTTGCACATATTTCAATGTAGCAGGTATGCAAATACTTATTACAATGAGTCTAAAAGTCACAAGTGTAATTCCTTACCTACACTGAGGATTTAGTATCCATGTACCTATTTAAATTATTCGTGATGCATGTCTGTCCATATAATTCTTAGAATATGTTCTATATAACCTTTCCATTTGTAAATAAGAGAGAAATAACATTAGTATTTGGAACAAGTGAAATACTGTGGTTTTAAAATCATTTTAATGACCTGTCAAGTTTTACATGTCCTTAACATCTTCAAATAAAATAAATCTTTATGGTTTAAAAATTATCAAATATGGCCCAGTGTGTGGCTCACGCCTGTAATCCCAGCACTTTGGGAGGCTGAGGCGGGCCGATCACGAGGTCAGGAGTTCGAGACCAGCCTGATCAACATGGTGAAACCCTGTCTCTACTAAAAATACAAAAATTAGCTGTGTGTGGAGGTATGCACCTGTAATCCCAGCTACTCGGGAGGCTGAGGCAGGAGAATCACTTGAACCCAGGAGGCGGAGGTTGCAGTGAGCCAAGAATGCACCACTGCACTGCAGCCTGGGTGACAGAGTGAGACTTCATCTCCAAAAAAAAAAAAGGAAAAAGAAAATACTCTGGAGGCACACAATTTGATCTGAATGCTTCATATCCTACATGTATGCATTTTGGGTTCAGAATTTCAAGCACCATCTAATATTAAAATCTTACTTCTGTACCACAAAATAATTTAAATGTTACCTTTAATGCCTTATAATTTTTGTTGCCTTTTTTTAATTACAAGAAATATTCACATAAATACCTTCTTGGATATATTTTTCCACTATAATTTTTTAATTTTGAAAGAAACGAAACGGACTAAAACTCAGTCAAGCCTTTTGAAGGAGAGGAATTCTATCGGGTTTCTCCTCTCCTGGGGATAGGACCATCTCTCAAACACTGTCAGAGAGAGACACACAAAAAGGTAAATACTTATATACAAGTAAAGCTTAGAAACAAAACCACAAACAACAACAACAACTGGTCTGCAAAGTGACCACAAGTCAAACAAATACACAAATATTTATTGAATGTTTCTATACAAGAGCAGAAAATGGGTAGTGTATTTCACAAGTACCTCTTAGGATTAAACAGGCTGCAGCACTGTCTTTACTGAACACTGACACACATACACAGTTACCTTGCAAATAATCTGCGAGGTCTCCACCATTGCAATACTGACATAGAAAAGAGAAAGTAATGAAAATAAGGACAGTGATTCAAGATTAATTCAATCCATTCTCAATTGTGATTAAAAAATCATTTGTATATAATGTCATGTAAATATAGCCTAAAAACATTATAGATTCAAAATTTTTTAAATTTTATATTCCTTGAGTAGAATCTAGATCACTGAATCAACTTTATTAATACAAAAATTCAAATAATCTACTACCAATTTTAAAGTTCATATTAATCAAAAAGGATTTGAAATATGCAGATTTATGCTAGAATCTAAAAAAAAAAAAAAAGAAATTTGAAATAAATTAAACAGAAGTTTGTATACTACCTACCTCCATCACCAAAAAGACAGAGTTGGGTAATTCCTGAAAAGTAAACATATTAAATATCATTTAGAGAAAAATTAAACACAAAATTTAAAGATAATGATAGTTAAAAATACCATACTTGTTCATTATTAAAACTGGTAAAATGAAATCACAAAATCTATTAGAAAGTGAAATTAAAATTCCCAACACAATGATGTAATTATCTCCTCTACAAAGCCAAATCAAGTTTTGGTAACACTAATGTAGTCATCAAGAAGTAAAATTTTGTTTACAGAAATAACTAGAGAAAGATTCATCTTTTGGTTATGATTGACCTAAAACAACAGATCTAGGACAAAAAGCATGGTAAATTTACAATGGGGAAAAAGGAAGGATTCTTTGGTCCTTGGGGAAACACTTCCACTTTGAAAAGTTTATGATTTGGAGCAGCAAAACAGCATAATCCTCCCTAGCAACACTATATGCACAGTCTGATTTCTGGAATATATGACTCAGGACGCCTGGTTTTTTGTTTTTCTGTTTTTTATGTTTATTTGGGGCAATCGCATTATCAGCAATTGGTGGCAAAGGGAAATGTTTTATCACATTATCAACACATGTTCCACAATGTTGAGGAAATGAATTGAGGGCTCTTAAAAAGTCTCTCAAATCCATATAGCTCCAGGTCTGCTGTTGATTAAGTAACTCAAAGACTGATTAGCTGGCTCTTCAATGGCAATTTTTATAACGATAACTAAAATTTAGATTGAACTTCCCTGTGGCTTAACTTGAGCCAGTGTGCAAATGTAATTCAAAATATAGCTTTTGGCCAGGCGCGGTGGCTCACGTCTGTAATCCCAGCACTTTGGGAGGCCGAGGCAGGCGGATCACGAGGCCAGGAGATCGAGATCATCCTGGCTAATACGGTGAAACCCCATCTCTACTAAAAATACAAAAATTAGCCGGGCGTGGTGGCGGGCACCTGTAGTCCCAGCTACTTGGGAGGCTGAGGCAGGAGAATGGCATGAACCTGGGAGGCGGAGCTTGCAGTGAGCCGAGATCATCGAGATCATGCCATTGCACTCCAGCCTGCAAGAGAGCCAGACTCTGTCTCAAAAAATATATATAGATAGGTCTAGATCGATCTAGACCTATCTATATCTAGATATATAGCTTTTGGGCTGGGCCCAGTGGCTAACACTTGTAATCCCAACACTTTGGAAGGCCAAGGTGGGAGGATCACTTGAGCCCAAGAGTTCAAGACTAGCCTAGGCAACACACGGAGAATTCATCTCTACTAACAATTAAAAAATGGCCGGGTACAGTGGCTCATGCCTGTAATCCCAACACTTTGGGAGGCTGAGGCGGGTGGATCACCTGAGCTAAGGAGTTCGAGACCAGCTTGGCCAACATGGTGAAACCCTGTCTCTAATAAAAATACCAAAAAAAAAAAAAAAAAATTAGCCAGGCATGGTGGCGGGCACCTGTAATCCCAGCTACTTGGGAGGCTGAGGTAGAAGAATCATTTGAACCCAGGAGGCAGAAGTTGCAGTGAGCCAAGATCGTACCACTGCACTCCAGCCTGGGCAACAGAGTGAGACTTCCCCTCAAAAAAAAAAAAAAAAAAAAAAAAAATTAGGCTGGGCACAGTGGCTCACACCTGTAATCCCAGCATTTTGGGAGGCCAAGGTGGGCAGATCACCTGAGGTCTGGAGTTCAAGACCCGCCTGGCCAACATGGTGAAACCCCATCTCTACTAAAAATACAAAGAAATTAGCCGGGCGTGGTGGTGCACGCCTGCAATCCCAGCTACTCCAAAGGCTGAGGCATGAGAATCGCTTGAGCCTGGGAGGTGGAGGTTGCAGTGAGCTGAGACCGCGCCACTGCACTCCAGCCTAGGCAACAGAATAAGACCCCATCACAAAATAAATAAATAAATAATAAAAATAAAAAAGTCTTGAAGGACACAAAACAGTTTCTTCTTCTGGAAAAAGGAAATAGAGAGGTATAAGAAGAGGGCATCTCGGCCGGGTGCGGTGGTTCACGACTGTAATCCCATCACTTTAGGAGGCCAAGGCGGGTCGGATTACAACGTCAGGAGTTCGAGACCTCGATGTCAGGAGTTCGAGACTAGCCTGGCCAATATGGTGAAACCCCACCTCCACTAGAAATACAAAAATTAGCTGGGCATGGTGGCACATGCCTGTAGTCCCAACTACTCAGGAGGCTGAGGCAGGAGAATCGCTTGAACCCGGGAGACAGAGGTTGCAGTGAGCCGAGATTGCGCCACTGCATTCCAGCCTGGCAACAGAATGAGACTCCATCTCAAAAAAAAAAAAAAAAAAAAAAATACAAAAATTAGCTGGGCAGTGTGGCACGCACCTGTAGTCCCAGCGGCTTGGGAGGCTGAGGCAGGAGAATGGCTTGAACCCAGGAGGCGGAATTTGCAGTGAGCTGAGATCGCGCCACTGCACTCCAGCTTGAGCAACAGAGCAAGACTCCATCTCAAACAAACAAAAAAGCACTGGGCGCAGTGGCTCACGCCTGTAATCCCAGCACTTTGGGAGGCCGAGACAGGCGGATCACAAGGTCAGGAGATCAAGACCATCGTGGCTAACGCGGTGAAACCCCATCTCTACTAAAAATACAAAAAGTTAGCTGGGCATGGTGGCCGGCGCCTATAGCCCCAGCTACTTGGGAGGCTGAGGCAGGAGAATAGTGTGAACCCAGGAGGCAGAGCTTGCAGTGAGCCGAGATCACCACTGCACTCTAGCCTGGGTGACAGAGCGAGACTCCATCTCAAAAAAAAAAAAAAAAAAGAGGGCATCTCTTTACTTCATATACTGCTAGGCTATTTAAAGTGTTTTTATACTGAAGGTCATTTACTTTTGTAATTTAAAAAAACAATAAAGTAAATTTTTTTTTTTTTTTGAGACAGATTCTCGCTCTGTGGCCCAGGCTGGAGTGCAGTGGCGCAATCTCAGCTCACTGCAAGCTCCACCTCCAGGGTCCACGCCATTCTCCTGCCTCAGTCTCCCGAGTAGCTGGGACTACAGGCACCCGCCACCACACCTGGCTAGTTTTTTGTTGTTGTTGTTGTTGTTTTGTATTTTTAGTAGAGACAGGGTTTCACTGTGTTAGCCAGGATGGTCTCAATCTCCTGACCTCGTGATCCGCCCACCTCGGCCTCCCAAAGTGCTGGGATTACAGGCGTGAGCCACCGTGCACGGCCAATTTTTAAAAGTCAAAATAACATGAGTAGGTGGTTCTCTCCAGTAAATTCAGATGCCTAGAAGCAGAAGTAGAGAAAATGGCAGCATGATACAAAGCAACAGAAAAGTAAATGACAAGCCAGACAATTCAAAGAAAACTTCCTGGTTTCTTTTTTATTTTAAAGTGACATTTTTTTAAATTTTTTTAATTTTTTTTTTTTTTGAGACAAGGTCCCGCTCTATTACCCAGGCTGAAATTCAGTGGTGTGATGTTGGCTCACTGTAACCTCCACCTCCAGGGTTCAAGCGAGTCTCCTGCCTCAGCACCCCCGAGTAGCTAGGACCACAGGTGTGCACCACCACGCCCAGCTAATTTTTATGTATTTTTTCTAGAGACGGGGTTTTGCCACGTTGCCCAGGCTGGTCCCAAACTCTTGGACTCAAGCGATCTGCCCAGCTTGCCCTTCCAAAGTGCTGGGATTACAAGCATGAGCCACCGCACCTGGCCTAATTCCTGGTTTCTAAACCCAAATCCTCACATCTCTCTGCTATATTCTTAATTCATTCTCCACCCCTCAGGCAGTTTCTATGGTTTATCTCACAGGAAAAGAGAAAAGAAACATTCCTACAATTCGGCCCCACCTTCTTTTTTTTTTTTTGAGACAAGAGTCTCACTCTATTGCCCAGGCTGGAGTGCAGTGGCACAATCTCAGCTCACTGCAACCTCCACCTCCCGGGTTCACGCCATTCTCCTGCCTCAGCCTCCCGAGTAGCTGGGACTACAGGCACCTGCCACCACTCCCGGCTAATTTTTTGTATTTTTAGTAGAGATGGGGTTTCACCTTGTTAGCCAGGATGGTCTTGATCTCCTGACCTCGTGATCCCCCCGCCTCGGCCTCCCAAAGTGCTGGGATTACAGGCGGGAGCCACCACGCCCGGCCAAGGCCCCACCTTCTAATAACATCACCATGAGTGATAGGATTTCAACATATGAATTTTGGAGGGACATGAACATTGATTGACACCACAGCAAATCAAGTTCTACAAAACTTAGAGATGCAAAATACAACATATGAAAGCCAATTCTGGCCAGGCACAGTGGCTCACACCTGTAATCCCTGGGCCAATCACCTGAGGTCAGGAGTTTGAGACCAGCCCGGCCAACACGGTGAAACCCATCTCTACTAAAAACACAAAAATTAGCTGGGTGTGGTGGTGCATGCCTGTAACCCCAGCTACTCGGAAGGCTGAAGGAGGAGAACTGCTTGAACCCAGAAGACGAAGGTTGCAGTGAGCCAAGATTGCGCCACTGCACTCCAGCCTGGGCAACAGAGATTCCATCTCAAAAAAAAAAAAAAAGCACACACAAAAAAAGGCATTTCTAGCTTCCTGATCTAACACAAACCCAACATAGGTTTGTGGAAAAACTCTCCTTCAATGTGTATCTCATTAATACTAATTATACCAAAGGTTGCAAAAATATTCAGAATATATAATACTGATTAATAAATTTATAAATTGATTCTCACCTAATCTGACCCTGATTTGCTGTAATTCTTCAAATTCCCTAAGTCCTAACTCTTTTTAACAGTCTTACAGAAGACTTCTTCTGTAGATATCCTCAAAAACAGGTAAGAGTCTGGGATAGCTGGTTGGGCTTTCTGGAAAATAAGTTGAGTCCCTACATTATCCCTTTGTACATAACTAAGTTCCAGAGATCAAAAATATAAATATGAAAAAATGAAACCCTAAGTACTAGATGAAAACATGGGGAATCATTTTCATAAGCTCAGGGTAAAGAAATCTTCTATAATATGAAACCTAGGGGTCATTAAATAACAGGTTGGATAAATTCTACCATGTAGGAACTTCCATATATTAAAGACACGGCGGGGGCATGGTGGCTTAAGACTGTAATCCCAGCACTTTGGGAGGCAGAGGCGAGTGGATCACGAGGTCAGGAGTTCAAGACCAGCCTGGCCAAGATGGTGAAACCCCTTCTCTACTAAAAATACAAAAAATTAGCTGGGCTTGGTGGCAGGTGCCTATAACCCCAGCTACTCAGGAGGCTGAGGCAGTAGAATTGCTTGAACCCAGGAAGCAGAGGTTGCAGTGAGCTGAGAGTGCGCCACTGTACTCCAGACTTGGCAAAAGAACAAGATTCCATCTCAAAAAAAAAAAAAAAAGAGGCTAGGCCAGGCGTGGTGGCTCACGCCTGTAATCCCAGCACTTTGGGAGGCCGAGGCGGGTGGATCACAAGGTCAGGAGATCGAGACCATCCTGGCTAACACTGTGAAACCCCGTCTCTACTAAAAATACAAAAAATTAGCCAGGCATGGTGGCGGGCGCCTGTAGTCCCAGCTACGCGGGAGGCTGAGGCAGGAGAATGGCGTGAACCCGGGAGGCAGAGCTTGCAGTGAGCCGAGATCGCGCCACTGCACTCCAGCCTGGGTGACAGAGCGAAACTCCATCTCAAAAAAAAAAAAGAAAAGAAACCCTATCTCTACTAAAAATACAATAATTAGCCGGGTGTGGTAGCAGGTGCCTGTAATCCCAGCTACTGGGTAAGCTAAGGCAGGAGAATCACTTGAATCCGAGAGGCGGAGGTTGTAGTGAGCCGAGACTGTGCCATTGCACTCCAGCCTGGGCAACAGAGCAAGACTCCATCTCAAAAAAAAAAAAAAAAAAAAAGGAAAAAAAGTCTAAAGTAAGACCCCCCCACAAAAATACCAAACAAAATGGGAAAAATATCTCAAAACATGACAAAGAGCTATCAACTCTGATTCCCTCTTGTTTACCTCCTACAGTCCAAGTGCCCAAGTCCTAACAATTCTATCTCCTAAACATCTCACTAATCTGTCCAGGCCTCTGTCTCCATTGATACCAACATTCTTTCTTACCCAGATATAAATAGCTCTTTCTTTTTAATAACGGTATACACTGAGCATGGTGGCACAGGCCTGTAATCACAGCTACTCAGGAGGCAAAGGCAGGAAGATCGCTTGAGCCCAGGAGTTAGAGGCTGCAGTGAGATATGATGGCACCACAGAAGAAATGCACTCCAGCCTGAGTAACAGAGTAAGACCTCATTTCTAAATAAGTATTTAAAAATAAAAATAAATGTACAGTTCAATGTGTTGTGACAAATGTTTACACCTACGTATCTACCCTGCCAATCAAAATACATAACAATTCCATCACCCCAAGAAGTTCTCTCATGCCCCTTTCCTATCACTCCCTGGGACCAAGAGTCAACCTCTGTTCTGATTTCTATCACCCTAGCTTACTTCTGACTCTTCCCAAAATTCACAAAAACAGAATTATACTGTAGCAGTATATGGCATGCTTATTTTTCTCAAAATAATGTTTGAGGCCGGGCGCGGTGGCTCACGCCTGTAATCCCAGCACTTTGGGAGGCCGAGGCAGGCGGGTCACGAGGTCAGGAGATCAAGACCATCCTGGCTAACACAGTGAAACCCCATCTCTACTAAAAATACAAAAAATTAGCCGGGTATGGTGGCAGGTGCCTGTAGTCCCAGCTACTCAGGAGGCTAAGGCAGGAGAATGAGGGGAACCTGGGAGGCAGAGCTTGCAGTGAGCCGAGATCGCGCCACTGCACTCTAGCCTGGGCGACAGAGCGAGACTCCGTCACACACACAAAAAAAAAAAAGTTTGAAATTCACGTTATGACATGTATCGTTTGTTCCTTTTTATATATGTCAATTTGTTCATTGTATTATTTGCTATAAAACGAGTTTTACGGCCGGGTGCAGTGGCTCACGCCTGGAATCCCAGCACTTTGGGTGGCCGAGGCGGGCAGATCACAAGGTCAGGAGATCGAGACCATCCTGGCTAACACGGTGAAACCCCGTCTCTACTAAAAAATACAAAAACAAAATTAGCCAGGCATGGTGGTAGGCGCCTGTAGTCCCAGCTACTCGGGAGGCTGAGGTGGGAGAATAGTGTCAACCCAGGAGGTGGAGCTTGCAGTGAGCCGAGATCGCACCACGGCACTCCAGCCTTGGTGACAAAGCGAGACTCCATCTCCAAAAAAAAAAAAAAAAAAAAAAAAAAAGAGTTTTAAAATTTTTTATAGCCAGGCACGGTGGCTCACACCTGTAATCCCAACACTTTGGGAGGCCAAGACGGGCAGATCACCTGAGGTCGGGAGTTCGAGACCAGGCTGGCCAATACGGCAAAACCTCGTCTCTACCAAAAATACAGACATTAGCCAGGTGTGGTGGCGGGGCGCCTGTAATCCCAGCTACTCAGGAGGCTGAGGCAGGGAGAATTGCTTGAACCTGGGAGGTGGAGGTTGCAGTGGGCCAAGATCACGGCATTGCACTCCAGCCTGGGTGACAGAGTGAGACTCTGTCTCAAAAAAAAAAAAAAAAAAATGTTTTACATGTCCCTACTAGAGCTTCTGATACTACAGCTTCTGAGTTTCTTATCTTGATTTAAAATGTCTTTCCATCCCTTGGATTGTACAGTCATTTAAATATTATTCTGAGACTGTTATTGTTTACTTTATATATTTAAGCTTTTAATTCATTTGGAAATGATTTTGGAAAATGATGAGAATGGTGTTCCAATTCTATTTTTTGTCAGATGTCTCAGTTTTATGAGCACCACCTATTAAATTAATCATCTTTTTCTTGCGATACTAAAAATTACCAAGAGGTAGATATTTAACCAGGCCACTGACAATCACACAGTTATGTATTCCTAAGTGAAAGTACTTATCTCATGCTCAGAGTGCTCTAGGAGATTTATCTTTTGAAAAACAAAAACGGTATCACTCTCCTGCTTTTAAAACTCTTCAATAGCTTTGTACTGTCCTTAAGATAAAGATCAGATCTGGCTCCTGCTAACCTCTCCAGTATCATCTAACACTATGCTCTCGCTCTCATTACTGTACTCCAGACACACTAGCCTTCTTCCAGTTCCTCAAACTCAGTGATCTCTCCTGTCAGTGGTCTTTACAGAAGCCTTCATCTCCTTGGGAAACTTACTTTATTTTCTCCCATTAACCCCCACCTAGCCTTCTCCCACCCATCCCTCAGTCTCTACAGATATCATTTCCCCAGGAAGCCTTCCCTTGTCCCATTTTCCTAGGCCCCATATTGTTCAAACCTCGCCAAGAGCTCTCCCTTACAGCACTTGGCACACTTGGAAATAGTAACTATTGGCCCGGGTGTGGTGGCTCACGCCTGTAATCCCAGCACTTTGGGAAGCCAAGCTGGGCAGGTCGCTTAAGCTCAGAAGTTTGAGACCAGGCTGAGCAACATGGTGAAACTCCATCTCTACAAAAAATAGAAAAATTAGCCAGGCATGGTGGTGCCTGCCTGTAGTCCCAGATACTTTGAAGGCTGAGGTGGGAGGATGGCTTAAGCCCAAAGGGTGGAGGCTGCAGTGAGGTGTGGTCATGCCACCACACTCCAGCCTGGGCAAGAGAGCCAGACCCTGTCTCAAAAAAGAAAAAAAAAAGAAATAGTAACTATTTGCTTAATGTCATCTTCCCTAATATCCTGTAAGAGTTCCACAATGACAAGGACCATTTCTACTTTGTTCACCACTATACGCCTGTACATCTCATTAACCAGCTCAAGAAATACTAGTCACAAATAAACCAGTAAGAAAAATGAACACAACCTATGCATCATAGGACAGCAATGGGAACGTCACAGAAGAAATGTAAAAAGACAAATACAGCAAAAAGATGACTGATACCCTAATGGTTTAAGAAAAAAAAAATACCAGCTGGGCGCAGTGGCTCACATCTGTAATCCCAGAACTTTGGGAGGCCGAAGCAGGTGGACCACTTGAAGTCAGGAGTTCGAGGCCAGCCTAGCCAACATGGTGAAACCCCATTTCTACTAAAAATACAAAAATTAGCCAGTTGTGGTGGTGGGCGCCTGTAATCCCAGCTACTTGGGAGGCTGAGGCAGGAGAACTGCTTGAGCCCAGAAGGCAGAGGTTGCAGTGAGCCAGGATCGTGCCACTGCACTCCAACCTGGGCAACAGAGTGAAACTCCGTCTCAAAAAAAAAGAAAGAAAGAAAGAAAAGTAATAAAATTAGGCTGGGCATGGTGGCTCACGCCTATAATCCCAGCACTTTAGGAAGCCAAGGCAGGAGGATCACTTTAGTCCAGCAGTTCGAGACCAGCCTGGGCAACATAGTGACCTCATCTCTATTAATTAAGTAAATATAATTTAAAAATGTTTTAAAAGATATTTTCCTAGTGTGAGATTATAAAAATTTTTTTTAAAAAGGTCACTACTGGTTAAAAAGAACTAGTATAGGCTGAGTGCGGTGGCTCAGGCCTGTAATCCCAGCACTTTGGGAGGCTGAGGCAGGCGGGTCACCTGAGGTCAGAAGTTCAAGACCAGCCTGGGCAACAAGGTGAAGCTCCATCTCTACTAAAAATACAAAAACAAAATTATCCAGGCGTGGTGGCAGGCACCTGTAATCCCAGCTACTTGGGAGGCTGAGGCAAGAGAATCACTTGAACTCAGGAGGCAGAGGTTGCAGTGAGCTGAGACTGTCGCTGCACTCCCGCCTGGGTAACAGAAAGAATTGGTATAATCTTTTAAAAGATAGCTAATATCTTTGACCAAGCAATTCCACTTCAAGGAATTTATTCTACAGGAACACTATAAAAACACACAAAGATATATGCACACATCTTTCTCTGCAATACTGTTTCCAATAGGGAAAAAATAGGAAACACTCCAAATAGCCATAATTCGGTGGTTTCTTAAGCTACAGGACTCACTCTGTCACCCAAGCTGGAGTACAGTGGCCAGTGGTGCAATCACAGCTCACTGTAACTTCAAGTTCCTGGGCTCAAGCCTTCCTTCCATTTTAGCCTCCCAAGTAGCTGGGATCACAGGTATGCGCCACCACATCTGGCTAACTTTATTTTTTGTAGAAACAGGGTCTCACTATGTTGCACAGGCTGGTCTTGAACTTCTGGCCTCAAGCAATCCTCCAGCTTCAGCTTCCCAAAGCACTGAGTTTATGGTGTGAGCCACCATGCCTGGCTCATAATTGGGTTTTAAGTAAATTATCATTTAGCCCTACAATACTATACTGATTATGAAAAGGTATCTAAGATACATTAAGCTTAATAAAACAAGTTGCATTTCTGTACAAACACTACTAATTCTCTCAAAATGAAAAGCTTTAAAAACTAAGTATAAATGTTTAGAAAATTCTAAAACAAATATACCAAAGAGTGGTTATCCCTGGGAATTGCCATCTCTTTTCTAATTTACCATTCACACAGTATTTGATTAACTGTGGGTATATATTACTTTTGGAATTAGTGGGAAAATGCATTTCTTTTTAAGTGTCATCTAAACTGAAAGCTGATTTTTACAATAGCAAAAGTTCCCAATTTATAAACTTCGGACAGATAACCAAAACTAATGGTCAGTAAAAATGACATTCACTTCAAGTTGATAGTTACTGTATTAATTCCTAAACATACTGTACCCCTTGATGAACAATTTCAATCAATAAAACAAATATAAAGTATTAGGTCAAAACTCTATTTAATAGCCAAATACTTAAGACATTTGATTAATACCTCTTTTTTTTTTTTTTTTTGAGACGGAGTTTCCCTCTTGTTGCCCAGGCTGGAGTGCAATGGCGCGATCTCGGCTCACTGCAATCTCCGCCTCTTCAGTTCAAGAGATTCTCCTACCTCAGCCTCCCGAGTAGCTGGGATTACATGCATGTGCCACCATGCCCAGCTAATTTTGTATTTTTAGTGGAGACAGGGTTTCTCCATGTTGGTCACGCTGGTCTCAAACTCCTGACCTCAGATGATCTGCCTGCCTCGGCCTCCCAAAGTGCTGGTATTACAGGCATGAGCCACCGCGCTTGGCCTGACACTTCTTAAATTTGTTTTTATAAATTAGTTAAAAGCATTGGTGGTTCAATGGTAGAATTCTCGCCTCCCACGCAGGAGACCCAGGTTCGATTCCTGGCCAATGCAGCTCCCACCTTAATCCCAGCTATTCAGGAGGCTGAGGCAGGAGAATCCCTTGAACTCAGGAGGCAGAGGTGCAATGAGCTGAGATTGTGCCATTGCACTCCACCCTGGGCGACAAGAGCAAGACTTCTTCTCAAAAAAAAAAAGAAAAACAAATTAGTTCTAACAGTATACCATGTACAAAATAATATAACATTTGAATGCAGTCACCCTGAAATTCCTGATTGATTAACAATTCACATTTTTTAGTATGTTCTCCCTAATGATACCTCATTCTATAATCAAAGCTGGTACTAAAAAATACTTTTCATTCTGATAGAAAATAATCTAAGCAAGGCCGGGCGCGGTGGCTCACGCCTGTTATCCCAGCACTTTGGGAGGCCGAGGTGGGCGGATCACGAGGTCAGGAGATCGAGACCATCCTGATTAACAAGGTAAAACCCCGTCTCTATTAAAAATACAAAAATTAGCCGGGTATGATGGCGGGCGCCTGTAGTCCTAGCTACTCTGGAGGCTGAGGCAGGAGAATGGCGTGAACCCAGGAGGCGAAGCTTGCAGTGAGCCAAGATCGCGCCACTGCGCTCCAGCCTGGCCAACAGAACGAGACTCCGTCTCAAAAAAAAAAAAAGAAAATCATCTAAGTATACTTTCAAAACAAAACCTACTCTGCAATTGCCAGGGTTTTCTGTATCTCTCCAAGATTGGGAAACTAAAGAGTTAACATTATTTAACAGTTTTGGTACTAGGCACTGAGTTGTACCACTTGGTGCCCTCTATCTACAGAGACTAAGACAAACTACACAAACAGCAGTGAGGAGAACCAACATTTCAACTAGGGACTGAGAGATGAGTTTAGTTTTGACTTAAAAGGTTTCTCCCCTTTTCATGCTGCTTTGAATTTCTCAAATGAAGAAACGAATTAACAGCTATCTGAACAGGTAATAAAATATACCCACTGCATTCACATATTCCATGGATGGAAGTTTAAATTGTAAATTTTTTGGAAAGCAATCATACTCTACAATCAAAAATTTTAACACTGTGCATGCTATTTGACTTGGTCTTTCCAATTCTAGAAATTGAAGTTAAATAATCAAAAATATGTTCAGAAGATATACATAATTCTTACAGCATTTTTCTATTAGGAAAAACTTAAACATCCTTTTTCTTTTTTTTTTCCCCCCCGAGATGGAGTCTGGCTCTGTCACCTAGGCTGGAGTGCAGTGGCACGATCTCAGCTCACTGCAACCTCCGCCTCCCGGGTTCAAGTGATTCTCCTGCCTCAGCCTCCTGAGTAACTGGGATTACAGGCACCTGCCACCACACCCAGCTGATTTTTTTATTTTTAGCAGAGACAGAGTTTCGCCATGTTGGCCAGGCTGGTCTTGAACTCCTGACCTCAGGTGATCCACTTGCCTCAGCCTCCCAAAGTGTGGATTACAGGCATGAGCCATCGCAACCAGGCAAAAAAAGTTAAACATCTTATAACATGAGTTTAGTTACTTTGTGTTATGATATGACCACATGAAAAATGACAATTTTTTTTTTTTGTTTGAGATGGAGTTTCGCTCGTTACCCCAGGCTGGAGTGCAATGGCACAATCTCAGCTCAATGTAACCTCTGCCTCCTGGGCTCAAGCAATTCTCCTGCCTCAGGCTCCTGAGTAGCTGGGATTACAGGCACCCACCACCATGCCTGGCTAATTTTTGTATTTTTAGTAGAAATGGGGTTTCTCCATGTTGGTTAGGCTGGTCTCGAACTCCCAACCTCAGGTGACCCACCTACCTCAGCCTTCCAAAGTCCTGGGATTACAGGTATAAGCTACCGTGCCCAGCTGAAAAATGACAGTATTTTTTAAAAAGTAAATATACAACAGCCCATTTGTCTCACCCCACTAAAACTAAACATATTGAAAGCAAAGACTTTGTTTTATTCACTGCCTCATTCCCAGCACTCAGAACAATGCCTGGCACATAATAGTCACTCAAAAACTTGCAAAGCAGACCGGGAGTGGTGGCTTACATCTGTAATCCCAGCATTTTGGGAGGCAGAGGCAGGAGGATCACCTGAGGTCAGGAGTTCGAGACCAGCATGGCTAACATGGTGAAACTCTGTCTCTACTAAAAATACAATAATTAGCTGGACTTGGTGGCAGGCGCCTATAATCCCAGCTACTTGGGAGACTGAGGCACAAGAATCGCTTTAACCCGGGGGGGCAGAGGTTGCAGTGAGCCAAGCTCACACCACTTCACTCCAGCCTGGGCGACAAGAGTGAGACTGTCTCCAAAAAAAAAAAAGGTTGTCAAATGAATGAATTTGAGTAATGCAAGTGAATACAGAAGAGGTTTTAGCTAGAAATATATATGTAATAGGATCACATAACATATACATTTACCTTACCCGAATTCAACCGTCCAGACTAAGCAAAAGAAAGAAATTATGTAAATCATCATGCTGACCTGCCCTGCAGTGACAGTGGAGAAAAAACCAGAATCTGCTATTCCCTCTGGGAGTCTCAGGTCCCCACAGCTCTCACATGGTATCACACTAGCTACATGTGATTCTAGTTTTTTTTTTTTTTTTTTTTAAGAGACGATCTTGCTCTGTTGTCCAGGCAGGACTTCAGTGGCAGGATCACAGCTCACTGCAGCCTTGAACTCCTGTGCTCAAGCGATCTTCCTGCCTCAGCCTCCTGAGTAGCAAGAATTACAGGCTCAAGCCACCACACCCAGCCTGATTCTTGCATTTGAAGGATTTTTTAACATAATATGGCCCTAAATATAAGCCAGCTACTTCATCTGGTGCTACACCCAGAAAACAGCAATTTTCTCCAATGCTGAGATCTGAAAAGGATTTCCAAGAGTAATTTTGACTATACAGAAATTTTGCCTTAGTGATTGACTTTAGAACCTACTTCCCATTCCAAATAAAATGCAACTCTACTGCATGCCATAGCATACACAAATATATCTATAACCTATAATCATAGATATAACTGGGTGATGAACATGCATAGTGACCTTGTTTTTAATTTATTTTCTAATATTTTTTCAATTTACAAATATTGCTTTCATAAGAAGAAAAAGCACTATGTAGGCCATGTGTGGTGGCTCACATCTGTAATCCCAGCACTTTGAGAGGCTGAGGCAGAAGGATCCCTTGAGCCCAGGAGTTCAAGACTAGCCTGAGCAACACAGAGGGACCCTATCTCTACAAAATAAAAAAAATGTTTTTTTAAAAAAAGAACTTCTATTTAGGCGGGGCGCAGTGGCTCACGCCTGTAATCCCAGTACTTTGGGAGGCCAAGGTGGGAGGATGACTTGAGGTCAGGAGTTCGAGACAAGCCTGGCCAACATGGTGAAACTCCATCTCTATGAAAAACACACACACACAAAATTAGCTGGGCATGGTGGTGCACACCTATAGTCCTAGCTACTCGGGAGGCTGAGGCAGGAGAATCGCTTAAACCCGGGAGGTAGCAGTTGCAGTGAGCCGAGATCAAGCCACTGCACTGCAGCCCAAGAGACAGAGTGAGACTCCATCAAAAAAAAAAAAAGCTCTATTTTTAATTGTCCTTTCAACATTCATCAGAGAATGCTAGATCTGGTATCAACAGTCCTCTACTTCACCTAAAACAATGCTACACCTATAGTGTATTATCAATTGTTAATAAACTTACTCATGCAGCAAATTCTTTCAGCCTATTACTCTGTTCTGTTTTAAACAATTTCTTAATTCAGAAACATGTAACTCAAGCTATGCATCTTTTCAACAAGAATTAAGGTCATTTTTATTTCTATTAAGAGTCACTTAAATCTGTATGAAATTAAAAAAAATTTATTTTAATTTTTAAAAATTTTCAAAATAAGGTACCTGAACATCATAGAGTGCTACAATATTTTCATGCTGAAGTTCCTATTAAGAAAATTGAGAATGAAAAATATGTAAGTATTCTAATGACTTTACTATATTTTAATATGTAAATAAAATTAAAGTATACACATACACTTCTAGTATTATACTTATATTAAGACTATAAAAATTCAATTAAAGAATAAGAAATGTGCCTGATCAAACAAAAAGCACATTATCTCACTGAAAGAAAATATGATTTTTAGCTCAAAGAGCTACAATTCTTAAAAAAGAGCTCTCCACAGGAAGCAGTTTTGAGGAAATCGGGTGTTAAATGAGGGTTCCACGCTTGTATTAGTTTGGAAAACACCAGGTTAAGTACTTTGAAACAAGTTTCTTCATTGTAGAATTTTTCAGACTTTCTTTAATGAGCCATAGGCTTTGTGACTCTCCAAGAAGTATTTAGTAAATGGGGTTTTCCAAACGTACTCAACCATCTTCTCAAACCATCCCACTTAGATAACACTGGTTGTGAGTGATCTAAAAAGGCCACCTCCAAGGAATATAACTTTCTTCAATTTAAAGAAAGACCCCAAGCACCCCTACTCCCCCCAAAAAACTTAGTAGTAACATGAAAGGGGACAACAGGAGAGGTAAAAACAATGTACAAGATGGGTCTGCCTGGCCCTCTTCTCAAACAACAACACAGTCACTAGGAAAAAGAGAAATGATGAGAAGCTAAACTCAGTCTTCACAGAATCCCTCTGAGCTTTGGTTCTTAAAAATAGCTTCCGAGTACTCAATGTTTTAAAAAAGTGAGCATGCAAAAAGGAGAGCAACAGTTGAAAATTCTCAAACTTGGACCCAACTACCAAAATTGAAAAGGATGGCAGCATGTATTCATTTAAATTAAGTTTTAACCTTATATGAATACTACTACATAAAGTAACATACCTTTAAGATTTTAATTTCCTTTCCAAGCAGTATTTGTGATTTTGACAAGTTCTTTTTATTAATACTTTTAATAGCTACCTCCCAATCAGTTTTCTGAAAAGGAAAAACAGTGTTACTCCTAGATACCATTCCACATAAATAACAGAAAAAAATTTACAAGCGCGAAGGTGTTTTTGGCAAATAAATGTACGGCATTGGGGAAAAATGGAATTATTTTCAATAATTGGAAAGTGATTTCATAAATTATAGTGCAATATGCCAAGATCCTACAACACAACTTCTAAAAATAACAAATATGAAGTCCACATGGTAACTAACATTAAATGAAAAAAGAACAGTTCACAACCACTTCAAAGTTATGGACAAATGTAGAAATAAACTTGGAAGGTGATACAGTTAATTGAAAAGTTATTTGTTAGCTTGGAAGGATTACACCGTGCTTGAGTTCTAAATTATTTTCCTAATAAATGAAAAGTAGGCCGGGAGCCGTGGCTCACACCTGTAATCCCAGCACTTTGGGAGGCTGAGGCGGGCAGATCGGATCACCTGAGGTCAGGAGTTCAAGACCACACTGGCCAACGTGGTGAAACCCCATCTCTACTAAAAATACAAAAAAAAAAAAATTAGGCGGGCGTGGTGGCGGGCACCTGTAATCCCAGCTACTCAGGAGGCTGAGGCAGGAGAATCGCTTGAGCCCGGGAGGCAGCGGTTGCAGTGAGCGGAGATCTCGCCACGGCACTCCAGCCTCGGCGACAAAGCGAGACTCTGTCTCAAAAATAAATAAATAAATAAATAAGAAAAGTAGCATTACTTCATCCGATAAGCAACAAAGTCAGCCCACTTTTAACACGCCCCTTGGGCAACAATCAGAACTGCCACACCCTTTAAGATTATTTCCACTCCCGATATGCCTTTCCAAATTCTTTAGATTCTAAAACCTCGTGTAACTGTACTTGCGAAACAGCAAAGGCTTAAAACAATTTTTTTAAGGCTTAAAGGTGATTTCATGTTCAAGGTGATTGAAAATGAATTGTCCAACCACCTTTCTCACCCGGAGCTCGTCTATCTGACTCCGGGGGGGAAAACGGTACGGGGGCTCTTCGGGGTGCAGGGGACCAGTGCTGGGAAAGGTGACACCTCCCAGGCTGCGAAAGCCTGAGGCTAATGGGACATCCGCCCATTTTCCGCTGGGTCTGTAATTATCAACCTCAAAAGTGACCAGCCCTGGGCACGGGGAAAAAAACCAAAGGTCCATTCACGCCCAACCCTCGAGTCTGCACGGTGCAGTACCGTCTATTTTGGGTCCAGGGTAACCTGGGTGCAAACGCTCCTGCGGGCGGACCGCGGGGTGGGCCCCGGGCACACAGGAGGATCAGCAGCAGCCGGTCGGTAGGCGGAGCGCTGCCAGAGGCTTGGGCCTCACAACAACCCTCACAGGACCAAAACAAACGGCGAGACGGGCTGCGCGCACAATAGCATACCCGGGCGGCTAGCCGAGTCGGGGGTCTCGGCTCGCGGCTGCGCCAAGTTTCAGAACCACCTAGCCCCGTGCCTGCCGCCCGGGGCCCGGCCTCGCCCCGGCCGGCGCTCACCTGGCGGTGCCGCCCCCGGAAGACCACGGCGAAGGCCCCGTGTCCCACGAGATCCCTCTTGCTGTACTCGAAGTCACCCACCACCTCCATGGCCGCGCCCCCGGGGCACACAGCGGACGGGCGGGCGGCGCAGTGCGGCGCAGGTATCAGCACCGCGGCTCCGCGGGCCCGGAGCGCGCCAGCGTGCGGCGGGTCTGGGGCAGCCGCAGCCCCGGGCCCGGGCGGACTCTCATGCCGAGAGACCGGAGCGGAAACTGGGGAAGCTGCCGCGCGGAGCCAGGGTCAGCGAGGCCCGGCCCGGCCCCTGCCGCTCATGGCCCGGCCTGCCGCCGGCCGCTGGCTGTCTGGCGAAGCGGCCTCGGCGCTGCCGGGCCAGGGGTGCCGTCACCGTCACTGTGCGCGCCCAGAGCCGCACACGCGCTCTGAGGCAGTGAGGGGCCCGGTACTCTCCATCCCCAGCTCGTCGGGCCTCCTCGGCCCTCCCCGCTCGGGGCGCTGCTGCGACGGCGACGGCCGCCGCCCTAGAACCCGCACCGCCGCGGCCCCGCGCTTCCCCGCCTCGCGGCGGCGCCCAACGCCCTCGCGCGCGCTACCCGCTCCCGCGCGACTGGCTGCCCTCCGCGACGTCCGCGCGCCTTGAAGGCCGCAGCGCCAGCCGGCTCCCTCCGCCGGGGAAAGGAGTGCGGCCAGGGCTTGGCGCCCGCAGCTGGGCAGATCCTCGGCCGCTCCTGAGGCGGGGACGAAGGGCGCGACCCGCTGCGGCCACAGCGGGTTACGGGCTGCGGGCTCCGTTCTGGGCCTGGGGAGCAGATTCGAGCCGACCACGCCCCGGGCTCCAGGCCGCTGGGAGGCGGACTTCAGAGAAGCGGGTCTTGAACCCCAGCTGCAGGCAGGACGGGATTATCTGCGCAGGGTAGACCCCCAGATTCCTGCCAGAGCAAAGGAGCAACTGCTACTCCAGGCTTTGCCCGCGCTCTGGAAAACCAGAGTTCACGCTGCCAAACTGCCAGCCTTCGGACGCCTCTCGGGGTTTACTCGCTTAGGATCCCTAGAGGGACGGTGACAGGCGGGATTCTGCACCTTTTGGGGGTCCCTTGACTGCGAGAAGCTGGTGACAGCTCAGGGCCCTCTTCGCAGAGAATCGTTTCTGCACACCGACTCAGAATCGCACACGTTTTCAAGGTTCTCCTGGGAGCTCCTAGTGTCAGGCTAGTTTGACCTCGGGCTTACTTCACATGGCCGAAGGGAGCTTTCTTTTCTACCTGATTGTTAAAGCTGTCCAAGTGACAAGGAACAGATTGTCAGGTTTCCCGCAAAGAAGTGTCTTATGAAACCATTTAATAAACAATATGCTTGAAACTACCATGGAATACGCAGGCTCCACACTTGAGTGTGTGTTCGGTTGTATAGGGTATGTGCTTTTGGGGTCTGTCACCACCTCGACTGCCACTGCCTGTCCCTGCAAGCTGATCTCTGAACCATGACAGAGTCAGCTCCAGGATTCTGAGAGAACGCTCCTTCCTCACACGCTCAAAACGTAGGGCCTTGAGTTTCTGCTTCTGCTACTGTGCACGCTTACGTTATCCTGTCCTTACTTACATCTGGCCCAGGTGGTTGTGTTAGACACTGAAAATCTGGAGCCTTCAAAAGTTGACAGCAACTTAAGCAAGTTTGCACATACACCCAAAAATGGATGGAGATGATTCCTTACCTCACTGAAAGATTCTCTACAGTCTATTTTTTTGTTTACTTTTTTTTTTTTTTTTTTTTTTGAGACAGAATCTTACTCTGTCACCCAGGCTGGAGTGCGGTAGCACAATCTTGGTTCACTGCAACCTCTGCCTCCCAAGTGCAAGTGATTCTGCTGCCTGAGCCTCCCAAGCAGCTAGAATTACAGGCACGCACCACCACGCCCAGCTAATTTTTGTATCTTAGTAGAGATGGGGTTTCACCATGTTGGCCAGGCTGGTCTCAAACTCCCAACTTCAAGGGATCAGCCTGTCTCGGCCTCTCAAAGTGCTGGGATTACAGGCGTGAGCCACCACGCCCGGCCTGTTTTTTGTTTTGAGACAGAGTCTTGCTCTGTTGCCCAGGCTGGAGTGCAATGGCATGATCTCGGCCCACTGCAGCCTCCGCCTCCTGGGTTCAAGTGATTCTCCTGCCTCAGCCTCCCAAGTATCTGGGATTGCAGACCTGCACCACCATGCCCGGCTAATTTTTTTTTTTTTAGTAGAGGTGGGGTTTCACCATGTTGGCTAGGCTGGTCTCAAAACTCCCAACTTCAAGCGATCCGCCCACTTCGGCCTCCCAAAGTGCTGGGATTATAGGTGTGAGCCACCTCACCTAGCCACATGAAGGTTTTTTGTTTGTTTGTTTGTTTGTTTTGAGACGGAGTCTTGCTCTGTCGCCCAGACTGGAGTGCAGTGGCACGATCTCAGCTCACTGCAAGCTCTGCCTCCCGGGTTCACGCCATTCTCCTGCCTCAGCCTCCGGAGTAACTGGGACTACAGGCACCCGCCACCACGCCCGGTTAATTTTTTGTATGTTTTTAGTAGAGACGGGGTTTCACCGTGTTAGCCAGGACAGTCTCCATCTCCTGACCTCGTGATCCGCCCACCTCGGCCTACCAAAGTGCTGGGATTACAGGCGTGAGCCACTGCGCCCGGCCACATGAAGGTATTTTTCAGAAACCTCCAATAGGCCCTTCGTTTGGACATGCGTGTCCTGTATTCACAGGCCAAACATGGGCCCCATGGACATATCCATTTGAAAAGCAAAATGTGCAGGATTTCTGACCTCAAGAGTCAGAAAAGAAGTGGGGGCAGGAGGCAGGGGGTGCTTTGCTAAAAAATGTTTAGTTAGGACTATGTTGGTAGCAAATAGCAAACGTCAAATGTGATAAAGTGAAAAATAAAGAATGTAGATAAAGATACAGGTGTGCTTCTCAGAGTTCAAAGTTGGGCTTCAAAAGCAAACTACCCGCAGAACCAGGATCTCAAAGAGAACTGCCTTCCGTCTGTGCCCCTGCTTTGTTCTCTTGCCTGAGATCTCCTACATGGTGGCAATGGCAGCCCCAGTCTCCAAACCAAATTTTTTTTTTTTTTGAGACGAAGTCTTGCTCTGTCGCCCAGGGTGGAGTACAGTGTTACGATCTCGGCTCACCGCAACCTCCGCCTTCCAGGTTCAAGCGATTCTCCTGCCTCAGCCTCCCAAGTAGCTGGGATTACAGTTGCGTGCCACTGCACCTAGCTAAAATTTTTTTTGCTTTTTTAGTAGAGGCGGGGTTTCACCATGTTGGCCAGGCTGATCTTGAACCCCTGACCTTAGGTAACCCGCCTGCCTCGGCCTCCCAAAGTGCTAAGATTACAGGCGTGAGCCACTGGGCCCAGCCACCAAATTCTTAAGGAGGGGATTCTGATCAACCTAACTTCAGCTGGGTGCTGGGCCCTGAACAATCATCGGAAGCCAGGAATGGGACTGAGGAAGGCAGGATCATGTAACTATGGCTGCCCCCAACACAAGCCTGTGGGTGTTCTGAGTCCCCAGAAGCAGGGGCCACATAGGCACCCCAGGAAGTGTTCACCCTAGGTCAAATTTAGGCTTCATTTGAGAATGGAGGCCAGGGCAGATTTCTAGTTTACCTCTAAAATCACTGGAAATTGCCAATTTGATTCATGTTCATTGTTCTTAATTTGTCCTGTGTGTGCATATGCATGTGTGTCTAAACATGCTTAACTGTTGAAATGTTTCAATACCAGTTAGTAAATAGAAAAACAGTAACTGCAATGAGAGGTAAAATTAATTACTAATATAGGCCAGGCACAGGGGCTCACGCCTATAATCCCAGCACTTTGGGAGACTGAGGTGGGTGGATCACCTGAGGTCAGGAGTTCCAGACCAGCCTGGCCAACATGGTGAAACCCCATCTCTACTAAAAGTACAAAAAGTAGCCGAGCGTGGTGGTGTGTGCCTGTAATCCCAGCTACTCGGGAGGCTAAGGCAGGAGAATCACTTGAACCTAGGAGGCGGAGGTTGCAGTGAACCAAGATTGCACCATTGCACTCCAGCTTGGATGAGAGGAGCAAAAATCCATCTCACACACATGCACACACACACACACACACACACACACACACACACACACTAGCCAGGTGTGGTGACATTCGCCTGTAATCCTAGCTACTCGGGAGGCTGAGGCAGGAAAGTTGCTTGAACCCGGGAGGCAGAGGTTGTGGTGAACCGGGATCGCACCACTGCACTCCAGCCTAGGTGACAAATGAGACACTGTCTTAAAAAAAAATTAATTACTAATATAAATTCTAATATAAACTGTTTAGTTTATCATCCAGTGCTATAGAAATGTTCTGATGATAAAAGGTATCCTGTGAAAATAAATGTGAGAAATATTCTGCTGGGCAGGGAGGCATTCCAAGATGCAGGAGAATAGCCAGTTTATTATTATCTTCAAATTACATCATTGCTATTCCTTCTATTTTGGTTCTATTGTTTCTACTTTGATGACATTGCTGATGCTTTGAAATTCTTGTGAATAGTTAGGGTGCAGTGCTTTGATATTTATAAATGCAAGAATTTACAATAAAATACGAAAAATAAGCACAAAAAAGGAAGCAATAACAAATTTTTAGTATGTTTTTTAAAGTTTTAAAAAATACCATAATGACAAATCTTCTGAATAATAAATGTAAATTTTCTGAAATGATATCAGTAACAAAGTTCAGCCTAGGAATATTTTGATGCAATGCAAAAAACAAACAAACAAACAAAAACAGCAGGGAGCATCTTTTTATATTGTGCAAAAATCAGTATAAAATTTGGCCAGGCGCGGTGGCTCACGCCTGCAATCCCAGCACTTTGAGAGGCCGAGGCGGGCAGATCACAAGGTCAGGAGATCAAGACCATCCTGGCTAACATGGTGAAACCCCATCTCTACTAAAAATACAAAAAACTAGCTGGGCATGGTGGTGGGCGCCTGTAGTCTCAGCTACTCCAGAGGCTGAGGTAGGAGAATGGCGTGGACCCGGGAGGCAGAGCTTGCAGTGAGCTGAGATCATGCCACTGCACTCCAGCCTGGGCAACACAGCGAGACTCTGTCTCAAAAAAAAAAAAATCAGTATAAAATTTGCATCTCAGGTCGGGCTCAGTGGCTCATGCCTGTAATCCCAGCACTTTGAGAGGCTGAGGCAGGCAGATCACGAGGTCAGGAGATCGAGACCATCCTGGCTAGCACGGTGAAACCTAGTCTCTACTAAAAATACAAAAAATTAGCTGGGCGTGGTGGCGGGCACCTGCAGTCCCAGCTGCTAGGGAGGCTGAGGCAGGAGAATGGCGTGAACCTGGGAGGCGGAGCTTGCAGTGAGCCAAGATCGCGCCACTGTACTCCAGCCTGAGCGACAGAGTGAGACTCCATCTCAAAAAAAAAAAAAAAAAAAAAAAAATTTGCATTTCAGGCCAGGCACAGTGGCCCAAGACTGTAACTCCAGCATTTTAGGAGAATGAGGCAGGCAGATTGCTTGAGCTCAGGAGTTCAAGACCAGTCTGGGCAACATAGGAAAACCTCTTCTCTACAAAAAATAAAACAATTGACCAGGCCGGGCACGGTGGCTCACACCTGTAATCCCAGCATTTTGGGATTACAGGCATTTTGGGATCATGGCTGAAAATGCTCTATTCTTTCTAAACCGTACAGTAGATTCTGTTGACATTTTGAAGTGCTTCCAGATAGCTGAACAGGTGGAGGTTCCTGGAGGGTGCTGCGCCTGGAGAGGACATAGAAGCTCCATGTCCCTTCCCACATGATCACTTGAGGTCAGGAGTTTGAGATCAGCCTTGCCAACATGGTGAAACCAGAAGAAGACGACTCTAACATTGCTTGGGGTTGCAAAGTTTTCTGGAAGAAAGTCATGTTGGAGAAAAGTCTTGAAAGATGTATCAGAGCCTGCCAAGTAGGAAAGGTGAGTGAAAGGAGCGTGTTCAAAATGTGGCATTGTGGGAACCAGTGGGCTGTTTGGCATAGCAAGAATGTAAGGTACATGGTTGGATGGGTTGGATAGAATAGTGGGAGATGGGGCTGGGAAGTTAGGTTGGGACCTTATCCAGGAAGGTGCTAGAGGCCCCGCCAACTCCTACTTCCAGCCTGTCTGATAAGGTCATGTCCAAAAGGACTATGAAAGGGGATCGAGAAGAAGCTGGGTTCCCCAATTCTGTTCAGCACACTGTTGTCCACAGCTCTTACTTCCTCATCTGGGCACTGGTGAGCATGTGTCTTAGGTGAACAGATGCACAGGTCAAGGCATGTGGGAAGGGGCATGGAGCTTCTATGTCCTCTCCAGGCACAGCACCCTCCAGGAACCTCCCCTGTTCCGCTATCTGGAAGCACTTCAAAAATGTCAGCAGAATCTACTGTATGGTTTAGAAAGAATAGAGCATTTTCAGCCATGATGGATTTACTAGAACTTCAAAAAAGAATAAGACTGGCCAGGCACAGTGGCTCATGCCTATAATCCCAGCACTTTGGGAGGCCGAGGTGGGTGGATCACTTGAGATCGGGAGTTTGAGACCAGCCTGGCCAACATGATGAAACCCTGTCTCTGCTGAAAATACAAAAATTAGCCAGGTGTGGTGGCACACACCTGTAATCTCAGCTACTCAGGAGGCTGAGGGGGGAGAATCACTTGAACTCAGGATGCAGAGGTTGTAGTGAGCCAAGATGGCACCATTGCACTCCAGCCTGGGCGACACAGCGAGACTTGGTCTCAGAAAAAAAAAAAAAAAAAAGAAAGAAAAAAGGAATGAGACCAATGTAGATGTGCCATTGCAATCTAGATTTGAGCTCCCTCTTACGAAGCAAAGACCCACTGAAATGACAAAACAACTGTCCTTGGTTGCGTTCTCTGCAAAGAGATGCTGACCTGGACTTGAGGTACAGATGATTATTAGGGATTAACACCAGGGGGAGAAAAATGGGGGCTGGAAGCAGAACGGGACAGAAGAGGAAGAACTGTGATGCAGGCTCGACCATGCCTAACCTCCTCAGCAGAAAGCTCTGGAGCAGAACATCAGAGTTGTCCCGCATTGAGCCAAAATGTCACGCCTCACTCAGCAACCTGGTGGGGCCACCCAGGCCCCTGACAGGGCGGTGAGGCTGCTCTGCTGCTGAGGCCAGGAGGAGTTGACTGCTGGACGTTTACTGTGCTACCACAGCCTCGCAGCATGTTCGTCCTCCAGGGAAGGTCTGGGCAGCATGTCCCCAAGGCTACTGCAACAACTTTCGGGAACACTTGGAAGTCAAGCCGTAATTTTCTACCATTATCAATGCCACATCTATTATTTCATATTAAAATATTTTAATAATGTACTTAAATGCAAATTTTAAGACTTTAAAGATTATTTAGTGTGTCCTGTGAATTATGTGGAACTGGCAGAAAAAATATCTGAAAGCATCTATTAAATTTTTTTTTTCCTGTGACTCGGCCCGGCGTGTAATCACAGCACTTGGGAGGCTGAGGTGGGTGGATCACCTGAGACCAGGAGTTCAAGACCAGCCTGACCAACATAGTGAAGCCCTATCTCTACTAAAAATACAAAAATTAGCTGGGTGTGGTAGCGAATGCCTGTAATCCCATCTACTTGGGAGGCTGAGGTGGGAGAATCACTTGAACCCGGTAGGCGGAGGTTACAGTCAGCCGAAATCACCCCACTGCACTTCAGCCTGGGAGAAAGAGCAAGACTCAGTCTCAAAAAAAAAAAAGGAATCCATCCTGATTTAGAAAGTTTAATAAAAACATAAAAACTGTAACATGGGAGTGGCTAAATAATAAATAAATGAAACTTTTTAAGGGTCTGGTTTTAATAAATGATTTATAATAGAAAATTCAATTTTTTCTCTCTTTTTTTTTTCCAGGAGGCTGAGGCATGAGAATCGTTTGAACCCAGGAGACAGAGGGCCACCAGGCCCAGCTGATTTTTTTTTTGTCTTTCTAGTAGAGACGGCAGTTTCGCCATGTTGGCCAGGCTGGTCTCAAACTTCTGACCTCAGGTGATCCACCCACCTTGGCCTCCCACAGTACTGGGATTACAGGCATGAGGCACTGTGCCCGGCCAAAAATTTCTCTCTCTTTTTTTTAAATCAGGTTATCACTCTGTTACCCAGGCCGGAGGGCAGTGAGTGGTACAATCACAGCTCACTGCAGTCTTGACCTCCTGAGCTCAAGCAATCCTCCCACCTTGGGTAGCTGGAAGCACAGACATGAGCCGCTGTGCTGGGCTACTTTAAAAAATTTTTTTAGAGATGGGGTCTCACTTGTTGCCCAGGCTGGTCTCAAACTTCTGGGCTCAAGGGATACTCCTGCCTCAAATTGCTGAGCTTACAGGTGTGAGCCACCACACCTGGCCAATTTCTGTTTTTAATTTCTGATACATTATGCATATGTCAATAGGTCTAGCCTACATAAACCAAAGCTCTTTGGGATTCTCAAAACATTTTCAGGGTGTGAAGGGTTTCTGAGATGAAAGGTTTGAGAACTGCTCCACTAGTCCAAGCTCAAGCTAGTGCCGTAAGAGGCCAGGCTTCATCTACACTGTGCTGTTTGCAGTAAAGTAGGTTCAGTTCCAAATTGTGCCACATCCTGGCTGTAGGACCTTAGGCTTTCCTTCACCTCTCTGGGCCTCTGTGCCATCTGTAGAAATGGAGATGATGATGTTTAGTGACTGCTGGTGGCAGACAGAGATAGAGACAAGTTCACTGACTTGTGAAACATTGGTGGGACAGTCAGGAGGTCCTGATGATGTATTATGAAGATGAGAGTAAAGAGTTGGTGGCCGGCGGCAGTGGCTCACTCCTGTAATCCCAGCACTTTGGGAGGCCAAGGCGGATGCATCACCTGAGGTCAGGAGTTCAAGATCAGCCTGGCCAACATGGTGAAACCCCGTCTCTACTAAAAATACCAAAATTACCTGGGCGTGGTGGCACGCGCCTGTAATCCCAGCTACTTAGGAGACTGAGGCAGGAGAATCGGTTGAACCCGGGAGGCAGAGGTTGCAGGAGCCGAGACCGTGCCATTGCACTCCAGTCTGGGCAACAAAAGGGAAACTCTGTCTCAAAAATAAATAAATAGATAAAAATAAAGCATTGATTTTTCTGATTTATTACAAAGACAGACCTATCTCTTGATATTACTCCCAAGGCTATTCTTTCCGTGCAGCCCCTGCAGCCCTCAGTTCCTCCTTGGAGGAGTCTATAATCAGGAGGACTGATTTCTGGCTGTTGTGTAATTGCTAACACTGGGAAACTAATATTTCCCTTTTTCTCCCTACCGTGGTGAGAATTGCTGAGCTGATATCTTCCCCCAACTCAAGAGGAAGTGAACGCCCTGCCCTGCGCAGGGGGCCCGAAGCCATCTCCTCTGCCTCTCGGGGATGTGGTAGGGATCTTGCCCGAGGTCAACCACACGGCACACACATGCCCACATGCCACGCCTCTCAGGGACGAAGCTCTTGGAGGCTGCCAGCCTTCTTCAAAGGAAGGAAGAAGCAAAACCCACCAGCAACAAGAACTAAAACTGTGTGTGTGATCTCAGTGCAGACATAGCAGAGACATCAGTAGAACCCTGAGACCAGTAGAACCCACAGCCCACAGCGCTGTGCCTTGATAGCGAGGGGGTCACCCTGAGAAGCTGCAGCCCATGTCCTCCCTAAGGCTTCACAACGGGTTGCCTGCTCTAGAGAAACCACCTCAGTTGGGATGCAGAACTTGGCCTGGCAGGTCCATGAACCTGATTTCATGAGCACCCAGAGATCAGGGTGAGAGTCTCTCTCAAGAGGAGTTCACATGAATCACAATCCTAGAGGCTGTGACATATATCCCAGAAGCCGAATGTATTGATTTGTGAGGGAAAGTTTCAGCTGTTAAAAACTAAACCAGAAAAAGCATTTGACAAAATCCAACATTCATTTCTGATTAAAGGTGAACTTCTCCCAACTTTGACATCTGTCCAAACCCATAGTACGTCTATCACCAAGAGAAAACACTAATGTAAAAACCCTCCTGTAAACGGTGGACTTCAGGTGATTAGAGTGTGCCAGTGTAGCCTGATGGATTGTGACCAATGCAGCACTCTGATGGGGGATGTTGACAGTGGGGAAGACTGTGCATGCAGTGGGGGCAGGGAGTGTGTGGGAACTTGCTGTACTTTCTGCTCAATTTTGCTGTGAACCTAAAACTGCTTTAAAAAGTAAAGTCCTAAAAAATGCTCAGCACCACTAATTATCAGCAAAATGCACATTAAAACCACAATGAGATATCATCTCACACCAGTCAGAATGGCTATTATTAAACGGACAAAAAATAACAGATGTTGGTGAGGCTGCAGAGAGAAGGGAACTCTTATATGCCGTTGGTAGGAATGTAAATTAGTACAGCCTCTGTGGAAAACGATGTGAAGATCTCTCACAAACTGAAAATAGAACCATAATGTCATTCAATCCAGCAGTCCCTCTATGGGTATCTACCCAAACGAAAAGAAATTAGTGTATCAAAGGGATACTTGCACTTGTATGTTTATCGCAGCATTATTCACAATAGCAAAGATACAAAATCAACCTAAGTGTCCATCAACAGGTGAATGAATAAAGAAAGTGTGGTGCATATACACAATGGAATATCATTCAGCCATTAGAAGAATGAAATTATTGGCCGGGTGCGGTGGCTCACGCCTGTAATCCCAACACTTTGGGAGGCTGAGGAGGGCGGATCATGAGGTCAGGAGTTCGAGACCAGCCTGACCAACATGGTGAAACCTCATCTTTACTAAAAATACAAGAACAATTCACCAGGCATGGTGGTGCATGCCTGTAATCCCAGCTACTCAGGAGACTGAGGCAGGAGAATCACTTGAACCCAGGAGGCAGAGGTTGCCGTGAGCAAAGATCGAGCCACTGCACTCCAGCTTGGGTGACAGAGGGAGACTCCGTCTCAAAAAAAAAAAAATGAAATTATGTTTTTGGCAGCATCATGGGTAGAAATGGAGGTCAGTCATTATCTTAAGTGAAACAAGACAGGTACAGAAAATAAAATACTGCATGTTCTCACTCATAAGTGGGTACTAAGAAATGTGTGCACATGGACGTAGAGTAGAATGCTAGACAATGGAGACTCAGAAGGGTGAGGAGCTGCGAGGGGGAGGGGTGGATGATAAGAAATTAGTTAAAGGGTGCAATGTACCTGATGGGTGCACTAAAAGCCCTGACTTGACCACTGGGGAATCTATGCATGCAACAAAATTGCACGTGTACCCAATACATTTGTACAAATCGAAATAAAAGTAACTAAAAAGATAAAAATAAAGTCTTTAAAAGGAAAAGAGTAACCCAGATTATGTTGTTCTTTGTTAAAAACCCTACAAAGTCCTCTCATCCAATCAAAGGAAAGTCCTTAACAATAACCTGCAAGACCCTTCACCATCTGGCCTGTTTCCCATGTGTCCACATCTCATGTCACCTTCCCCCAGTTTGCCTGGCCTCCTGCTTCAGGGCTCCTAAACATGCTGTTTCTTCCTCTGGGAATGCTCTCACTCTATCTGCAAGGATCACGCCCTCACTTCCTTCAGGTCTTTACTGAGATGTCACCTGCTCAGTGAGGCTATCCCTGGCCTCCTTTTGTCAAGTTGTATTCCTCCCTCTACAATTCCTATCTCCCTTTCCAGGTTTCATTTTCTCCTTCGTACCCATCACCAGCTAACATCCTACCTAGTTTGTTTGTTTGATGGTCAGCTTCCTCCACTAGAGAATACATTTCTTGAGAACAGGGGTTTTGTCAGTTATTTCTATTATTATTTTAATATATATATTAAAATTGTAAATATGAATATAAAATACATATATTATATATATGTATATGTATTTCAGAGAGAGGGTCTCACTCTGTTGCCCAGGCTCTGAACTCAAGTGATCCTACTGCCTTCTCCTCCCAAAGGGTGCCAGGATTACAGGCTCAAGCCACTGCACCTGGCTACTTTGTCAATTTTGTTCACTCCTAAATACTTGTTGAATGAATGAATAGATGAACTGTCTGGTGGGCTAAAATGCTGGTAACAGTAAGTAGCTCCTCACATACCCTCAGCTCTGCAAAGCCACCTGGGAAGCCATAGATTCAGGGGTACTGAGTAAGCTGGAATCTGAGCCCAGGGTGTCTGCTGACCTCGGGCAATGCCGTTGAAGGCATCACCCTTGGCAAGGCAATACTCTCTCTCCCCATATTGTCTCCTTGACTCTGCCTTTTCATTCTTCCAGGGCTCTCAGCCCCTTTCTGATTAGTACACTCTTTACTCCCCCACCTCCCTCTTTTCCCCCTTGCTTCCTTTCATTTTTTTCTTCCTTTCTTTCGAAAGGGTCCCACTCTGTTGCCCAGGCTAGAGTACAGTGGTGTGATCATAGCTCACTGCAGCCTCCAACTGCTAGGCTCAAGCAATCCTCCCACCTCAGCCTCCCAAAACACTGGAATGACAGGTGTGCGACACCGCATCTGACCAGCACACTCTTTCTTTCTTTCTTTTTTTTGAGACAGAGTCTCACTGTCTTGCCCAGGCTGGAGTGCGCTGGCATGATATTGGCTCACTGCAACCTCTGCCTCCTGGGTTCAAGCAATTCTCCCGCCTCAGCCTCCCGAGTAACTAGGATTACAGGCATGTGCCACCACACCCAGCTAATTTTTGTATTTTTAGCAGAGACGGGGTTTTGCCATGTTGGCCAGGCTGGTCTTGAACCCCTGACCACCTGTCTCGGGCTCCCAAGGTGCTAAGATTATAGGCGTGAGCCACCGTGCCTGGGCCACACTCTTTATTAAGATATGCTCAATTTAAAAATCTTGCTGCTAGCTAAGCACAGTGGCTCACGCCTGTAATCCCAGCACTTTGGGAGGCTGAGGTGGGTGGATTGCTTGAGGCCAGGAGTTCAAAACCAGCCTGGCCAACATGGTGAAACCCCATCTCTACTAAAAATACAAAAAATTAGCTGAGCATGGTGGTGCACATCTGTAATCTCAGCTACTCGGGAGGCTGAGGCACGAGAATAGCTTGAATCTGGGAGGCAGAGATTGCAGTGAGCTGTGATCACACCACTGCACTCCAGCCTGAGTGACAGAGCAAGACTCTGCCTCAACAAAAAAGAAAAAAAAAAAGCTCTTGCTGACTTGGCATTAATATTATTTCTCTAAGACATCTCACATAACCTCTGCTGTGAGTTATTTTTTGCTGATCTTGAACTCTGACTGTCAGAGCCAACCTCCTATCCACGTAGCTCTCCTGGGAAACATCTATTATCCATGCCTCCATCATGATAATCTCAGTGTCTGACCTAGCACCATTAAAAAAATTTAATGGCTCACAGCTGTAATCCCAGCACTTTGGGAGGCTGAAGTGGGTGGATCACCGGTGAGGTCAGGAGTTCGAGACCAGCCTGACCAACATGGTGAAACCCTGTCTCTACTAAATACAAAAAATTAGCTGGGAGTGGTGATGCATGCCTGTAATACCAGCTACTTGGGAGGCTGAGGCAGAAGAATCTCTTGAACCTGGGAGGTGGAGGTTGCAGTGAGCCAAGATTGTCCAGCCTGGACAATAAGAGCAAAACTCCATCTCGGAAAAAAAAAAAATTTTGGCCAGGCGCGGTGGCTCACGTCTGTAATCCCAGCACTTTGGGAGAGCGAGGCAGTTGGATCACATAAGGTCAGGAGTTCCAGACCAGCCTGACCAATATGGTGAAACCCTGTCTCTACTAAAAATACAAAAATTGGCTGGCCATGGTGGCGGGTGCCTGTAATCCCAGATACTCGGGAAGCTGAGGCAGGAGAATCATTGGAACCCAGGAGGCGGAGCTTGCAGTGAGCTGAGATCGTGCCACTGCACTCCAGCTTGGGCAACAGTGTAAGACTCTGTCTCAAAAAACAAACAAAAAAAAATTAGCTAGGTATGGTGGCAGGTGCCTGAAATCCCAGCTACTTGGGAGGCTGAGGCAGGAGAACTGCTTGAACCTAGGAGGCGGAGGTTGTAGTGAGCCGAGATCATGCCATTGCACTCCAGCCTGGGCAACAAGAGCAAAACTCCAACTAAAAAAAAAAATTTTTTTAGAGACAGGGTCTTGCTCTGTCACCCAGGCTGAAGTACACTGACGCGATCATAGCTTATTGCATCCTTGAGCTACTGGGCTCAAGTGATCCTGCCATCTCAGCTTCCCAAAATGCTGAGAGCAACTCTGGCAACTAAACAAGCTGTGGCCTCAAATAAGCAATGTTAAAACAGTGACAACTCATCCAGCTCACAGATGCTGACTAACTGAACCCTTGCTCCGCTAGCCATAGCTACAGCTTTGATTGGTCAAGAAACTGATTTAAGTAACTTTCTCCGGATAAGAAGTCCACATTTGGGAGGCCAAGGTGGGCGGATCACTTGAGGTCAGGAGTTCGAGACCAGCCTGATCAATATGGTAAAACCCTGTCTCTACTAAAAAAATACAAAAATTGGCGGATCATGAGGTCAGGAGATCGAGACCATCCTGGCTAACACGGTGAAACCCCGTCTCTACTAAAAATACAAAAAAAAAAAAAATTAGCCAGGCGTGGTGGCAGGTGCCTGTAGTCCCCACTACTCAGGAGGCTGAGGCAGGAGAATGGCGTGAACCCCGGAGGCAGAGCTTGCAGTGAGCCAAGATCGCACCACTGCACTCTAGCCTGGGTGACAGAGCAAGACTCCGTCTAAAAACAAAAAATACAAAAAAACAAAAAATAAAATTAAAAAATACAAAAATTAGCCGGGCGTGGTGGCAAGCACCTGTAATCGCAGCTACTCAGGAGGCTGAGGCAGCAGTATCGCTTGAACCCGGGAGGTGGAGATTGCAGTGAGCAGGGATAGCGCCACTGCATTCCAGCCTAGGCGGCAGAGTGAGACTCCATCTCAAAAAAAAAAAAAGACCACTGATTATGGACTGGCTCTTGTGGGTTTACAGAGGTTTCGTATTTTCATGACTTCGGGTCCTGAAAAGATCTTTTGACATATAGGGCCTAACCGTAATACATTTAAATGTTAAATCTCTACCCAGAAGTGAACATGGGTTATATGTTACATGTATGTTTGCTCAATACACATCAGGACTGCCTTCATGAATATTCATAGCATAGCTCCTCCTATAACATGTTGAATATGTATGCTTAGCCAACATGTCCAGCATAACTTCCTACCCTAACCCCTCCTCCTCTGAAGTGCCTATCTCTAGTCTTGGTCAGAGGCACGCTTTCCAGCCTGTGGGATGGTCACCTTGGGGGCTGTAACCCTTTTATAAAGAATCAAGTCTCGGCCGGGCGCGGTTGCTCACGCCTGTAATCCCAGCACTTTGGGAGGCCGAGGCAGGTGGATCACGAGGTCAGGAGATCGAGTCCATCCTGGCTAACCCTGTCTCTACTAAAAAAATACAAAAAAAGTAGCCGGGCGTAGTGGCGGGCGCCTGTAGTCCCAGCTACTCGGGAGGCTGAGGCAGGAGAATGGCGTGAACCCGGGAGGCGGAGCTTGCAGTGAGCCAAGATCGCGCCACTGCACTCCAGCCTGGGCAACAGAGTGAGACTCCGACTCAAAAAAAAAAAAAAAGAAAAAAAAATCAAGTCTCTTCCCTTTTTCTAAGTTTATACATTGCAGTTTTTAAACAGTTAACAGCACAAGGCCGGGCGTGATGGCTCACGCCTGTAATCCCAGCACTGTGGGAGGCCGAGGCGGGCGGATCACGAGGTCAAGAGATCGAGACAATCCTGGCTAACACGGTGAATCCTCGTCTCTACTAAAAATACAAAAAATTAGCTGGGCGTGGTGGCGGGCGCCTGTAGTCCCAGCTACTCGAGAGGCTGAGGCAGGAGAATGGCGTGAACCCGGGAGGCGGAGCTGGCAGTGAGCCGAGACCGCGCCACTGCACTCCAGCCTGGGCGACAGAGTGAGACTCCGTCTCAAAAAAAAAAAAAAAAAAAAAAAAAAAAAAAGCCGGGCGCGGTGGCGGGCGCCTATAGTCCCAGGTACTCGGAGGCTGAGGCAGGAGAATGGCGTGAAACCACGAGGCGGAGCTTGCAGTGAGCCCAGATAGCGCCACTGCAGTCCGACCTGGGAGAAAGAGCGAGACTCCGTCTCAAAAAAAAAAAAAAAAAAAAAGTTAACAGTACAAACTCTTTGGAAAACACTTCATTAGTATCTGTCAATGTTGAGTACATGCATTGCCTATGATCCATCAGTTCCATAGCTAGGTATACAAACAGAAATGTCGACAAATGTTCACCCAAATTCACAACCTAGAGTGTTTGTAACAGCACTATTTGCAGGAGACATAAACTTGGCAGTCGTGGTTTATGCGTACCATGTGATACTGAATAGCAATGAGAATGAGTGAAGGACCACAAGCCCTCTACGGATGACTCTCACATGCATGACGTGGAGTGAAAGAAACCAGATACAAACCAGACAAAACTAAATCTAGAGGTTGCGATAGTGTTACCTTTTGGAGTACAGTGGCGGGATGGGAGGAGGAGGGGGTCTGTGACGGGGGAACTTGGTTTCCAGAAAAATGAGTGAATCCAGCTCATCCTATACAAAGAGACCCAGCACTGTTGGCCAGCTCCAGTGACCCAGATCCTACAGCCCCAGTTGAGTCACCACAGGCAAAACCATGTGGGGCAGAGATGAACCATCCCTGATGGCCCTACCAGAATTCCTGACCTACTCAATTGTGAACCCTTAATTAATTAATTAGTTAATTACTTCTTAAGAGATAGGGTCTTGTTTGATTGCCCAGGCTGGTCTCAAACTCCTGGGATCAAATAATCCTCCCACCTTGGCCTCTGAAAGTGCTGGGATTACAGGCATGAGCCATCATGCCTAGCCTACGAACAGTTTTTTAAAAATGTTGGCCAGGCACGGCGGCTCACACCTGTAATCCCAGCACTTTGGGAGGCTGAGGCGGAGGATCATCTGAGGTCAGGAGTTCAAGACCAGCCTGGCCAACATGGTGAAACCTTGTCTCTACAAAAATACAAAAATTAGCTGGGTATGATGGTGGGTGTCTGTAATCCCAGCTACTTGGGAGGCTGAGGCAGGAGAATTGCTTGAACCCGGGAGGCGGAGGTTGCAGTGGGCCGATATCACACCATTGCACTCCAGCCTGGGTGACAGAGCAAGATGCCATCTCAAAAAAAAAAAAAGTTTTTTGGTTTAAGTGACTAAGTTTTGCAAAACAGCAGTAGATTACTGAAACAGTATTCATCCTTGAGGGGCTACTGAGAACAGGAACCAAATCTTTCTTGTATTTGGGGTGTTAAACATATTTAACAATATTTAATATAAACAGTATAGGCAACTTTTAACAATATTATATACTAACATATAAAATTTAACATTTTATTTTTTGAATAAACCAAATAACACATGACATAAAGTTTCCTATCAACTCATTGAAGATGTAGCACACATTATTAATTAAATTACTTTGAGGATTTCTTTTTTTTTTTTTTGAGACAGAGTCTTGCTCTGTCGCCCAGGCTGGAGTGCAGTGGCACAATCTCTGCTCGCTGCAAGCTCTGTCTCCCAGGTTCACGCCATTCTCCTGCCTCAGCCTCCCGAGTAGCTGGGACTACAGGCACCTGCCACCTCACCTGGCTAATTTTTTGTATTTTTAGTAGAGAT